>NW_025791756.1:314537-629074 GCF_000001405.40 Homo sapiens | reverse complement strand
GAGGACAATGAACTTGTATTTGCACTGACTTTCCCAGCTGTTTCTTACTTTGATCAAGTTGGGGGTGGGACCCATTGAGCTGCATCACATCATTCCAAAGCCAAAACACAACAGCAGAACAAGAATATTTTCAATGCGGTCTCTAAAGCGGAGGAGAAACTGTTGAGGGAACCTAGAAGTAAAGGACATCTGGCTTGCTGGGCTCCATTTAAACTTTGAGTATAGCAGAGACACGAGCCCTTCGGGACACATGCCTGTCGCAGTGACACTCCAACTTCGGAAGAGTGGAAGCCCTGATTCCAAATTCAAGCATGCTTTGAGTAGAAATTAAGTTTGCCTCTTTTTGCACAGGAAGATGGCCAATCTTTCCTAAGCTGCTCACCTTACAAGAAAACGAATCGTACTGCTAAGAATTCAAACTTCAGCAGTCATGGGTAAGTAAGGAAGTCTTATAAATCTATTTTAGCCACCTAACAAGAAACTAGAAATTTAGCAAGTTCTTTCACATTCAGGACAGTTGTGTTGACTAGATCAGAGGCACTGAGACATGAAGAACAGACCCCTAAAAAGGGAAAGTGTTCCTTTCAGTTTGAGGACATCACTGGAATATTAGGGAAGTGGAAACACAGCTGCCCACTCTACAGTATGGGTTGCCTTTGTGTCCGGAATGTGCCTAATGTCCTGATCTCTGTGCCCTTTTCAGGGAGCCTTGGAAGGAGCCCGAATCACTGATGGAATTGGACAGTGCATGGAGATGGTTCAGCAGGACAAGGGTAAGTGCAGGGGCAAGTCCAGGTCATACTGAGAGACAACGAGTGGCGCTGACAGAGACAGACAAAGATAAAATCAAAAGTTTGTGCTTCATCTTCAAAAACTCAAACTAATAACAAACTTGGCCTTATGAGAAATAATAAGTATTTTTCTATTTACATGAGAATTTAATCTCAAAACAGGAATCAGAAACATATTAAGTCCAGGGCATAAAACCTAAACCACTGCTCATATTTATTCTTTCTAAATAGAGCAAAGTGTAAAATCTTCTCCATAAAATGCACATTGTGCTTATGAAAAGGCCAAAGTCTTAGTGAGAATCATTGGTATTCCATAGAAGAGTGAATTAAACACAGCCAAGGGAAGACCCAAGTCTCATACTTCTCTTGTATATTCCAGAGTTCCAGGGGAATTCCAGGTGATAGAGGTGATCTCCCATACTGTTAAAGCAAGGTTGCAGACACTTGGGAATTTTGGTCCCAGTACTCTAGGAGGTCACACCTCTGTCCTGCAAAATACTACAGGAATGTATACTCTTCCTATGACTCATTCTGGTCATTCTTCCAGCATCACAAAAACCAAAAAAAAAAAAATGGAAATATGTCCAAATACATGATTTGCTATCCCTCCTCTTCAGGTTTCTTACCTGTTACTTACGGATAATAGCATTACCACAGGATTATGATGAAGATACAATGTCCAAATATAAGCTCAGTTTTGAGCAAAATGCCTTGTACGAATTGGTCAATGAACAACTAGTAAATAATTATGTGAATATTTACTGAATTATATGGATCCTATGAATAATTACTGAATAATTCATGTGATTGCTTTTATTGGCAGTGCTGAAAACTCATCCCCGTGTGACCTCAAGTAAGCCATGTAACTCTGTGAACCTGCAGTTTTATCATTTTTAAAATAAAGAAACATGACAGATTTTCATTATGACACAGAATGTCAGGTCTCCCAGATGCCAGAAAATACATTTACTTAAAGCCGTTGATACGTCTTAAAGCGGTTTCCTTACAGTGTCATTGGAGGACAGTGTGGAGTGCAGAGAGACATGCTTTGAAATGGGATTGATCCAGTCCTCCTTCCTTCACTACCACATGAATGCTGGGCAGCCCAGGGTCAACCCACCGCACCCTCAACTCAGGCAAGTCCAGCAGCCAATCTTAGGAGACCTGGGCTACAGAACAGTCTCCCAAGTTCCAGGCTCACAAAACCTAGGTGGGGATGAAAGCTGAGAAAGCGAGGAGGTGGTTCAGGGGATCACTCTTTCCTACTCATTCCTCTCATCTCAAACTCACCTTCTACTGCAACACTGAGGATCACCAACCAACCGTGACCATAACCTTGATCTTGCCATGTTCTGTTAGTGGAATGCAACCCAAAATCAATGGTGTTAGGTCATCTGAACAAAATATATATCAAACCATATTGCATAAGAACCGCTCATGGCCCTGTTCTTTTCAGTATATGGGAAAACAAAATGGAAACAACAAAATAGCATCAGGTTTATGAAACTTCCCAAGATAGATGGTCACACCTGTTTTCAGGAGATCTCTATATAAATGATTTTGATCACTTGATACCTTGAAAAGAGCTCTTGTGACACTAGAATGACATCCATAAGTGACAAGTATAAAATGTAGCGCTCAGTGACATCAAAAACCAAATCAACCCACATAGAGGAAGAGCTCTGGACATAGGGATGTCAAACTGGTCTAGAGTGTAATGAAAAGCAAAGATGGTGGCCCAGTGAGAAAAAAGAAATCAACATAACAATGGGAAACAGCAAGAAGAATACTGAGACAGGAAAGACAACATTTTTTACAAATGAATTATTCATTCACTTTCTAGTGGATACAGACAAAACTGCAGAAGACCCAGAGGAAATCAGGGCAGGCTAAAAGTTTGATATCTTACACCTGTGGAAAAGCCTTAAGCTCTGTTTTAACTGAGAGCAGGTGGGGTGACTTCATGACTACCATTAAGAAAATACAACCTGTTGGGAAACTGTTTCTGCCTTGATGATGTTGTACAGACAAGAGATAAACAGTGAGGAATATGCTTAGATGTATTGGGAAAGACACGGGTCTGTGGCATCATCACAAGGGTACACGAATACTGAGAGTGAATGCTGAAGGAATGATCCCCATTGGTGGTGACCCTCAGGTGAGACTAGGGTGCCTGTATTTCAGGAAAGCCTGGGCAATTGGAATGCAGGGCTCCTAAGATTCCATGACACCCCCACCTTCTAATTCTGTTATTGCAACTGCAGACGGTTACCTGGCACGCTGGCCACAGTCTACCTCACTCTTATCAGAGTCTGAGCTACTGGCAGTGCTTTCAGCTCTGAGTTCAGGCACCTCGAACCTTGTTTTTGTGGTGAAGGATCCTAAAGTGCTGTGGGGAGTGATCACATTTTTCACAACAGTAAGTTAAGAATTTCAGTTACTGACATCCCTCAGTCCTGATGAAACCTATTTGATTTCACCAGTTTTTAACCCATCATATGTTTGGGTTTCTTCTCCCCAGTCCCTGGCTCCACCTCTTCTGCCACAAACGTCAGCATGGTGGTATCAGCCGGCCCTTGGTCCAGCGAGAAGGCAGAGACGAACATTCTAGAAATGAATGAGAAATTGCGCCCCCAGCTGGCAGAGAAGAAACAGCAGTTCAGAAACCTCAAAGAGAAATGTTTTGTAACTCAACTGGCCGGCTTCCTGGCCAACCGACAGAAGAAATACAGTAAGATCTATAGGCTCACCATCATGAAAGTGATGAATGATGTCCTGTCTTCTCTCTGAGACACTAAATGCTCTCTCCATCAAAAATAATTTCATCCTTCCTGTACTTCTAGGAAAACAGAAATGGGTATTTTAACATTTTGTTAAAGTTGGAAGACAGAGGTACCAAAGTATTTAGCAACTTTCCATGTTTGCAATCAGGTGGGGGTGGGACTAGAGTTAAACTCACAGTTATTGATTTCTAACACAGACACAGAACGACCTGTTTTCTCCAAGAGGCTCAATCATGTTTTCAAGAATCCTCTCTGTACCATATAAGATCCTGCAGACAAATAATATCTAGTCTGTTGTTCTAAATGTCTGAGACTAGTGAACTTTTATTCAGTTCAAGTTTCTGTTGAGGCCCAACAGGCAAAGCTCTGTTCTAGTGACTCTGAGGGGAACTTGGTGATAGTAGCCAGTACCTGCTCTGAGGGACTTCAAGAGGAGTCTGCTCCTAATAGAACCTGTGCTATCTATAAGTGACAGCATCAAGAGCAGGGAGTAGGGGCCGTGCAACGTGGCTCACTCCTGTAATCTCAGCACTTTGGGAGGCTGAGGCGGGCAGAGCACGAGGTGAGGAGTTTGAGACTAGCCTGGGCAACATGGAGAAACCCCATCTCCACTAAAAATACAAAAAGTAGATGGGCGTCGTGGCGGGCAACTGTAATCACCACTAATCGGGAGGCTGAGGCAGAAGAATCCTTTGAACCCAGCAGGCAGATGTTGCAGTGAGCCAAGATTGCACTATTGCACTCCAGCATGGGTGACAGGGCAAGACTCGTCAAAAAACAAACAAACAAAAAGATAAATCAAACAAAAATAAAAATAAAAAGCAGAGAGTACCTTGGTGAGAGTGAAGTCCTGCTTCCTGGTGCACAGGCTCTTGTTCCTAAAGAGGAAGAAAGATCACACCCGAGAATGTGTGGAAGCAGCAGTGCAGTGTGCAAAGCAGGGACCCTCAGCCTGTCTCCTGGGCTCCATCCAAGTTGCTTGTCTTGTCTGTCCCTCAGTTTCCTCATCTGTTCAGAGGGTACTACAATAATACCTACCTCTGTAAATTGCTGCAATGAATTACATGAGGTATTTCCTGTCAATCTCCTTGAACATTAATTGGCACAGTGTAAACACTATCTATTAGTTCTTCATTCTGATGTTTCTAAATTAACACAAACTAATCTTATGCTGTTTCTAAATTAACACAACTAATCTAAATCTTGATGCTGCCTGTCATACTAATAAAGTATTTGGGCATATTTCCTTCATGGCCTTATTGTCTTCTGTCTCACACTTTATGCTTCAGATATGATTCTTAAAACCATATCTGAATATATGATTTAAAAATGAAATGTTTTAAAGTCCTTGACATATTTGTCCTTGAAATACCCAGTAAAAGGGAAACCATCAGTCCCATAGTCCTAGGGGCCTTCCCGACTGTACAAGAAATCACTATTTCATGCCCCAGTGCAGTGTTTCAGAGGAGAGGCTGCCAGGCTTGGGAAAGTGGCCCCGCATTCAGAGTCAGACCTCAGGGGCTGTGAGTTCTGAGTCCACTTCGTTGTGGTTGAATCATCTTGTCAACTTCCTTGATGTGCCTTGAGTTTCTCTTTCTTCGTCTTTAAATTTTGGAGGATAAGATGCCAGAAAGTCAGGAGACTGAAGAGTAAAGATGTGGAAATCCCTGCCTAGAGCCTGGTACTGGGGACAGTTTTGTCCTTGGGATGGACCTGGCTCCTGCCCTGTAGGCAGTGACCACAGCAGCATGTCCAGCCTTCCACTGAGGCAGGTGTGTCTGTCTTTTCTCAGAGTATGAAGAGTGTAAAGACGTCATAAAATTTATGCTGAGGAATGAGCGACAGTTCAAGGAGGAGAAGCTTGCAGAGCAGCTCAAGCAAGCTGAGGAGCTCAGGTGAGGGGACCCCGTGGGGGGAGGCAGGCGGGTAGGTGTGTAGATCTCTGAAGTACAGCAGCTCGGCGGGGAGAAGTAAGAACGAAGCTGGGCCAGGGGAAGGGCAGAAATTGCCATGGCAGGCTCATGACACACAAATATTTATCAGAGAACAAGGATAATAATAAGTTATGTGTTGCAGTTGTTTCTTAGAGCCTTGTTTTCTCTTTTTCAAACAAGTAATTGTTGATGTGAAATTTGCATAACACAAAATTCACCAAAGGAGTGGGAACCACACAGCAGCATTCAGTATACACAGAATGGTGTGCCATCGCCACCCCACTTACCCTTAGTGAGAATCACCTTCTGACTGACTGCGTCTTCTCATTCTTTCACTCAATCAATGTTGCCTTCTCGACCCTGTCATTCTTTTCTTCTTTCGTCTTTTCAATTCGCCCCATCTGCACCTGGCCTCATTTCTGTACATGGCTTTGTATCTAGTGGCCGCAAGATGCACTATGTGTATTTTCACATGGAAATGTCCATGGCCAGAGTGAGGAACTGAAAGGATGTCTTTTTGAAACGGAATTAGGAAGACACCTACTTTTGTTTACAGAAGGGAAAGATGAATGGAACATCATCGAGGATCTTGCAGGAGCCCTCTCTGATACAGAGGAAGCCTGTAAACCATTTTCTATTCTTTCTCTTGGCCACAGTCATTCCTTTCAACATGTGCTGACCTTCTGCTTGGAGGTCTCCTTGAGGACATTGTCTCAGAAATCTCTGTTGCAATATTTGAGCGGATCACTCAACCCTTTCCACTCTTAAATTTTCTCTACCGTCTCACCTTAGGCAATATAAAGTCCTGGTTCACTCTCAGGAACGAGAGCTGACCCAGTTAAGGGAGAAGTTACGGGAAGGGAGAGATGCCTCCCGCTCATTGAATCAGCATCTCCAGGCCCTCCTCACTCTGGATGAGCCAGACAAGTCCCAGGGGCAGGACCTGCAAGAACAGCTGGCTGAGGGGTGTAGACTGGCACAGCAACTTTTCCAAAAGCTCAGCCCAGGTAAGGTGGCCATAGGCCCTGATGACCCAAAACCCCAGGCTTATGAGAGACTCCAGACCTCCATACTTTCACAATGACAGTTGTATCAGTGGGGTTATTTTCTGCTACGCATATGTGGCCATGATATGACCAGGACTTCCTGGGTAAGAACAGAGATGGGAAACCCATGGGGTTTGAGGACACAGTATTGCAAGTGTCCCTCCTTCCTTGATGGAAGGTGGTCTTTGGAGCAAGAGGCAGCATCTGTCTAGTTTTAAAGGACAGGAAGGAGGCTGTGATGGGAGGTCGCTTGTTGGAGTGAAAAGAGCTCTGGGCTAAGAATGAAGTTTCCCAGGCTGTCTTTTTGGCAATGTTCTTAGTAACTGTCAGTGAGTGAGTGATTTATCTTTCCAGAGTTTCTCTCTCTCCATCTGCAAAGGCAGACAAATTGTCTCTTGCAAGGGTCTGAAGCATCCAAATATGGGAACACTTACGAATGCTTTTCAAAATGAGATGCAGCCCCTCTCCGTGTGGTGTTGGAGAAGGCACTTGATGTGGGGGCATTTGGTGGTAGGAAGTGCTTCAGACTGGAGCACTCCCCATGGATAGAATGTCCCTGTATAACACAGCAGAAGCCACTTGGAGGGCCTGTGCAGTCTCATGACGCATAGAGGACTGTGGGACAAGTTTGTCCTCTCCTAAGAGAAAGAATGAGGTTTGAAATGCGAACTGTGACAGGACACCAAACCTGTTCCTGGGAATCAGATCTGTGGCAGGATGGGGGAGACAGCTGCCAAAGTCCAGAGAGAGGCTGCACAAGCCTCCAGTGATATGGGAAGCAAAAGGTCTTTTCAATATTTGGCCACATCTTGATGGTGGCCCTCCAGATCAGAAATGCATTGCCCGATGGACCAGGAAACCATGCCAGGGCATTTTGTGAAAGACAAAACATGACAGTTTTCAGTACAATGCTGAACCACACATAGATGTTCATGTCTCTGTGCACATTGGGCTGACTGTGCTTGGAGAATGGGAAGTGGGAAATATCTGAACGAACATTTTGTATTTACAGAAAATGACGAAGATGAGGATGAAGATGTTCAAGTTGAGGAGGCTGAGAAAGTACTGGAATCATCTGCCCCCAGGTAACACTGAATACTCAGGAGCAAGTAATGGGTGGTAACATATAAAAATGTCTAGGAGGCTCACCCTCTCTGGCATCTATGATGGGCCAAAAGCCCGCATTCGCTTGGCCACAGTATGTGAAATTCAACCCAGCTTAGACACAGGGTGCGGCAGCTGTCGTGTTTCTCTATGTGTGCCAAGTGTCATGTCTGTACCATACAGGGATAGCTGAGTCTTCATCCTCCTCAGCTCCTATCTGTCCAGTGCACTGAACACCAGCTGCTCTCTTCCTCTCTGGCTCCCATGGCAGCCATGTTCTGTTGCAGAGAGAAGAGGATTGCCTGTTCCCCCTTAAAGGGAACCTCCATTTTGCTTTCTGGGACCACTGTCTTAATGCCGCCTGTCAAAACCAGCTAGGACTCCCTGGGGTCCAATCCCTCTGTGTTTAATCTTCTGTCATCTCTGTCCCACCTGGCTCATCAGGGAGGTGCAGAAGGCTGAAGAAAGCAAAGTCCCTGAGGACTCACTGGAGGAATGTGCCATCACTTGTTCAAATAGCCACGGCCCTTGTGACTCCAACCAGCCTCACAAGAACATCAACATCACATTTGAGGAAGACAAAGTCAACTCAGCTCTGGTTGTAGACAGAGAATCCTCTCATGATGAATGTCAGGATGCTGTAAACATTCTCCCAGGTAGCCTCTATTTTCCTTGTGTCTCATACCTCTGTCTAGGCTATGGAAGATCAATTCTGAGGACAGGCTGTATATGCACATATTGTTTTAGTCAGAAACTAGGATGGAGCTAGGTGCTGTGACTCACACGTATAGTCACAGCACTTTGGAAGGCCCAAGTGGGAGGATGACTTGAGTTCAGGAGTTGAAGACCAGCCTGGACAATATGGTGAAACCCATCTTTACAAAGAATACAAAAAATTAGGCAGGTATGGTGCTGCGTGCCTATAGTCCCAACTGCTCAGGAGACTTAGGTGGGAGGATCGGCTGAGACGATCCTCCCACCCTGGTTCACTCCTCTCAGGCTAGACTCTCTCTCCTTTTCATTGGCTTGTCTTAACTATTAATAAGAAGTCTCGGCCGGGCGCGGTGGCTCACACATGTAATCCCAGCACTTTGGGAGGCCGGGGCGGGTGGATCACGAGGTCAGGAGATCGAGACCATCCTGGCTAACACGGTGAAACCCTGTCTCTACTAAAAATAGAAAAAAAAATTAGCTGGGCGCAGTGTTGGGCGCCTGTAGTCCCAGCTACTTGGGAGGCTGAGGCAGGAGAGTTGCGTGAATCCGGGAGGGGAAGCTTGCAGTGAGCCGAAATTGTACCACTGCACTCCAGCCTGAGCGAAAGAGCGAGACTCCATCTCAAAAAAAAAAAAAAAGGTCTCTGCCAGGGGCGCTGGCTCACATCTTAATCCCAGCACTTTGGGAGGGCGAGGTGGGCGGATCACCTGAGGTCAGGAGTTCAAAACCAGCCTGGCCAACATGGCAAAACCCTATCTCTACTAAAAATACAAAAATTAGCTGGCATGGTGGTTGGCGCTTGTAATCCCAGCTACCTGGGAGGCTGAGAGATGAGAATCGCTTGAACCCGGGAGGCAGAGGTGGCAGTGAGCTGAGATTGTGACACTGCACTGCAGCCTGGGTGACAGAGTGAGACTCCGTCCCAAACAAAAAACAAAAAACCAAAAGATAAAAATATTAAAAAAGCAAAATGCAATCTTTTGTGCTACACAGAAACATTGGCCACTCATGGGGTAAAAATCTCAGGGCCCAGCCTTGCTTTATAGAAACTTATAAGCAAGAAAAGTGTAGAAGTGTTTATGTCCTGGTTTCAAGGTGACTGCATAGCTAAGACAAGTTGACTTAAAGGAGATCAAGACTGGAAATGACAAGAGTGAAACCAGGGAAACAACATTTTCAAATAAGTAGACAAGGCTGCCACTGACATCCCTCAGTGTGATTAAACCTATTTGATTTCACCAGTTTTTAACCCATCATGTGTTTGCCTTTCTTCTCCCCAGTCCCTGGCCCCACCTCTTCTGCCACAAACGTCAGCATGGTGGTATCAGCCGGCCCTTTGTCCAGCGAGAAGGCAGAGATGAACATTCTAGAAATCAACGAGAAATTGCATCCCCAGCTGGCAGAGAAGAAACAGCAGTTCAGAAACCTCAAAGAGAAATGTTTTGTAACTCAACTGGCCGGCTTCCTGGCCAACCAGCAGAACAAATACAGTAAGATCTATAGGCTCACCATCACGAAAGTGATGAATGATGTCCTGTCTTCTCTCTGAGAAACTAAGTACTCTCTCCATCTAAAATAATGTCATCCTCCCCATACTTCTAGGAAAACAGAAATGGGTATTTTAACATTTTGTTAAAGTTGGAAGAGAGAGGTACCAAAGTATTTAGCAACTTTCCATGTTTGCAATCAGGTGGGGGTGGGACTAGAGTTAAACTGCCATTTATTGATTTCTGACACAGGCACAGAATGACCTGTTTTCTCCAAGAGGCTCAATCATGTTTTCAAGAATCCTCTCTGTACCATGTAAGATCCTGCAGACAAATAACATCTAGTCTGTTGTTCTAAATGTCTGAGACTAGTGAACTTTTATTCAGTTCAAGTTTCTGTTGAGGCCCAACAGGCAAAGCTCTGTTCTAGTGACTCTGAGGGAAACTTGGTGATAGTAGCCAGTACCCGCTCTGAGGGGCTTCAAGAGGAGTCTGCTCCTAATAGAACCTGTGCTATCTATAAGTGACAGCATCAAGAGCAGGGAGTAGGGGCCGTGCATGGTGGCTCACTCCTGTAATCCCAGCCCTTTGGGAGGCTGAGGCGGGCAGATCACGAGGTCAGGAGTTTGAGACCAGCCTGGGCAACATGGAGAAACCCCATCTCCACTAAAAATACAAAAAGTAGATGGGCATGGTGGCAGGTGGCTGTAATCACCCCTGCTCAGGAGGCTGAGGCAGGAGAATCCTTTGAACCCAGGAGGCTGAGGTTGCAGTGAGCCATGATTTTGCCATTGCACTCCAGTCTGGGTGACAGGGCAAGACTGGTAAAAATAATAATAATAATAATAATGATAAATAAAAATAATAAGAAGCAGAGTGTAGCTTGGTGAGAGTGAAGTCCTGCTTCCTGGGGCACAGAGTCTTGTTCCTAAAGAGGAAGAAAGATCGCACCTGAGAATGTGTGGAGGTAGCAGTGCAGTGTACAGAGCAGGGACCGTGGGCCTGTCTCCTGGGCTCCATCCAAGTTGCTTGTCTTTTCTGTCCCTCAGTTTCCTCACCTGTTCAGAGGGTACTACAATAATACCTACCTCTGTAAATTGCTGCAGTGAATTACATGAGCTATTTCTTGTCAATCTCCTAGAACATTTATTGGCACACAGTAAACACTATCTATTAGTTCTTCATTCTGCTGTTTCTAAATTAACACAAACTTTATTAGCATTTGGGCATATTTCCTTCATGGCCTTATGGTGTTATGTGTCACACTTTATGCTTCAGATATGATTCTTAAAATCATAACAGAAGATATGATTTAAAAATCA
Organism: Homo sapiens; assembly: GCF_000001405.40. NCBI lineage: Eukaryota > Metazoa > Chordata > Mammalia > Primates > Hominidae > Homo > Homo sapiens. Next base: position 617,893 of record NW_025791756.1, on the reverse strand, counting down.
AAGATTTTTAAAATCTTCCGCATACTTGTCTTTGAAATTCCCAGTAAAAGGGAAACCATCAGTCCCATAGTCCTAGGGGCCTTCCCGACTGTACAAGAAATCACTACTTCATGCCCCAGTGCAGTGTTTTAGAGGAGAGGCTGCAAGTCTTGGGAAAGTGGCCCTGCATTCAGAGTCAGACCTCAGGGGCTGTGAATTCTGACTCCACTTCGTTGTGGTTGAATCATCTTGTCAACTTCCTTGATGTGCCCTTGAGGTTCTCTTTCTTCATCTCTAAATTTTGGAGGATCAGATGCCAGAAAGTCAGGAGACTGAAGAGTAAAGATGTGGAAATCCCTGTCTAGACCCTGGTACTGGGGAGAGTTTTGTCCTTGGGATGGACCTGGCTCCTGCCCTGTAGGCAATGACCACAGCAGCATGTCCAGCCTTCCACTGAGGCAGGCGTGTCTGTCTTTTCTCAGAATATGAAGAGTGCAAAGACCTCATAAAATCTATGCTGAGGAATGAGCGACAGTTCAAGGAGGAGAAGCTTGCAGAGCAGCTCAAGCAAGCTGAGGAGCTCAGGTGAGGGGACCCCATGGGGGCAGGCGGGGGAGCAGCTGTGTAAATCTCTGAAGTACAGCAGCTCGGTGGGGAGACGTAAGAGCTAAGCTGGGCCAGGGGAAGGGCAGGAATTGCCATGGCAGGCTCGCAACACACAAGTATTTATCAAGCAGAGAAGAAGGATAATAAAAATTTATGGGTTGCAGTTGTTTCTCAGAGCCTTGTTTTCTCTTTTTCAAACAAGTAATTGTTGATGTGAAATTTACATAACACAAAATTAACCAAAGGAGTGTGAACCACACAGCAGCATTCAGTATACTCAAAATGGTGTGCCATCACCACCCCACTTACCCTTAGTGAGAATCGCCTTCTGACTGACTGCGTCTTCTCATTCTTTCACTCAATCAATGTTGCCTTCTCGACCCTGTCATTCTTTTCTTCTTTCGTCTTTTCAATTCGCCGCATCTGCACCTGGCCTCATTTCTGTACATGGCTTTGTATCTAGTGGCCGCAAGATGCACTATGTGTATTTTCACATGGAAATGTCCATGGCCAGAGTGAGGAACTGAAAGGATGTCTTTTTGAAACGGAATTAGGAAGACACCTACTTTTGTTTACAGAAGGGAAAGATGAATGGAACATCATCGAGGATCTTGCAGGAGCCCTCTCTGATACAGAGGAAGCCTGTATACCATTTTCTATTCTTTCTCTTGGCCACAGTCATTCCTTTCAACATGTGCTGACCTTCTGCTTGGAGGTCTCCTTGAGGACATTGTCTCAGAAATCTCTGTTGCAATATTTGAACAGATCACTCAACCCTTTCCACTCTTAAATTTTCTCTACCATCTCACCTTAGGCAATATAAAGTCCTGGTTCACTCTCAGGAACGAGAGCTGACCCAGTTAAGGGAGAAGTTACGGGAAGGGAGAGATGCCTCCCGCTCATTGAATCAGCATCTCCAGGCCCTCCTCACTCCGGATAAGCCAGACAAGTCCCAGGGGCAGGACCTGCAAGAACAGCTGGCTGAGGGGTGTAGACTGGCACAGCACCTTGTCCAAAAGCTCAGCCCAGGTAAGGTGGCCATAGGCCCTGATGACCCAAAACCCCAGGCTTATGAGAGGCTCCAGACCTCCATACTTTCACAATGACAGTTGTATCAGTGGGGTTTTTTTCTGCTACACATATGTGGCCATGACATGACCAGGACTTCCTGGGTAAGAACAGAGATGGGAAACCCATGGGTTTGGAGGTCACAGTATTGCAAGTGTCCCTCCTTCCTTGATGGAAGGTGGTCTTTGGAGCAAGAGGCAGCGTCTGTCTAGTTTTAAAGGACAGGAAGGAGGCTGTGATGGGAGGTGGCTTGTTGGAGTGAAAAGAGCTCTGGGCTAAGAATGAAGGTTCCCAGGCTGTCTTTTTGGCAATGTTCTTAGTAACTGTCGGTGAGTGAGTGATTTATCTTTCCAGAGTTTCTCTCTCTCCATCTGCAAAGGCAGACAAATTGTCTCTTGAAAGGGTCTGAAGCATCCAAATATGGGAACACTTACGAATGCTTTTTAAAATGAGATGAAGCCCCTCTCCGTTTGGTGTTGGAGAAGGCACTTGGTGTAGGGGCATTTGGTGGTAGGAAGTGCTTCAGACTGGAGCACTCCCCGTGGATAGAATGTCCCTGAATAACACAGCAGAAGCCACATGGAGGGCCTGTGCAGTCTCATGACGCATAGAGGACTGTGGGACAAGTTTGTCCTCACCTAAGAGAAAGAATGAGGTTTGAAATGCGAACTGTGACAGGACACCAAGCCTGTTCCTGGGAATCAGATCTGTGGCAGGATGGGGGCGACAGCTGCCAAAGTCCAGAGAGAGGCTGCACAAGCCTCCAGTGATATGGGAAGCAAAAGGTCTTTTCAATATTTGGCCACATCTTGATGGTGGCCCTCCAGATCAGAAATGCATTGCCCGATGGACCAGGAAACCACGCCAGGGCATTTTGTGAAAGATAAAACATGACAGTTTTCAGTACAATGCTGAACCATACATAGATGTTCATGTCTCTGTGCACATTGGGCTGACTGTGCTTGCAGAATGTGAAGTGGGAAATATCTGAACGAACATTTTGTATTTACAGAAAATGACGAAGATGAGGATGAAGATGTTCAAGTTGAGGAGGCTGAGAAAGTACTGGAATCATCTGCCCCCAGGTAACACTGAATACTCGGGAGCAAGTAATGGGTGGTAACATATGAAAATGTCTAGGAGGTACACCCTCTCTGGCATCTGTGATGGGCCAAAAGCCCGCATTCGCTTGGCCACAGTATGTGAAATTCAACCCAGCTTAGACACAGGGTGCGGCAGCTGTCGTATTTCTCTATGTGTGCCAAGTGTCATGTCTGTACCATACAGGGATAGCTGAGTCTTCATCCTCCTCAGCTCCTATCTGTCCAGTGCACTGAACACCAGCTGCTCTCTTCCTCTCTGGCTCCCATGGCAGCCATGTTCTGTTGCAGAGAGAAGAGGATTGCCTGTTCCCCCTTAAAGGGAACCTCCATTTTGCTTTCTGGGACCACTGTCTTAATGCCGCCTGTCAAAACCAGCTAGGACTCCCTGGGGTCCAATCCCTCTGTGTTTAATCTTCTGTCATCTCTGTCCCACCTGGCTCATCAGGGAGGTGCAGAAGGCTGAAGAAAGCAAAGTCCCTGAGGACTCACTGGAGGAATGTGCCATCACTTGTTCAAATAGCCACGGCCCTTGTGACTCCAACCAGCCTCACAAGAACATCAACATCACATTTGAGGAAGACAAAGTCAACTCAGCTCTGGTTGTAGACAGAGAATCCTCTCATGATGAATGTCAGGATGCTGTAAACATTCTCCCAGGTAGCCTCTATTTTCCTTGTGTCTCATACCTCTGTCTAGGCTATGGAAGATCAATTCTGAGGACAGGCTGTATACGCACATATTGTTTTAGTCAGAAACTAGGATGGAGCTAGGTGCTGTGACTCACACGTATAATCACAGCACTTTGGAAGGCCCAAGTGGGAGGATGACTTGAGTTCAGGAGTTGAAGACCAGCCTGGACAATATGGTGAAACCCATCTTTACAAAGAATACAAAAAATTAGGCAGGTATGGTGCTGCGTGCCTATAGTCCCAACTGCTCAGGAGACTTAGGTGGGAGGATCGGCTGAGACGATCCTCCCACCCTGGTTCACTCCTCTCAGGCTAGACTCTCTCTCCTTTTCATTGGCTTGTCTTAGCTATTAATAAGAAGTCTCAGCCGGGCGCGGTGGCTCACACATGTAATCCCAGCACTTTGGGAGGCCGGGGCGGGTGGATCACGAGGTCAGGAGATCGAGACCATCCTGGCTAACACGGTGAAACCCCGTCGTTACTAAAAATACAAAAAAAAAAAAAAATTAGCTGGGCACGGTGTTGGGCGCCTGTAGTCCCAGCTACTCGGGAGGCTGTGGCAGGAGAATGGCATGAACCCAGGAACCGGAGCCTGCAGTGAGCCTAGATTGTGCCACTGCACTCCAGCCTGGGAGACAGAGCGAGACTCCATCTCAAAAAAAAAAAAAAAATGTCTCTGACCAGGGGTGCTGGCTCACATCTTAATCCCAGCACTTTGGGAGGCCGAGGTGGGCGGACCACCTGAGGTCAGGAGTTCGAAACCAGCCTGTCCAAGATGGCGAAACCCCATCTCTACTAAAAATACAAAAATTAGCTGGCATGTTACTTGGCGCTTGTAATCCCAGATGTTTGGCAGGCTGAGGGATGAGAATCGCTTGAACCCGGGAGGCAGAGGTGGCAGTGAGCTGAGATTGTGCCTCTGCACTGCAGCCTGCATGACAGAGTGAGACTCCGTCTCAAACAAAAAACAAAAAACCAAAAAAGAAAAAAATTAAAAAAGCAAAATGAAACCTTTTGTGCTACACAGCAACATTGGCCACTCATGGGGTAAAAATCTTAGGGCCAAGCCTTGCTTTATAGAAACTTATAAGCAAGAAAAGTGTAGAAGTGTTTATGTCTTGGTTTCAAGGTGACTGCATAGCTAAGACAAGTTGACTTAAAGGAGATCAAGACTGGAGATGACAAGAGTGAAACCAGGGAAACATCATCTTCAAATAAGTAGACAAGGCTGCCAGTGACATCCCTCAGTCCTGATTAAGCCTATTTGATTTCACCAGTTTTTAACCCATCATGTGTTTGCCTTTCTTCTCCCCAGTCCCTGGCCCCACCTCTTCTGCCACAAACGTCAGCATGGTGGTATCAGCCGGCCCTTTGTCCAGCGAGAAGGCAGAGATGAACATTCTAGAAATGAATGAGAAATTGCGCCCCCAGCTGGCAGAGAAGAAACAGCAGTTCAGAAACCTCAAAGAGAAATGTTTTGTAACTCAACTGGCCGGCTTCCTGGCCAACCAGCAGAACAAATACAGTAAGATCTATAGGCTCACCATCACGAAAGTGATGAACGAAGTCCTGTCTTCTCTCTGAGAAACTAAGTGCTCTCTCCATCTAAAATAATGTCATCCTCCCCATACTTCTAGGAAAACAGAAATGGGTATTTTAACATTTTGTTAAAGTTGGAAGACAGAGGTCCCAAAATATTTAGCAACTTTCCATGTTTGCAATCAGGTGGGGGTGGGACTAGAGTTAAACTGCCATTTATTGATTTCTGACACAGGCACAGAATGACCTGTTTTCTCCAAGAGGTTCAATCATGTTTTCAAGAATCCTCTCTGTACCATGTAAGATCCTGCAGACAAATAACATCTAGTCTGTTGTTCTAAATGTCTGAGACTAGTGAACTTTTATTCAGTTCAAGTTTCTGTTGAGGCCCAATATGCAAAGCTCTGTTCTAGTGACTCTGAGGGAAACTTGGTGATAGTAGCCAGTACCCGCTCTGAGGGACTTCAAGAGGAGTCTGCTCCTAATAGAACCTGTGCTATCTATAAGTGACAGTATCAAGAGCAGGGAGTAGGGGCCGTGCATGGTGGCTCACTCCTGTAATCCCAGCCCTTTGGGAGGCTGAGGCGGGTAGAGCACGAGGTCAGGAGTTTGAGACCAGCCTGGGCAACATGGAGAAACCCCATCTCCACTAAAAATACAAAAAGTAGATGGGCATGGTGGCAGGTGGCTGTAATCACCCCTGCTCAGGAGGCTGAGGCAGGAGAATCCTTTGAACCCAGGAGGCTGAGGTTGCAGTGAGCCAAGATTTTGCCATTGCACTCCAGCCTGGGCGACAGGGCAAGACTGTTAAAAAAATAATACTAATAATGATAAATAAAAATAAGAATAAGAAGCAGAATGTAGCTTGGTGAGAGTGAAGTCCTGCTTCCTGGGGCACAGAGTCTTGTTCCTAAAGAGGAAGAAAGATCGCACCTGAGAATGTGTGGAGATAGCAGTGCAGTGTACAGAGCAGAGACCGTGGGCCTGTCTCCTGGGCTCCATCCAAGTTGCTTGTCTTTTCTGTCCCTCAGTTTCCTCACCTGTTCAGAGGGTACTACAATAATACCTACCTCTGTAAATTGCTGCAGTGAATTACATGAGCTATTTCTTGTCAATCTCCTAGAACATTTATTGGCACACAGTAAACACTATCTATTAGTTCTTCATTCTGCTGTTTCTAAATTAACACAAACTTTATTAGCATTTGGGCATATTTCCTTCATGGCCTTATGGTGTTATGTGTCACACTTTATGCTTCAGATATGATTCTTAAAATCATAACAGAAGATATGATTTAAAAATCAAAGATTTTTAAAATCTTTCGCATACTTGTCCTTGAAATTCCCAGTAAAAGGGAAACCATCAGTCCCATAGTCCTAGGGGCCTTCCCGACTGTACAAGAAATCACTACTTCATGCCCCAGTGCAGTGTTTTAGAGGAGAGGCTGCAAGTCTTGGGAAAGTGGCCCCGCATTCAGAGTCAGACCTCAGGGGCTGTGAATTCTGACTCCACTTCGTTGTGGTTGAATCATCTTGTCAACTTCCTTGATGTGCCCTTGAGGTTCTCTTTCTTCATCTCTAAATTTTGGAGGATCAGATGCCAGAAAGTCAGGAGACTGAAGAGTAAAGATGTGGAAATCCCTGTCTAGACCCTGGTACTGGGGAGAGTTTTGTCCTTGGGATGGACCTGGCTCCTGCCCTGTAGGCAATGACCACAGCAGCATGTCCAGCCTTCCACTGAGGCAGGCGTGTCTGTCTTTTCTCAGAATATGAAGAGTGCAAAGACCTCATAAAATCTATGCTGAGGAATGAGCGACAGTTCAAGGAGGAGAAGCTTGCAGAGCAGCTCAAGCAAGCTGAGGAGCTCAGGTGAGGGGACCCCATGGGGGCAGGCGGGGGAGCAGCTGTGTAAATCTCTGAAGTACAGCAGCTCAGTGGGGAGACTTAAGAACTAAGCTGGGCCAGGGGAAGGGCAGGAATTGCCATGGCAGGCTCGCTACACACAAATATTTATCAAACAGAGAAGAAGGATAATAAAAATTTATGGGTTGCAGTTGTTTCTCAGAGCCTTGTTTTCTCTTTTTCAAACAAGTAATTGTTGATGTGAAATTTACATAACACAAAATTAACCAAAGGAGTGTGAACCACACAGCAGCATTCAGTATACTCAAAATGGTGTGCCATCACCACCCCACTTACCCTTAGTGAGAATCACCTTCTGACTGACTGCGTCTTCTCATTCTTTCACTCAATCAATGTTGCCTTCTCGACCCTGTCATTCTTTTCTTCTTTCATCTTTTCAATTCGCCCCATCTGCACCTGGCCTCATTTCTGTACATGGCTTTGTATCTAGTGGCCGCAAGATGCACTATGTGTATTTTCACATGGAAATGTCCATGGCCAGAGTGAGGAACTGAAAGGATGTCTTTTTGAAACGGAATTAGGAAGACACCTACTTTTGTTTACAGAAGGGAAAGATGAATGGAACATCATCGAGGATCTTGCAGGAGCCCTCTCTGATACAGAGGAAGCCTGTAAACCATTTTCTATTCTTTCTCTTAGCCACAGACATTCCTTCCAACATGTGCTGACCTTCTGCTTGGAGGTCTCCTTGAGGACATTGTCTCAGAAATCTCTGTTGCAATATTTGAGCGGATCACTCAACCCTTTCCACTCTTAAATTTTCTCTACCGTCTCACCTTAGGCAATATAAAGTCCTGGTTCACTCTCAGGAACGAGAGCTGACCCAGTTAAGGGAGAAGTTACGGGAAGGGAGAGATGCCTCCCGCTCATTGAATCAGCATCTCCAGGCCCTCCTCACTCCGGATGAGCCAGACAAGTCCCAGGGGCAGGACCTCCAAGAACAGCTGGCTGAGGGGTGTAGACTGGCACAGCACCTTGTCCAAAAGCTCAGCCCAGGTAAGGTGGCCATAGGCCCTGATGACCCAAAACCCCAGGCTTATGAGAGACTCCAGACCTCCATACTTTCACAATGACAGTTGTATCAATGGTGTTTTTTTCCACTAAGCTTATGTGGCCATGACATGACCAGGACTTCCTGGGTAAGAACGGAGTTGGGAAACCCATGGGGTTGGAGGTCACAGTATTGCAAGTGTCCCTCCTCCCTTGATGGAAGGTGGTCTTTGGAGTAAGAGGCAGTATCTGTCTAGTTTTAAAGGACAGGAAGGAGGCTGCGATAGGAGCAGGCTTGTTAGAGTGAAAAGAGCTCTGGACTAAGAATGAAGGTTCCCAGGCTGTCTTTTCGGCAATGTTCTTAGTAACTGTCAGTGAGTGAATGACTTGTCTTTCCTGAGTTTCTCTCTCTCCATGGCAAATTGTCTCTTGCAAGGGTCTGAAGCATTCAAATGTGGGAACACTTAAAACTGCTTTCCAAAATGAGATGAAGCCCCTCGCCGTGTGATGTTGGAGAAGGCACTTTATGTGGTGGCGTTTCGTGGTAGGAAGTGCTTCAGACTGGAGCACTCCCCATGGATAGAATGTCCCTGAATAACACAGCAGAAGCCACTTGGAGGCTTGAAATCTTCTGATGCATAGAGGACTGTGGGACAAGTTTGTCTGCTTCTAAGAGAAAGAATTAGGTTTGAAATGCAAACTGTGACAGGACACCAAGCCTGTGCCTGGGAATCAGATCTGGCAGGATGGGGGAGACAGCTGCCAAAGTCCAGAGAGAGGCTGCACAAGCCTCCAGTGATATGGGAAGCAAAAGGTCTTTTCAATATTTGGCCACATCTTGATGGTGGCCCTCCAGATCAGAAATGCATTGCCTGATGGATCAGGAAACCATGCCAGGGCATTCTGTTAAAGATAAAACATGAGAGTTTTCAGTTGAACGGTGACCCATACCTAGATGTTCATGTCTCTGTTGCACATTGGGCTGACTGTGCTTGCAGACTGTGAAGTGGGAAATATCTGAACGAACACTTCTGTATTTACAGAAAATGACAACGATGACGATGAAGATGTTCAAGTTGAGGTGGCTGAGAAAGTGCAGAAATCGTCTGCCCCCAGGTAACACTGAATACTCAGGAACAATTAATGGATGGTAACATATGAAGAATATCTAGGAGGCACACCCTCTCTGGCATCTATGATGGGCCAAAAACCCGCATTCGCTTGGCCTCAGTATGTGAAATATAACCCAGCTTAGACACAGGGTGCGGCAGCTGTCATGTTTCTCTATGTGTGCCGAGTGTCATGTCTGCACCGTACAGGGATAGCTGAGTCTTCATCCTCCTCAGCTCCTATCTGTCCAGTGCAATGAACACCAGCTGCTCTCTTCCTCTCTGGTTCCCATGGCAGCCATGCTCTGTTGCAGAGAGAACAGGATTGCATGTACCCTCTTAATGGGAACCTCCAGTTTGCTTTCTGGGACCACTCTCTTAATGCCGCCTGTCAAAACCAGCTAGGACTCCCTGGGGTCCAATCCCTCTGTGTTTAATCTTCTGTCATCTCTGTCCCACCTGGCTCATCAGGGACATGCAGAAGGCTGAAGAAAAGGAAGTCCCTGAGGACTCACTGGAGGAATGTGCCATCACTTGTTCAAATAGCCATGGCCCTTATGACTCCAACCAGCCACATAGGAAAACCAAAATCACATTTGAGGAAGACAAAGTCGACTCAACTCTCATTGGCTCATCCTCTCATGTTGAATGGGAGGATGCTGTACACATTATCCCAGGTAGCCTCTGTTTTCCTTGTGTCTCATACCTCTCTCTAGGCTGAGGAAGATAAACTCTGAAGACAGGCTCTATAAACACAAATTCATTTGAATAAAAAACTATGATGGGTTTCTAAACAGATATCAGGGAGTTTTTTTGTCCTTCTCAGCTAATGTCATGCCTTTGTCTGCCAGTCCCCAGTATCAAGTTACTCGACCCCAGGCAAGTGTGACAATCTCATAGTCACCTGAGTGCAGGAGGTGCACAGGCAGTATCTGTCAGGCCTCCTAGCTTCGATTCAGTATCTCTTGTCATCTGTGATTAAGTCATCTGTCCCTGAACAATGTCCATGGAGTTTCTATGCCTGTTTCAGGAAGCTGGCAGCCTTGCCTTTGTATTTGGAAATATTGTTCCCCAGGCTTCACTGCTCTCAGCTTTCATCTGGATCTCCTTTAAGTCAGCTTGCTTAGCTGCACAGTCACCCTGAAATCAGGATGGAAACTTTTCTTCTTTACTTTGCTGATATATTTCCATAAAGCAAGGCTGGACCCTGGTTCTCCACCCTGTCAATGCAATGGCTGATCCAATGTTTCTTTGTAGCATCGTGGATTTTTTTTTTTTTTTTTTTTTTTTTTTTTTTTTTTTTTTTTTTTTGCGATGGAGTCTTGCTCTGTCACCCAGGCTAGAGTGCAGTTGCACCATCTTGGCTTGGTGCAACCTCTGCCTCCCAGATTCAAGTGATTCTCCTGCCTCAGCCTCCTGAGTTGCTGGGACCACAGGTGCACAACATCACATCTGGCTAATTTTTGTATTTTTAGTAGAGACAGTGTTTCCCCATATTGGCCAGGGTAGTCCTGAACTCATGACCTCAAATGATTCACCTGTCTTGGCCTCCCAAATCACAGATTCTTTTTAAAGCAAGAGTTGTTCAAATTTATCTATCAGTCGTGTTTCATGTATAGATGCCTCTAAACATTTAATGTCCATGTTATCTGGTGATATAAGTCCGTATTGCAGCAACACTCTTAGAAAATGGACCAATTTTTGGAGATTTTTTTGGGGAAAAAATTTTGTTTAACTTTGACTCAGGCAGGGAATATGGCATTATGGTCTACACGTAGAGGGAGATTTTGGCCTGTGGGTCTGGAAAGCAGGGTCATCTAATTCTCACCAAAGTTAATCTAGGGCACCCTAGAATATTCCTGTCAGAATCCTTATTCTTGCACTGAGAATAGTTATGTCCTTGTGCTATGACTGGACAGTGATTTGGTCATATGTGAAGTATGAATTGCTTAATGTGACCTGCTTCTCTGAATTTATTTACAGAAAATGAAAGTGATGATGAGGAAGAGGAAGAAAAAGGGCCAGTGTCTCCCAGGTAATGTTGTGGAATTGTTGGCTGTTAATTCAGTAGTAACATCTGGAGATTGTAGATTTAGGGAAAATGAGGAAGTGATGAATAGAACTATTTCTTCCATTCACCCAGCTACAAATTGTGCTGATTTACAATGTTGTATGTTATTTGTGGCACTTGTATTGGTTTTAATTTCATAGTCCTCTCAAGATAGGAACTTGCCATCAGATGAGCCAGGTGAACTAGCCAAACAGGGTTTTCTTGTTGATCTTTTCAAAAAACCAGCCCTGGATTCATTGATTTTTTGAAGGGTTTTTTGTGTCTCTATCTCCTTTAGTTCTGCTCTGATCTTAGTTACTTCTTGTCTTCTGCTAGCTTTTGAATTTGTTTGCTTTGCTTCTCTAGTTATTTTAATTGTGATGTTAGGGTGTCAATTTTAGATCTTTTCTGCTTTCTCTTGTGGGCATTTAGTGCTATAATTTTCCCTCTACACATTGCTTTAAATGTGTCCCAGAGATTCTGGTATGTTGTGTCTTTGTTCTCATTGGTTTCAAAGAACATCTTTATTTCTGCCTTCATTTTGTTATTTTCCCAGTAGTCATTCAGGAGCAGGTTGTTCAGTTTCCATGTAGTTGTGCAGTTTTGAGTGAGTTTCTTAATCCTGAGTTCTAATTTGATTGCACTGTGGTCTGACAGTTTGTTGTGGTTTCCATTCTTTTACATTTGCTGAGGAGTGCTTTACCTCCAACTATGTGGTCAATTTTGGAATAAGTGTGATGTGGTGCTGAGAAGAATGTATATTCTGTTGATTTGGGGTGGAGAGTTCTGTAGATGTCTTTTAGGTCTGCTTGGTGGAGAGCTGAGTTCAAGTCCTGGATATCCTTGTAAAGCTTCTGTCTCATTGATCTGTCTAATATTGACAGTGGGGTGTTAAAGTCTCCCATTATGATTGTGTGGAGTCTAAATCTCTTTGTAGGTCTCTCAGGACTTGCTTTATGAATCTGGGTGCTCCTGTATAGGGTGCATATATATTTAGGATAGTTAACTCTTCTTGTTGAATTGATCCCTTTACCATTATGTAGTGGCCTTCTTTGTCTCTTTTGATCTTTGTTGGTTTAAAGTCTGTTTTATCAGAGACTAGGATTGCAACCCCTGCATTTTTTTGCTTTCCATTTGCTTGGTAGATCTTCCTCCATCCCTTTATTTTGAGCCTATGTGTGTCTCTGCATGTGAGATGGGTTTCCTGAGTACAGCACACTGATGGGTCTTGACTCTTTGTCCAATTTGCCATTCTGTGTTTTTTAACTGGGGCATTTAGCCCATTTACATTTAAGGTTAATATTGTTATGTGTGAATTTGAGCCTGTCGTTATGATGTTAGCTGGTTATTTCGCCCGTTAGTTGATGCAGTTTCTTCCTAGCGTCAATGGTCTTTACAGTTTGGCATGTTTTTGCAGTGGCTGGTACCGGTTGTTCCTTTCCATGTTTAGTGCTTCCTTTAGGAGCTCTTGTAAGGCAGGCCTGGTGGTGACAAAATCTCTCAGCATTTGCTTCTCTGTAAAGGATTTATTTCTCCTTCACTTATGAAGCTTTGTTTGGCTGGATATGAAATTCTGGGTTGAAAATTCTTTTCTTTAAGAATGTTGAAGATGCTGGAGAGGATGTGGAGAAATAGGAACACTTTTACACTGTTGGTGGGAGTGTAAACTAGTTCAACGATTGTGGAAGGCAGTGTGGCAATTCCTCAGGGATCTAGAACTAGAAATAGCATTTGACCCAGCCATCCCATTACTGGGTGTATACCCAAAGGATTATAAATCATGCTGCTGTAAAGACACATGCACACATATGTTTATTGCGGCACTATTCACAATAGCAAAGACTTGGAACCAAGCCAAATATCCAGCAATGATAGACTGGATTAAGAAAATGTGGCACGTATACACCATGGAATACTATGCAGCTATAAAAAATGATGAGTTCATGTCCTTTGTAGGGGCATGGATGAAGCTGGAAACCATCATTCTCAGCAAACTATCGCAAGGACAAAAAACCAAGTACCGCATGTTCTTACTCACAGGTGGGAATTGAACAATGAGAACACATGGACACAGGAAGGGGAACATCACACACTGGGGCCTGTTGTAGGGTGGGGGGAGGGAGGAGGGGTAGCATTAGGAGATATACCTAATGTTAAATGATGAGTTAATGGGTGAAGCACACCAATGTGGACATGTATACATATGTAACTAACCTGCACGTTGTGCACATGTACCCTAAGACTTAAAGTATTAAAAAATATATATACATATATATACATACACACAAAAAATAATAAAGGAAAACTATACATATGGAAAAAAAAAAAGAATGTTGAATATTGCTCCCACTCTCTTCTGGCTTGTAGGGTTTGTGCCAAGAGATCTGCTGCTAGTCTGATGGGCTTCCCTTTGTGGGTAATCCGACCTTTCTCTCTGGCTGCACTTAGCATTTTTTCCTTCATTTCAACCTTGGTGAATCTGACAATTATGTGTTTTGGGGTTGCTCTTCTCGAGGAGTATCTTTATGGTGTTCTCTGTGTTTCCTGAATTTGAATGTTGGCCTTCCTTACAAGGTTGGGGAAGTCCTCCTGGATAATATCCTGAAGAATGTTTCCCAGCTTGGTTCCATTCTCCCCATCACTTTCAGTGCACCAATCAAACGTAGATTTGGTCTTTCCACATAGTCCCATATTTATTGGAGGCTTGTTCATTTCTTTTTACTCTTTTTTCTCTAAACTTCTCTTCTCGCTTCATTTCACTAATTTGATCTTGAATCACTGATACCGTTTCTTGCACTTGATCGAATTGACTACTGAAGCTTGTGCATGCATCACGTAGTTCTCGTGCCATGGTTTTCAGCTCCATCAGGTCATTTAAGGTCTTCTCTACACTGTTCATTCTGGTTGGCCATTCGTCTAATCTTTTTTCAAGGTTTTTAGCTTCCTTGCAATGAGTTCGCACATCCTCCTTTAGCTCAGAGAAGTTTGTTATTACCGACTTTCTGAAGCCTACTTCTGTCAGCTCATCAAAGTCATTCTCCATCCTGCTTTGTTCCATTGCTGGCGAGGAGCTGTGATCCTTTGGAGGAGAAGGGATGTCAGGTTTTTGGAATTTTCAGCTTTTGTGCTCTGGTTTCTCCCCACCTTTGTGGTTTTATCTACCCTTGGTCTTTGATGATGGCGACCTACAGATGGGATTTTGGTATGGATGTCTCTTTTGTTGATGTTGATGCTATTCCTTTCTGTGTGTTAGTTTTCCTTCTAACAATCAGGTCCCTCAGCTTCAGGTCTGTTGGAGTTTGCTGGAAGTCCTCTCCAGACCCTCAAACAGAGATTTCTTGGTGTTGCCTATTCTCTCCCATGTGTTTAAATCCAGGGAGAGATGTATATATGCTTTCTTCCTATTTGTTGGTAGTATGTTGGCTAGTATTTTTGCAAGAAAAGAAATTGAAAAGGTAAATATATTATATCAAAATATTGGGAAAATGGGGCCCTTAATACAGAAGATCTGTGTCTGCACTGCGTCAAGAACTCTCTTCACTTGAATGCTGCATGTAAAATTCAACCCAATTTATGCAAAGTAGTTGAAGCCCTGTGTCAGTTCTCTGTGCTGCAAGTCATGATGGTAGTTTACAGGGAGAGTCTGGGTGCCCTGAGTTGGCTCATCTGTGGCAAATGTACTGAGCACATGCTGCCCATTTTTGCTCTGTCCCCAGAGCAGTCACCCTCCGCCCTGTATTTAGAAGGATAGTTTTATTTCTCTTGAAGGAAAAATGCCTTTGGTTTCTGTGACCACTCCATTCTGTCTCCCATCAGATCATCTGGGAGGTTTTGTTGTCTAATGTCTGTTGGTTAAATCTTCTATCATCCCTGTCCTGCCTGGCTCATCAGGAATCTGCAGGAGTCTGAAGAGGAGGAAGTCCCCCAGGAGTCCTGGGATGAAGGTTATTCGACTCTCTCAATTCCTCCTGAAATGTTGGCCTCGTACCAGTCTTACAGCGGCACATTTCACTCATTAGAGGAACAGCAAGTCTGCATGGCTGTTGACATAGGCGGTGAGTACTCCATTGTGAAGGTGATAAAGCTCCAGTTCATGGCCCAGGTAGACCCCATAATCTTTGGGCCTTGTGCCCCTTGTTGGGCTGAGATTTGCCATCACTGTGGGCTGAACCTATATATCAATGTAGATTTCAATCACTCTGGAGTCGAGTCTGAAGCACAGGCATGGGTGGGTGAGTGAGCTTTGCTCTCTTCCTAGTCTCAGGCCATGCCCGTGCCAACCTGGACTGACTGTCACGACATTGAACTCAAGGCAGGTGTGGCAAGCTCACACCAAACTATGCAGTACATGACCAGGAGTTGTCTGTCAGATCAGCTCATCTGAATTAAATGTCTCTTGCCAGCTACAAAATTCCTTATGAGTTTTGTTCCCAAAGCATGTCTGTGTGGTTCTTTACCTGCCCGAGGCAAGTGTCACCCTTGTCTACCTCTCAGTGAAAGATGTGGCCCAGGTTTCACTGAATTTATTCCCATTTTCTGTGTCTTCTAAGTTCGCTTGCTTTAGCTCATCTGTCCGTCATGTTCCTGGTATGTTTTCTAGATAAATGGCTGACTTTTCACCCACAAAAGCCATAATAGCTGATGCTTCTGTGTAGAACCAAGTTTCATTTTGACTCAAGAGCTGGTACATTGCACCCCTTCATCAAATCTCTGTGTCCACAATCTCATAAACTATCAAATTCTGGGTATTTGATGAGAGAAAGCTTAATATTGAAGTATCTCTCCTATGAGGTGTTAGAACTATTTGCCTACAATTTATTGGAGAAAAAGTTGCTCATTTGTGTACACAAACCTAGGACAGAGCACATAGGGAAGATAACATTCCAAAACAGGGTAATTTTGCCCAAGGCTCATGAAAGAACCCAAGCCAGTTTTCTCAAGACTTGACCTCAGGCCTACTGGAATATTTCTCTCAAAGTCTCCTGTTCTCACACTGACCAGACTGATGTACCTGTGTTAGGATTGGACAGAGGAATGTTTCTGTGTGCAAGGAAGAACTGCTTAATGTAAGAGGCCCCATCTGAATTTATTTGCAGGACATCGGTGGGATCAAGTGAAAAAGGAGGACCAAGAGGCAACAGGTCCCAGGTGAGTCTGAGAAATTGTGGACAGTTAATTTGATGTTGACACCTGGAGATGCCAAGTCCAGGGAAAACAGTACATGCTGAAAATAATGATTTTGTCTTGTCAGACAAGTCTAAATTATGCCTACTACATTGCTTTTTGGTTCTCATTAGAGTAAATGTTTAGGTTTCCATTTCTTCCTACCCTTATCATTTACTAACCTAGTGAAGGTTGACCATACCTCAAAAGCTGTATTCTCATGGTGGCTGCAGGGAAACTTGAGCACATTTTATGCAAAATTATTGAGGCCATGCTTCTCATGATCAATGTTCACTGTGTGTCCTGAGAGCACAAATAGAGAATGACCGTTGACTCCCTCATCAGTGTGTCACCTGGCCAATTCACTGAGCTCACTCTGTGTGTGTGTGTGTGTGTGTGTGTGTGTGTGTGTGTGTGTGTGTGTCTTTCTCTTTCATCCTTTTCTACCTGGCCCTAGTCAATCCCAACATAAAGGCAATAATTTGTTACCTCATTAATGGATCTGTTCTTTTTCTTTTCAAACTCTTCCTTATGTTAGCCATGAAATCTAGCTGGGGCTGTGTGGTTTCTGATTCCCCCTGGCTTATTCTTTACTTTTTCCCACTGTTCCAGGCTCAGCAGGGAGCTGCTGGATGAGAAAGGGCCTGAAGTCTTGCAGGACTCACTGGATAGATGTTATTCAACTCCTTCAGGTTATCTTGAACTGACTGACTCATGCCAGCCCTACAGAAGTGCCTTTTACATATTGGAGCAACAGCGTGTTGGCTGGGCTCTTGACATGGATGGTGAGTACCTTTCTATGAAGGTGATAAGGATCCACTGAGTCTTCTGGTTAGGGTCATATTCCTACTGCAAATGGCCCTTACTGAGCTGAGAGATGTCATTGCCACAGGGAGGACCTATAGGCACATGTAGGTTGAATGAAACTCTAGTTCCACTTGGAAGCCCAGGCAAGGGATGGGTCAGTGAGCAGGGCTCTCTTCCTAGTCTCAGGCCATGCCTGTGGCACCCTAATCCTACTCTCAAGATGTTGGATCTGGGCAGATGTGACAAATTCACACAACTCTGATTTTGTCTCAATTTTGTAGATCTTGTAGATTTCATCCTTCACTCTAATTTCAGCGTCTAAAATCCTCGCTACCATGAAGAATCTGAGTATTTGATGAGACAGGGCTGAATATTGCAGTTTTTCTCCCAGCAACCATTTGGGGGCATTTGCTTTAAATCGATTGGAAAAATATGGCATAACCATTTGCACAAACTTGGGACAAATGATCTTGGGATAACGATCTACCAGAATAGGGAATTTTACCCACAGTTTCTGGGACAAAAACCCAGGAATCTCTATCATGATCAGCCTTCAGGCCTCCTGAAGAAGATCTCTCACAGTGTCCTATTCTCATGCTGAGGAGCCTGAAGTCCCTGTGTGAGGATTAGACAGTGGATTGTTATGTGTGTAGGAGAACCAGCTTAATATGTCTGTCCATGTCTGAACTTATTGCAGAAATTGAAAAGTACCAAGAAGTGGAAGAAGACCAAGACCCATCATGCCCCAGGTAACTTTGAGCAATTATGGATGCTTAATTCTGTGTTGACACCTGGAGATGCCAGGTCCAGGGAAAACAAGAGTATGTTCAATTTCATGTTTTCAACGAAGGTTGAATTACTCCTACTGACATTGCTGTTGGTTTTCCTTGCAGTAGATGTTTAGGTTTCCATTTCTTCCTCCCCTTATCATTTACTAACTTACTGTAGGTTGACCATACCTCAAAGGCTGTATGGCAACTGCATGGAATCTTAAGCAAGTTTATGGAAAATTATTGAGCCCACTCTTTTCATGATCACTGTTCTCTGTGTGTCCCGAGGGCACTAACTCAGTGTCCTTTGACCCCTTCATCAGTGTGTCACCCGGCCAATTCGCTGAGCTCACTTTCTCCTCTGTCTCTCTCTCCCTCTCCCTCTCCCTGTCTTTCTCTTTCATTCTTTTCTACCTGGCCCTGGTCTATCCCAACATAAAGGCAATAATTCATTACCTCATTAATGGATCTGCCCTTTTTCTGTTTAAACAGTTCCTTATGTTAGCCATGAAATGTAGCTGGGGCTGTGTGGTTTCTGATTCCCCCTGGCTTATTCTTTACTTTTTCCTACTTTTCCAGGCTCAGCAGGGAGCTGCTGGATGAGAAAGAGCCTGAAGTCTTGCAGGACTCACTGGATAGATGTTATTCGACTCCTTCAGGTTATCTTGAACTGCCTGACTTAGGCCAGCCCTACAGAAGTGCTGTTCACTCATTGGAGGAACAGTACCTTGGCTTGGCTCTTGACGTGGACAGTGAGTACCTTACTATGAAGGTGATAAGCCTCCACCTGGTCTTCCAGATAGGGGTGATATTCCTGTTCCCAGTGGCCCTTACTGACCCGAGAGATGTCATTGCCGCAGGCAGGACCTATGGGCGCATATAGGTTGTAATGAAACTGTAGTCTCCGCTGGAAGCCTAGACATGAAATGGGTCAGTGAGCAAGGCTCTATTCCTAGTCTCCAGCCATGCCTGTGGCAACCGGAGCCCGCTCTCAGCACATTGGACCCAGGCAGATGTAAAAAATTCACAGAACTATGATTTGGACTCAAGGGTTTGTAGATTTCCTCCCTCATTCTAATTTCAGTGTCTAAAATTCTTGCATCCATGAACGAGCTGGGCATTTGATGAGACAGGGCTGAATACTGCAGTTTTCCTCCTAGAAATCATCTGGGGCATTGTCTTTGAACTGATGGGAACAATAAGGCATAACCGTTTGCACAAACTTGGGATAAATGATTTTGGGATAACGATCTACCAGAATAGGGATATTTCACCCTTGGTTCTGAGATGCAAACCAAAGAATATCATGACCAGCTTTCAGGCCTCCTGAAGTATATCTCTCACATTGTCCTGTTCTCTTGCTGAGGAGCCTGAGATCCCTGTGTGGGGATTAGACAGTGGACTGTTATGGGTGTAGGTGAATTGGCTCATTTTGTCTGTCCCTGTCTGAATGTATTGCAGGAATTAAAAAGGACCAGGAAGAGGAAGAAGACCAAGGCCCACCATGCCCCAGGTAACTGAGCAATTGTGAACAGCTACTTCTGTGTTGACATCTGGAGACTCCTGGTTCAGGGAAAACAGGGCGGGCTGACATTATCGATTACATCTTTTCAACCGAGCCTGAATTATTCCTACTAACATTGCCGTTGGTTTTCATTGCAGTAGATATTTAGGTTTCCATTTCTTCCTCCCCTTATCATTTACTAACCTACTGTAGGTGGACCAGACTTCAAAAACTGTATTCTCATGGCGACTGCATGGAAACTTGAGCACATTTTATGGAAAATTATTGAGCACAGTCCTTTCCTGATCACTGTATGCTGTGTGTCCTGAGGGCACTAACTCAGAGTGTCCTGTTACTCCCTCATCAGTGTGTCACCTGGACAATTCACTGAGCTCATTCTCTGTGTGTGTGTGTGTGTGTGTGTGTGTGTGTGTGTGTGTGTGTGTGTCTATCTGTCTTTCTCTTTCATTCTTTTCCATTTGGCCCTGTTCTGTCCCAACATGAAGGCAATAATTTGTTACCTCATTAATGGATCTCTCCTTTTACTTTTTCAACCACTTCCTTATGCTACCCATGAAACCTAGTTGGGGCTCTGTTGTGTCTGATTTCCCCTGGCTTATTCTTTACTTTTTCCTCCTTTTCCAGGCTCAGCAGGGAGCTGCTGGAGGCAGTAGAGCCTGAAGTCTTGCAGGACTCACTGGATAGATGTTATTCAACTCCTTCCAGTTGTCTTGAACAGCCTGACTCCTGCCTGCCCTATGGAAGTTCCTTTTATGCATTGGAGGAAAAACATGTTGGCTTTTCTCTTGACGTGGGAGGTGAGTACCTTTCTATGAAGGTGATAAGGATCCACTGAGTCTTCCATATAAAGATCATATTCCTGCTCCAAGTGGCCATTACTGAGCTGAGAGATGTCATTGCTGCAGTGAGGACCTATAGGCACATGTAGGTTGAATGAAACTCTAGTTCTAACTGGAAGCCCAGACATGGGATGGGTCAGTGAGCATGGCTCTCTTCCTAGTCTCAGGCCATGCCTGTGGCACTCTGATTCTACTCTCATGACATTGGACCTGGGCAGATGTGACAAATTCAGAGAACTATGATTTTGACTCAAGGGTTTGTAGATTTCCTTTTTCACTCTAATTTCAGTGTCTAAAGTCCTCACAACCATGAACAATCTGAGTATTTGATGAGACAGGGCTAAATATTGCAGTTTTTCTCCTAGAAATCATTTGAGGGTATTTGCTTTAAATTGATTGGAAAAATATGGCATAACTGTTTGCACAAACTCGGGACAAATGATATTGGGATAACGATCTACTAGAATAGGGACATTTTACCCACAGTTTCTGGGAGAAAAACCGAGGAATTTCTATCATGACCAGCCTTCAGGCCTCCTGAAATATATCTCTCACAGTCTCCTATTCTTATGCTGAGGAGCCTGAGGTCCCTGTGTGAGGATTAGACAGTGGATTGTTATGTGTGTAGGGGAATCAGCTTAATGTGTCTGTCCATGTCTGAATTTATTGCAGAAATTGAAAAGAAGGGGAAGGGGAAGAAAAGAAGGGGAAGAAGATCAACGAAGAAAAGAAGGAGAAGGGGAAGAAAAGAAGGGGAAGAAGATCAAAACCCACCATGCCCCAGGTAACTTTCAGCAATTGTGGATGCTTAATTCTGTGTTAACACCTGGAGGCAACAGATTCAGGGAAACCAGAGTGTGTTTGATTTCATGTTTTCAACGAAGGCTGAATTACTCCTACTGTCATTGCTGTTGGTTTTCATTGCAGTAGATGTTTAGGTTTCCATTTCTTCCTCCCCTTATCATTTACTAACGTACCATAGGATGACCATACTTCAAAAGCTGTACTCTCGTGGCCACTGCATCGAATTTTGAGCATATTTTATGGAAAACTATTGAGCTCACTCTTTTCATGATCGCAGTTTGCTGTGTGTCATGAGGGCACTAACTCAGAGTGTCCTTTTACTCCCTTACCAGTATGTCACCTGGCCAATTCACTAGCTCACTTTCTCTCTGTCTCTGTCTCTGTCTCTGTCTCTCTGTCTTTCTCTTTCATTGTTTTCTACCTGGCCCTGTTCTATCCCAACATAAAGGCAATAATTTGTTACCTCATTAATGGATCTGTCCTTTTTCTTTTCAAACTCTTCCTTATGTTAGCCATGAAATCTAGCTGGGGCTGTGTGGTTTCTGATTCCCCCTGGCTTATTCTTTACTTTTTCCCACTGTTCCAGGCTCAGCAGGGAGCTGCTGGATGAGAAAGGGCCTGAAGTCTTGCAGGACTCACTGGATAGATGTTATTCAACTCCTTCAGGTTATCTTGAACTGACTGACTCATGCCAGCCCTACAGAAGTGCCTTTTACATATTGGAGCAACAGCGTGTTGGCTGGGCTCTTGACATGGATGGTGAGTACCTTTCTATGAAGGTGATAAGGATCCACTGAGTCTTCTGGTTAGGGTCATATTCCTACTGCAAATGGCCCTTACTGAGCTGAGAGATGTCATTGCCACAGGGAGGACCTATAGGCACATGTAGGTTGAATGAAACTCTAGTTCCACTTGGAAGCCCAGGCAAGGGATGGGTCAGTGAGCAGGGCTCTCTTCCTAGTCTCAGGCCATGCCTGTGGCACCCTAATCCTACTCTCAAGATGTTGGATCTGGGCAGATGTGACAAATTCACACAACTCTGATTTTGTCTCAATTTTGTAGATCTTGTAGATTTCATCCTTCACTCTAATTTCAGTGTCTAAAATCCTCGCTACCATGAAGAATCTGAGTATTTGATGAGACAGGGCTGAATATTGCAGTTTTTCTCCCAGCAACCATTTGGGGGCATTTGCTTTAAATCGATTGGAAAAATATGGCATAACCATTTGCACAAACTTAGGACAAATGATCTTGGGATAACGATCTACCAGAATAGGGAATTTTACCCACAGTTTCTGGGACAAAAACCCAGGAATCTCTATCATGATCAGCCTTCAGGCCTCCTGAAGAAGATCTCTCACAGTGTCCTATTCTCATGCTGAGGAGCCTGAAGTCCCTGTGTGAGGATTAGACAGTGGATTGTTATGTGTGTAGGAGAACCAGCTTAATATGTCTGTCCATGTCTGAACTTATTGCAGAAATTGAAAAGTACCAAGAAGTGGAAGAAGACCAAGACCCATCATGCCCCAGGTAACTTTGAGCAATTATGGATGCTTAATTCTGTGTTGACACCTGGAGATGCCAGGTCCAGGGAAAACAAGAGTATGTTCAATTTCATGTTTTCAACGAAGGTTGAATTACTCCTACTGACATTGCTGTTGGTTTTCCTTGCAGTAGATGTTTAGGTTTCCATTTCTTCCTCCCCTTATCATTTACTAACTTACTGTAGGTTGACCATACCTCAAAGGCTGTATGGCAACTGCATGGAATCTTAAGCAAGTTTATGGAAAATTATTGAGCCCACTCTTTTCATGATCACTGTTCTCTGTGTGTCCCGAGGGCACTAACTCAGAGTGTCCTTTGACCCCTTCATCAGTGTGTCACCCGGCCAATTCGCTGAGCTCACTTTCTCCTCTGTCTCTCTCTCCCTCTCCCTCTCCCTGTCTTTCTCTTTCATTCTTTTCTACCTGGCCCTGGTCTATCCCAACATAAAGGCAATAATTCATTACCTCATTAATGGATCTGCCCTTTTTCTGTTTAAACAGTTCCTTATGTTAGCCATGAAATGTAGCTGGGGCTGTGTGGTTTCTGATTCCCCCTGGCTTATTCTTTACTTTTTCCTACTTTTCCAGGCTCAGCAGGGAGCTGCTGGATGAGAAAGAGCCTGAAGTCTTGCAGGACTCACTGGATAGATGTTATTCGACTCCTTCAGGTTATCTTGAACTGCCTGACTTAGGCCAGCCCTACAGAAGTGCTGTTCACTCATTGGAGGAACAGTACCTTGGCTTGGCTCTTGACGTGGACAGTGAGTACCTTACTATGAAGGTGATAAGCCTCCACCTGGTCTTCCAGATAGGGGTGATATTCCTGTTCCCAGTGGCCCTTACTGACCCGAGAGATGTCATTGCCGCAGGCAGGACCTATGGGCGCATATAGGTTGTAATGAAACTGTAGTCTCCGCTGGAAGCCTAGACATGAAATGGGTCAGTGAGCAAGGCTCTATTCCTAGTCTCCAGCCATGCCTGTGGCAACCTGAGCCCGCTCTCAGCACATTGGACCCAGGCAGATGTAAAAAATTCACAGAACTATGATTTGGACTCAAGGGTTTGTAGATTTCCTCCCTCATTCTAATTTCAGTGTCTAAAATTCTTGCATCCATGAACGAGCTGGGCATTTGATGAGACAGGGCTGAATACTGCAGTTTTCCTCCTAGAAATCATCTGGGGCATTGTCTTTGAACTGATGGGAACAATAAGGCATAACTGTTTGCACAAACTTGGGATAAATGATTTTGGGATAACGATCTACCAGAATAGGGATATTTCACCCTTGGTTCTGAGATGCAAACCAAAGAATATCATGACCAGCTTTCAGGCCTCCTGAAGTATATCTCTCACATTGTCCTGTTCTCTTGCTGAGGAGCCTGAGATCCCTGTGTGGGGATTAGACAGTGGACTGTTACGGGTGTAGGTGAATTGGCTTATTTTGTCTGTCCCTGTCTGAATGTATTGCAGGAATTAAAAAGGACCAGGAAGAGGAAGAAGACCAAGGCCCACCATGCCCCAGGTAACTGAGCAATTGTGAACAGCTACTTCTGTGTTGACATCTGGAGACTCCTGGTTCAGGGAAAACAGGGCGGGCTGACATTATCGATTACATCTTTTCAACCGAGCCTGAATTATTCCTACTAACATTGCTGTTGGTTTTCATTGCAGTAGATATTTAGGTTTCCATTTCTTCCTCCCCTTATCATTTACTAACCTACTGTAGGTGGACCAGACTTCAAAAACTGTATTCTCATGGCGACTGCATGGAAACTTGAGCACATTTTATGGAAAATTATTGAGCACAGTCCTTTCCTGATCACTGTATGCTGTGTGTCCTGAGGGCACTAACTCAGAGTGTCCTGTTACTCCCTCATCAGTGTGTCACCTGGACAATTCACTGAGCTCATTCTCTGTGTGTGTGTGTGTGTGTGTGTGTGTGTGTGTGTGTGTGTGTGTGTGTCTATCTGTCTTTCTCTTTCATTCTTTTCCATTTGGCCCTGTTCTGTCCCAACATGAAGGCAATAATTTGTTACCTCATTAATGGATCTCTCCTTTTACTTTTTCAACCACTTCCTTATGCTACCCATGAAACCTAGTTGGGGCTCTGTTGTGTCTGATTTCCCCTGGCTTATTCTTTACTTTTTCCTCCTTTTCCAGGCTCAGCAGGGAGCTGCTGGAGGCAGTAGAGCCTGAAGTCTTGCAGGACTCACTGGATAGATGTTATTCAACTCCTTCCAGTTGTCTTGAACAGCCTGACTCCTGCCTGCCCTATGGAAGTTCCTTTTATGCATTGGAGGAAAAACATGTTGGCTTTTCTCTTGACGTGGGAGGTGAGTACCTTTCTATGAAGGTGATAAGGATCCACTGAGTCTTCCATATAAAGATCATATTCCTGCTCCAAGTGGCCATTACTGAGCTGAGAGATGTCATTGCTGCAGTGAGGACCTATAGGCACATGTAGGTTGAATGAAACTCTAGTTCTAACTGGAAGCCCAGACATGGGATGGGTCAGTGAGCATGGCTCTCTTCCTAGTCTCAGGCCATGCCTGTGGCACTCTGATTCTACTCTCATGACATTGGACCTGGGCAGATGTGACAAATTCAGAGAACTATGATTTTGACTCAAGGGTTTGTAGATTTCCTTTTTCACTCTAATTTCAGTGTCTAAAGTCCTCACAACCATGAACAATCTGAGTATTTGATGAGACAGGGCTAAATATTGCAGTTTTTCTCCTAGAAATCATTTGAGGGTATTTGCTTTAAATTGATTGGAAAAATATGGCATAACTGTTTGCACAAACTCGGGACAAATGATATTGGGATAACGATCTACTAGAATAGGGACATTTTACCCACAGTTTCTGGGAGAAAAACCGAGGAATTTCTATCATGACCAGCCTTCAGGCCTCCTGAAATATATCTCTCACAGTCTCCTATTCTTATGCTGAGGAGCCTGAGGTCCCTGTGTGAGGATTAGACAGTGGATTGTTATGTGTGTAGGGGAATCAGCTTAATGTGTCTGTCCATGTCTGAATTTATTGCAGAAATTGAAAAGAAGGGGAAGGGGAAGAAAAGAAGGGGAAGAAGATCAACGAAGAAAAGAAGGAGAAGGGGAAGAAAAGAAGGGGAAGAAGATCAAAACCCACCATGCCCCAGGTAACTTTCAGCAATTGTGGATGCTTAATTCTGTGTTAACACCTGGAGGCAACAGATTCAGGGAAACCAGAGTGTGTTTGATTTCATGTTTTCAACGAAGGCTGAATTACTCCTACTGTCATTGCTGTTGGTTTTCATTGCAGTAGATGTTTAGGTTTCCATTTCTTCCTCCCCTTATCATTTACTAACGTACCATAGGATGACCATACTTCAAAAGCTGTACTCTCGTGGCCACTGCATCGAATTTTGAGCATATTTTATGGAAAACTATTGAGCTCACTCTTTTCATGATCGCAGTTTGCTGTGTGTCATGAGGGCACTAACTCAGAGTGTCCTTTTACTCCCTTACCAGTATGTCACCTGGCCAATTCACTAGCTCACTTTCTCTCTGTCTCTGTCTCTGTCTCTGTCTCTCTGTCTTTCTCTTTCATTGTTTTCTACCTGGCCCTGTTCTATCCCAACATAAAGGCAATAATTTGTTACCTCATTAATGGATCTGTCCTTTTTCTTTTCAAACTCTTCCTTATGTTAGCCATGAAATCTAGCTGGGGCTGTGTGGTTTCTGATTCCCCCTGGCTTATTCTTTACTTTTTCCCACTGTTCCAGGCTCAGCAGGGAGCTGCTGGATGAGAAAGGGCCTGAAGTCTTGCAGGACTCACTGGATAGATGTTATTCAACTCCTTCAGGTTATCTTGAACTGACTGACTCATGCCAGCCCTACAGAAGTGCCTTTTACATATTGGAGCAACAGCGTGTTGGCTGGGCTCTTGACATGGATGGTGAGTACCTTTCTATGAAGGTGATAAGGATCCACTGAGTCTTCTGGTTAGGGTCATATTCCTACTGCAAATGGCCCTTACTGAGCTGAGAGATGTCATTGCCACAGGGAGGACCTATAGGCACATGTAGGTTGAATGAAACTCTAGTTCCACTTGGAAGCCCAGGCAAGGGATGGGTCAGTGAGCAGGGCTCTCTTCCTAGTCTCAGGCCATGCCTGTGGCACCCTAATCCTACTCTCAAGATGTTGGATCTGGGCAGATGTGACAAATTCACACAACTCTGATTTTGTCTCAATTTTGTAGATCTTGTAGATTTCATCCTTCACTCTAATTTCAGTGTCTAAAATCCTCGCTACCATGAAGAATCTGAGTATTTGATGAGACAGGGCTGAATATTGCAGTTTTTCTCCCAGCAACCATTTGGGGGCATTTGCTTTAAATCGATTGGAAAAATATGGCATAACCATTTGCACAAACTTAGGACAAATGATCTTGGGATAACGATCTACCAGAATAGGGAATTTTACCCACAGTTTCTGGGACAAAAACCCAGGAATCTCTATCATGATCAGCCTTCAGGCCTCCTGAAGAAGATCTCTCACAGTGTCCTATTCTCATGCTGAGGAGCCTGAAGTCCCTGTGTGAGGATTAGACAGTGGATTGTTATGTGTGTAGGAGAACCAGCTTAATATGTCTGTCCATGTCTGAACTTATTGCAGAAATTGAAAAGTACCAAGAAGTGGAAGAAGACCAAGACCCATCATGCCCCAGGTAACTTTGAGCAATTATGGATGCTTAATTCTGTGTTGACACCTGGAGATGCCAGGTCCAGGGAAAACAAGAGTATGTTCAATTTCATGTTTTCAACGAAGGTTGAATTACTCCTACTGACATTGCTGTTGGTTTTCCTTGCAGTAGATGTTTAGGTTTCCATTTCTTCCTCCCCTTATCATTTACTAACTTACTGTAGGTTGACCATACCTCAAAGGCTGTATGGCAACTGCATGGAATCTTAAGCAAGTTTATGGAAAATTATTGAGCCCACTCTTTTCATGATCACTGTTCTCTGTGTGTCCCGAGGGCACTAACTCAGAGTGTCCTTTGACCCCTTCATCAGTGTGTCACCCGGCCAATTCGCTGAGCTCACTTTCTCCTCTGTCTCTCTCTCCCTCTCCCTCTCCCTGTCTTTCTCTTTCATTCTTTTCTACCTGGCCCTGGTCTATCCCAACATAAAGGCAATAATTCATTACCTCATTAATGGATCTGCCCTTTTTCTGTTTAAACAGTTCCTTATGTTAGCCATGAAATGTAGCTGGGGCTGTGTGGTTTCTGATTCCCCCTGGCTTATTCTTTACTTTTTCCTACTTTTCCAGGCTCAGCAGGGAGCTGCTGGATGAGAAAGAGCCTGAAGTCTTGCAGGACTCACTGGATAGATGTTATTCGACTCCTTCAGGTTATCTTGAACTGCCTGACTTAGGCCAGCCCTACAGAAGTGCTGTTCACTCATTGGAGGAACAGTACCTTGGCTTGGCTCTTGACGTGGACAGTGAGTACCTTACTATGAAGGTGATAAGCCTCCACCTGGTCTTCCAGATAGGGGTGATATTCCTGTTCCCAGTGGCCCTTACTGACCCGAGAGATGTCATTGCCGCAGGCAGGACCTATGGGCGCATATAGGTTGTAATGAAACTGTAGTCTCCGCTGGAAGCCTAGACATGAAATGGGTCAGTGAGCAAGGCTCTATTCCTAGTCTCCAGCCATGCCTGTGGCAACCTGAGCCCGCTCTCAGCACATTGGACCCAGGCAGATGTAAAAAATTCACAGAACTATGATTTGGACTCAAGGGTTTGTAGATTTCCTCCCTCATTCTAATTTCAGTGTCTAAAATTCTTGCATCCATGAACGAGCTGGGCATTTGATGAGACAGGGCTGAATACTGCAGTTTTCCTCCTAGAAATCATCTGGGGCATTGTCTTTGAACTGATGGGAACAATAAGGCATAACTGTTTGCACAAACTTGGGATAAATGATTTTGGGATAACGATCTACCAGAATAGGGATATTTCACCCTTGGTTCTGAGATGCAAACCAAAGAATATCATGACCAGCTTTCAGGCCTCCTGAAGTATATCTCTCACATTGTCCTGTTCTCTTGCTGAGGAGCCTGAGATCCCTGTGTGGGGATTAGACAGTGGACTGTTACGGGTGTAGGTGAATTGGCTTATTTTGTCTGTCCCTGTCTGAATGTATTGCAGGAATTAAAAAGGACCAGGAAGAGGAAGAAGACCAAGGCCCACCATGCCCCAGGTAACTGAGCAATTGTGAACAGCTACTTCTGTGTTGACATCTGGAGACTCCTGGTTCAGGGAAAACAGGGCGGGCTGACATTATCGATTACATCTTTTCAACCGAGCCTGAATTATTCCTACTAACATTGCCGTTGGTTTTCATTGCAGTAGATATTTAGGTTTCCATTTCTTCCTCCCCTTATCATTTACTAACCTACTGTAGGTGGACCAGACTTCAAAAACTGTATTCTCATGGCGACTGCATGGAAACTTGAGCACATTTTATGGAAAATTATTGAGCACAGTCCTTTCCTGATCACTGTATGCTGTGTGTCCTGAGGGCACTAACTCAGAGTGTCCTGTTACTCCCTCATCAGTGTGTCACCTGGACAATTCACTGAGCTCATTCTCTGTGTGTGTGTGTGTGTGTGTGTGTGTGTGTGTGTGTGTGTGTGTGTGTCTATCTGTCTTTCTCTTTCATTCTTTTCCATTTGGCCCTGTTCTGTCCCAACATGAAGGCAATAATTTGTTACCTCATTAATGGATCTCTCCTTTTACTTTTTCAACCACTTCCTTATGCTACCCATGAAACCTAGTTGGGGCTCTGTTGTGTCTGATTTCCCCTGGCTTATTCTTTACTTTTTCCTCCTTTTCCAGGCTCAGCAGGGAGCTGCTGGAGGCAGTAGAGCCTGAAGTCTTGCAGGACTCACTGGATAGATGTTATTCAACTCCTTCCAGTTGTCTTGAACAGCCTGACTCCTGCCTGCCCTATGGAAGTTCCTTTTATGCATTGGAGGAAAAACATGTTGGCTTTTCTCTTGACGTGGGAGGTGAGTACCTTTCTATGAAGGTGATAAGGATCCACTGAGTCTTCCATATAAAGATCATATTCCTGCTCCAAGTGGCCATTACTGAGCTGAGAGATGTCATTGCTGCAGTGAGGACCTATAGGCACATGTAGGTTGAATGAAACTCTAGTTCTAACTGGAAGCCCAGACATGGGATGGGTCAGTGAGCATGGCTCTCTTCCTAGTCTCAGGCCATGCCTGTGGCACTCTGATTCTACTCTCATGACATTGGACCTGGGCAGATGTGACAAATTCAGAGAACTATGATTTTGACTCAAGGGTTTGTAGATTTCCTTTTTCACTCTAATTTCAGTGTCTAAAGTCCTCACAACCATGAACAATCTGAGTATTTGATGAGACAGGGCTAAATATTGCAGTTTTTCTCCTAGAAATCATTTGAGGGTATTTGCTTTAAATTGATTGGAAAAATATGGCATAACTGTTTGCACAAACTCGGGACAAATGATATTGGGATAACGATCTACTAGAATAGGGACATTTTACCCACAGTTTCTGGGAGAAAAACCGAGGAATTTCTATCATGACCAGCCTTCAGGCCTCCTGAAATATATCTCTCACAGTCTCCTATTCTTATGCTGAGGAGCCTGAGGTCCCTGTGTGAGGATTAGACAGTGGATTGTTATGTGTGTAGGGGAATCAGCTTAATGTGTCTGTCCATGTCTGAATTTATTGCAGAAATTGAAAAGAAGGGGAAGGGGAAGAAAAGAAGGGGAAGAAGATCAACGAAGAAAAGAAGGAGAAGGGGAAGAAAAGAAGGGGAAGAAGATCAAAACCCACCATGCCCCAGGTAACTTTCAGCAATTGTGGATGCTTAATTCTGTGTTAACACCTGGAGGCAACAGATTCAGGGAAACCAGAGTGTGTTTGATTTCATGTTTTCAACGAAGGCTGAATTACTCCTACTGTCATTGCTGTTGGTTTTCATTGCAGTAGATGTTTAGGTTTCCATTTCTTCCTCCCCTTATCATTTACTAACGTACCATAGGATGACCATACTTCAAAAGCTGTACTCTCGTGGCCACTGCATCGAATTTTGAGCATATTTTATGGAAAACTATTGAGCTCACTCTTTTCATGATCGCAGTTTGCTGTGTGTCATGAGGGCACTAACTCAGAGTGTCCTTTTACTCCCTTACCAGTATGTCACCTGGCCAATTCACTAGCTCACTTTCTCTCTGTCTCTGTCTCTGTCTCTGTCTCTCTGTCTTTCTCTTTCATTGTTTTCTACCTGGCCCTGTTCTATCCCAACATAAAGGCAATAATTTTTTTTTTTTACCTCATTAATGGATCTATCCTTTTCTTTTCTTACCACTTCCTTACGTTACTTCTGAAATCTAGTGGGGCTCTGTGGTGTCTGATTTTCCCTGGCTGCTTCTTTAGTTTTGTCTGCTTTTCCAGGCTCAGCGGTGTGCTGATGGAAGTGGAAGAGCCTGAAATCTTGCAGGACTCACTGGATAGATGTTATTCGACTCCGTCAATGTTCTTTGAACTACCTGACTCATTCCAGCACTACAGAAGTGTGTTTTACTCATTTGAGGAACAGCACATCAGCTTCGCCCTTGACGTGGACAATAGGTTTCTTACTTTGATGGGAACAAGTCTCCACCTGGTCTTCCAGATGGGAGTCATATTCCCACAGTAAGCAGCCCTTACTAAGCCGAGAGATGTCATTCCTGCAGGCAGGACCTATAGGCACGTGAAGATTTGAATGAAACTATAGTTCCATTTGGAAGCCCAGACATAGGATGGGTCAGTGGGCATGGCTCTATTCCTATTCTCAGACCATGCCAGTGGCAACCTGTGCTCAGTCTGAAGACAATGGACCCAAGTTAGGTGTGACACGTTCACATAACTGTGCAGCACATGCCGGGAGTGATCAGTCAGACATTTTAATTTGAACCACGTATCTCTGGGTAGCTACAAAGTTCCTCAGGGATTTCATTTTGCAGGCATGTCTCTGAGCTTCTATACCTGCTCAAGGTCAGTGTCATCTTTGTGTTTAGCTCATCCAAAGGTGTTACCCTGGTTTCAATGAACCTAACCTCATTCTTTGTATCTTCAGTGTTGAATTGTTTTAGCTGATCCATCTTTAACACAGGAGGGATCCTTGGCTGAGGATTGTATTTCAGAACCACCAACTGCTCTTGACAATTGTTAACCCGCTAGGCTCCTTTGGTTAGAGAAGCCACAGTCCTTCAGCCTCCAATTGGTGTCAGTACTTAGGAAGACCACAGCTAGATGGACAAACAGCATTGGGAGGCCTTAGCCCTGCTCCTCTCGATTCCATCCTGTAGAGAACAGGAGTCAGGAGCCGCTGGCAGGAGACAGCATGTCACCCAGGACTCTGCCGGTGCAGAATATGAACAACGCCATGTTCTTGCAGAAAACGCTTAGCCTGAGTTTCATAGGAGGTAATCACCAGACAACTGCAGAATGTAGAACACTGAGCAGGACAACTGACCTGTCTCCTTCACATAGTCCATATCACCACAAATCACACAACAAAAAGGAGAAGAGATATTTTGGGTTCAAAAAAAGTAAAAAGATAATATAGCTGCATTTCTTTAGTTATTTTGAACCCCAAATATTTCCTCATCTTTTTGTTGTTGTCATTGATGGTGGTGACATGGACTTGTTTATAGAGGACAGGTCAGCTGTCTGGCTCAATGATCTACATTCTGAAGTTGTCTGAAAATGTCTTCATGATTAAATTCAGCCTAAACGTTTTGCCGGGAACACTGCAGAGACAATGCTGTGAGTTTCCAACCTTAGCCCATCTGCGGGCAGAGAAGGTCTAGTTTGTCCATCAGCATTATCATGATATCAGGACTGGTTACTTGGTTAAGGAGGGGTCTAGGAGATCTGTCCCTTTTAGAGACACCTTACTTATAATGAAGTATTTGGGAGGGTGGTTTTCAAAATTAGAAATGTCCTGTATTCCGATGATCATCCTGTAAACATTTTATCATTTATTAATCATCCCTGCCTGTGTCTATTATTATATTCATATCTCTACGCTGGAAACTTTCTGCCTCAATGTTTACTGTGCCTTTGTTTTTGCTAGTGTGTGTTGTTGAAAAAAAAAACATTCTCTGCCTGAGTTTTAATTTTTGTCCAAAGTTATTTTAATCTATACAATTAAAAGCTTTTGCCTATCACTCTGGACTGTTGGATTGTTTTTTACATTCAGTGTTATAATCTTTTGTTATGCTGATTGGTTTTGGTGGGTACTGATGTGAATTAATAAAAACATTTCCATTTCCCTGTTTATTTTCTAATCTCTTCCACCTTGTAGGCTATGTTTACCATATGTAGCAGAATGCATTTACTCCATTTCTTGGTTCTAGATATTTATATTCTTTGTGAGAGTGTGTGTGTGTGTGTCTGTGTGTGCCTCTGGCATTTAGGAAGGGTTGTGTAGTTCATGTTTGATATTGATTAAAAATGTTTCATAGTTTTCCCCCCTTTGAACTAGACACACTTCTAATATTTGGTTTATACATTTTAAATTATGACTTTCAACGTCAAATATTTCCATATGACAGTCAGTTACATGATGTGTTTTCTTTTTCCTACCTCCTTTACCTGCCACTTCTCATAATGGTATTTGAACCTAAACATATGCCAGTGAAATTCTGTGGTTGTCATCTTGCCCACACCTTGGTTTTTGGTTTAGATCCACAATTAAATATATTAATGCTCATGAGCTGTTCAAAAGTGAATGTCACAGTCATCACTTGCTGAGTGGTACTCATCCTTAACAGAGTCCTCATGAGGGAATCAGGTCTCGCTGAGTTTAGCATGTTTAATAATCTTCCTCGTGGTCTTGATACATGGATCGCATTACTGGATATAAGGTGTTTGCCCAAAATGATTTTTCTTGCATTTTTAGGAGCTATTGTCTTCCTTGCGGGACATACATGCTGTATGTTCTCATTGTGGGATTCTATTTTGTTCTACCAGGACCTATAATTTCTGCCAGTTACTTCATTTGTTCTCTTCACCATGAGTCTCCAGAGGATGCTTCCTTTGTCCATGCCTCCCCATCTCCCAGCAATTCTGCGTTTCCAAGACTGGCACCTCTGGTCCTCTGCATGGTGAAGCCCCTTCCTTTCAATTCCCCAGTAGCCAGTGCTCTAATCCACCAGGTCTCAGGCATGATCTGTGTTTCTCCACATGCTCTTTCTGAGGATAGTTTTACCTGTGTTCTGTCATGAACAGGCCCTCCCTGCTGTCCTGGCCTCGATTTGCTTAGTGTTTCCTGCTCCCTCTGCCCTTGTGTGGCTCCCAGACCAAGTGAAACAAAATCACCTGAGGGCCACAGTGTTCCCTAGCCCTGGCGTTTAGGGGCAGGGTTATGGGTGGGATTTTTGACTCTCTAAGTTAACGCCTAGGGCTTTGAAGTGTCTGTTGAGAAATTCAGCTGTTATCATCCTAGGTGGACTTGCTCTCTCCTGTCCTCCTACTTCAAATGCAGAACTTCAATCGTGTACAAAAGAAGACTGAGTCATATAATAGAACACACCCTTATTCATTGGCTGGCTTCACCAATCATCTCATGGCTGAACTTTTAAAAATACAATCTTAGCCACATACCTATGAAATGTATATGTGTGTGTATACATATGTGAATTTGTTTCTGAGATTATGGAGGCTGAAATTCCCAAGATGGAAGGAAAGCTGGATACCCAGGAAAGCATTTGTTTCCCATTAGGCCTCTTAATTCTCTCCTGACCTTTGATTGATTGCATGAGTCCCACCCCCGTTAAGGGGGGCAATCTGCTTCACTTAGTCTGCCCATCCCGATGTTAATCATATGTGAAACACTCTCTGGAACACAACCAGAATCACATTTGGCCGAATGTCCCGGCACCCTGGTGCTCAGTCACAGTGACACGTGCAAGTAACTATCACACTTGTCCTTTGTCACATTTGTCATTTCCCCTGTTTTTCTCCCAATCTGCAGCTTATATTTGTTCTCTTAATACTGTCTCGTGTTGAGCAAAAACTTTTACTTTTTATAAAGTTGAATTTATCAATGTTTTCTTTAATGGTTTGTGTTTCTTGATAACAAAGAACACTTTGCCTAACTGTGTCGTGAAGATTTTGTCTTATATTTCCTGCTATACTTTTTCTACTTTTATAGTTTATATTTAGTTGCATAATCCATTTTGAGTTAGTTTTTGAGTCAGTATTGAGGTTCAGGTGAATCTTTTTCCTTTGGGGATATGCATGTCCAGTTGTTTCTACACAATTTGTTGACAAGAGAATGCCTTCTCCACTGAATCATATTTGGACCTTTGTCAATCCATTGGGTGGTTGAGACTGGTCTGAGGGCTGTCCTGGTGTTTGGACAGAGAGACAGGGCATGAAGTAGGGTGGTTCTTATGGGAAAAATTAAGGAAGGCACATTATTCTATGAGGCATAGGAAGCCCCAAGCACAATTGGGGTACCTTCTACCAGCATGTTGTAGCACATTCATCTCTGCTGTCTCTACCTCTCCTGTTGCAAAAGCTTGGGTGTGCATAGACACTGAGGTTGAGTGGTGTCTTTGGGCACTTTTGAGCATTGACACCAAAGCTCCAGCATCAAATCTTAGAATATCAAGCAGCCGGGTGGATCACCTGAGGTCAGGAGTTCACGACCAGCCTGACTAGCATGGTGAAGCCCTGTCTCTACTAAACACAAAAAGTTTAGCTGGGCATGATGGTGCATGCCTGTAATCTGAGCTACTTGGGAGGCGGAGACAGGAGAATCGCTTGAGTACCTGGGAGGCAGAGGTTGCAGTGAGCTGAGATCACACAATTGCACTCCAGACTGGGCAACGAGAGTGAAACTCCATCCCCCCAAAAACAAATAAATAAAAATAAAAGAATATCAAGCAGTCAAAGAAGCAGGAAAACATGACACATACTGAAGAATCTAATAATCTGGTTGAAATTGACACACACGTTGGAAATAGAAGAAAAGGACGTTACCGCAATTAGTATAATTGTATTTTAATTAAATGGAGAGGTTGAAGATTTTTTAAATATCAAATTCTGTAGATAAAAACTATGATTTACAGTGTGAAATGGAAGAAGGCACTGGATTAAATATTGCAGAAGAGAAGATTATTAAACTAGAAGGAATAGAAGTTGAAACTAACATAAATGAAACACACATTAACAAATGACTTGAAAACACATAAAGACCATCAGCATCAAAACTTTAAACACCCTAGTATAGGGCTAAATGGAATCCCTGAAGGGCAGGTAGTGGAGAAGAGAGACAAAGATATTTAAAACATACTGGATGAAAGATTTAGAAGCTCCATGGAAATCATAAACTTCAAATATTACAGAAATATGATTATCCCAAGAACAAGAAACATGCAGAAAACTTCACCAAGGAACACCTTAATCAAATCCATCAAAACCAGTGATAAAAAGGAAATCCTAAAAGTAATAAAAGGGAAAAGAACATGTTACATACAGAGCACTAAATATAAGGATGGCATAAGATTTCTCATAGGAAACTTTACAAACAAGAAGTTTGCAATAAAGTACTTAAAAAAAGAAAAACTGTCACCTACAAGTCTACACCTGGCCAAATTATCTTTCAAAAATAAACATGAGAAAAAATATTTTTGAACAGAAAACAAAATGATCTCAATTTGCAGATGGTGTGATCCTATGTATAGAAAATCCCAAACAATACATACAAAGGCAAACACACATACATGCACACAGACACCAGACACACACACACACACACACACACACTATCAGAGTTAATAAGTGAATTCAGCAAACTTTCAGCAAACAATCCATTGTGATGGCAATGAACTATCTGAGAAGTAAACTGACACAATGATTTCATTTATAATAGCACCTGTAAGGATAATATGCCTGGGAATAAATTTGTTCAAGAAGGTGCAGTACTTGTACACAGACAACTACAGAACATTGCTCGAGGAGATTCAGGAAGACCTAAATCAATGGACAGACATCTTGTGTCCATGGGTTGGAAGTTGTAACATGGTTAAGATAAAAATACAACTCAAAGCAACCCACAGATTCAATACAATCCTATCAAAAAGTGGCCTTTTTTACAGGAATGCCTAACAAGAACTTCATATTCCTAAAAAATAGTGTGTCCCCCCAAAACAAAAGCAATCTTGAAATGCAAGAAGAAACATTTTCTATTCCAAAGGTCTTTAACTGCTCTAAGCAGTACTTGGTAGTCTTCAATATATAGGCTTTCACATCTCTTTTTTTCTTCTTTTGTTTCTGCACAGGATCTCACTCTTTCACCCAGGCTGGAGTACAGTGGCACAATCACAGCTCACTGCAGCATGGAATTCTCAGGCCTATGACATCCTAGGGCCTCATCCACTGATTCCTGGGACTACAGGCTCACACCACCAAACCCGCATAATTTTTCTGATTTTCAGTAGAGATGAGGGCTCACTATGTTGCCTAGGCTAGTTTCAAGCTTCTGAGATCAAGCAACCCTCCTGCCACAGCCTTCCAAAGTGCTGGGATTTGAAGCCAAGCCTGGCTGGCTTTCACGTCTTTTCTATGTAGTTTATATTTCTGGATGCCATTGAGAGTCTGGCTGGCTTTCACATATTTGCTATGTCGTTTATATTTCTTGATGTTATTGTAAATGTTTATTAAAAGAATCTTTTAAAAACTTTGTTTTGGCCAGGCGCGGTGGTCCACGCCTGTAATCCTAGCACTTTAGGAGGCCGAGGTGGGTGGATCATGAGGTCAGAAGATCGAGACCATCCTGGCTAACACGGTGAAACCCCATCTCTACTAAAAATACAAAAAAAAAAAAATTAGCCTGGCGTGGTGGCGGGCGCCGGTAGTCCCAGGTACTTGGGAGGCTGAGGCAGGAGAATGGCGTGAACCTGGGAGGTGGAGCTTGCAGTGAGCCAAGATGGTGCCACTGCACTCCAGCCTGGGAGACAGAGTGAGAGTCTGTCTCAAAAAAAAAAAAAATTGTATTAAAATTATATATTTAAGGAATTACATATATATTTATATATATATATAATACATATCCTTAAATTATATATATTTAAGGAATACAACCTGAGGACTACATATACATATACATAATGAACTAATGCCTACTAGGTGAGGGGCTGCCTTGTGAGCAAACCCAAGGTCCCTGGCTTATGAAGCCTTTGTCTAGAAGGATGGAGGGATCAGCAAGTTGGGCACACAGCAGGTTCTGTCTTTGGTGTGGGCATCTGCCCACTCGGGTCTCTGGCAATACTAACCAGGCTTCACGATGGGTGAGGTGAGCTAGGAATGGGAAAGTGGATGACTTCAGATCCAGAGACTGCAGTTGTCACCTGAGGACCTGGCGTAGGCATGGAGGGGTCTCCCACTCACTTGGCCCTGGGTCAATGCCCAAACATGCACAAGGACGGGACTCTCGGCCTCAATGCTTTAGGAGCCCCCAGTCTTCTAAAGAGGGTTTGTGGTGGGGAAGAATGTTCAACAAAACAGAAGAGTTATGGGTACTCTAGCTTGGCAACAGAGAATACTTCCTTGTGCTACTAAATGGCAATATTTGACAATTATGGATGACACAATTGAGCAACAGCTTTCACTGTTTAACAAGCAGGGTCTCTGGAACACTAGGTTAGTGCTGTCGGATGTTGACTGAAAAGTCAGTGGTTTGAGCCCATCCAGTCATATTAATGTTTCTAGCTGATGTGACCTTCCATCTGAAGAGTCTCTTCCTTGGACCAACTATCTCTTAAAGCTTCTCTTCTTCTTGTCTCTTGTCCATTCTCTAAGATGCCTCTTTGTTGCTTGGGGCAAAAAAAGTCCATTTTTAATCCACACCCAACAAACATCTACCCTTACGTATCCTGGTTTTTAGGGTTTTGAGTCTGTTGTTTGTTTTCTCAGCTTCTCATATTTGGAATACTGGAAATTCCTAAAGTGGAGAATGACAGAACATGAATCACACCTATGGTGAAGCCACAGGCCCTGGATGAAAAACCTAATCTGCCAGCATTTGAAGTTAAACACATTAATCTTCTGTGCCTCCATTTCTATCTGTCCAATGGGCTAAATCAGAACACTTAGGTTGTCCAGTGTTTAAATGAGCAGTGCAGGAAAAGCCTGGAGCCAATGCCTGTCACGTAGTAATTGGTCAACACGCATGAGCTCCTATCAGCGCCATGGTCTCCAGCATTTCCATCAGGCTTTGATCTTTGAAACGTCCTTCTTGATATGAATGGATCATTCCTCAAACATTCTCTAACCGATGGCCATGAAATTGCTCCAATGTGTATTATTACAAATATAACTGCAGGGACCAGACTGACACATGTATCTGTCGTGCATCGCTTGTCTATTTCTCCGTAGACACCTGGAGATGGAATTGTCAGACCAAAGTATTTATACATGTTTGATTTTGCTAATTTCTGTCTAAATTACTGTGAAAAGAAAATATAACATGTCATACCTTTAACATTTTTTGAGAATTCTTTTTTTCTCCATCTTCTGGTCAAAACTGGGAAGTACTTGCCTACCATTTCCTCTGAACTCACTTTTGCCAACATTTGTGTAGTCATACAGTGGGATCACATTATATGCATGACATCAAACTCAAATCCTTAAATGAAAGCGATTAACATGACTGTGTAAAAATTTATCTTCAAAATACAATGAATACATATATACACACATACTTATATGGGAAAGGAATTATTTTATTTGGATACTTTATCAAAGTCATATATACTTGAAAATTTGTTTAGTAAAACAGCAGTCCCCTTGTGTACTCCCAGAGTTTCATCACATAGAAGCAATTATTTCGTTATTTATCTCCTTATGTCTAAATAGATATTATTACTTTTTGATTTTCAAGTTTAGGCACTACCTCTCCTTCACATACTTGCTCATCACCACCACCCCCAAACACGCCTCTCACCACCTTACCCTCCAACACGTTTGTGTCCTCGTTTGCTGGGTCAATTGCTACATTGTTATAACTTGTATATTTTATTCAGAGTTCAGTCACATTGGACATACATAGCAGGAATGAGAGGCCAGTATCTTCAGGGACTCTCTCTCAAGTGGATAAGCTTCAGAGATTTTTGTAATCTTTGGTCACTCTCCCCATCTTTTTCCTATTCCAGGTAAGTACTGGATCTGATGGGCCCAGCTCAGGTCAGGCACTCTCTCCTTGAGCAGTGGAGAGCGGGACATCTTCATGTGTAGTACCAGGAAGACACTGTCCAAAGAGGGACAGGTAGTTCTAAGACAGAAAAGTCTGTCTGGGGTACAGGTAGGCAAAACAAGGACACACACACAAAAATTAGTCTGTTCTGTGAGGGGAGCATGCAGTAGAGGGTGGATTCAGAGTGGGAGGGGAGAGTTTTGAGAGATATGGGCCATGGATATCACTCTGTGGGCCGGAGCCACACAAGACGGTTGGGGTCTCTCAGGGGCAGGGAGCTGAGGAGGATCTGCCCTCCCCAACCTGGGAGACTGGTGAGGGGACTGTCCTGGTCACCAGACAGAAATGGGGCCTGGGCCAGGGCAGTTCTGGTGGGAAAGAAAGAACAGGACATCTCCTTAAGGAAAGGTCCTGAGTCAGGTCTTGGCAGGGAGGGAGGTTACCTTGCCCATTGGCGGCTGAAGATGGTTGGCCAGATGAGGGCACTGAAATCCATGTCCTCTAAACTTGTAGTTCAGTAAAAGAATGACAGCAGTAAAGGGTCTTTAGGAAGAGGAGGTGGAAGACCTGATTTGGGTTGGGGGCTCCAAGAAGAATGTCTGCCTTGCTGTGCAGAAGCCTGCTACACAACCTCCCTGGTCCCCTTGCTCAGTCTCCCGGCCAGACTCCTGTGAGCCCTGGAAGTGCACAGTCAGCTTAGCCAAGGCATCTCCAGCCAGGACTCATCCCTGGGCATTTCTGTGGCCTTGGGTGCCCTGGCCTCCAGGCCCTGTCTTGCAGGCAATCATCCTGCAAGCGAAGGGGGAAGGGAGGCTACTTGACAGTTGACTCTGAGTGGCTCCACAAGGTCCTGACTTAGCTCCTAGTCACTTGCAAGCCTATATACCCCCATCTCATCCCCCAAACGATGAAAAGAAACTTTGCAGGACTCATGCCAGACAAATAGGGTGGGACCATTCTGTAGAGCCAAGTTCTCAGGACATCAATAAGAGATGGAAACCACCTGCTGGAAGGTGCCACAGTGGGAACCTTGGGGTCAGGGAGCAGTCACTGAACTGTCAGGGTGAATCCTGGCTCCTGGCCCTCACACACCCTTTCTCCCCCTCCCTCCTTCTCTCCTCCCTCCTGTCTGCTCTTTCCCCTCTCTCTCCTGAATCCCTCAGGTACCTTCCCATGGGCCCTCACCCCTCCTTTTCAGAGGCTCCAAAGTGAGCCCTCAAAACACTTGGTAACCTTGGGCATTTCCAAAACTGGAGAGACTTGACCACAGCATTTTTATGAGCTAGGAACGTCCTCCAGAGCTCTTGCCTAAATTTTTCTGCTGATGAGAAGAGAACAAGAGTTTCCATCTGATCTGGTCCTAAGGCAACTTCTCTTTGGAGCAGAGTCTGGGCAGGAAGAAGGGGGTTGCCCAGGGCCCCGGACTTGCCCCTCCCAGCTGCTCTGCTCCTCTCCCCTTCACTGCGGGAGGCTGGCCAGGGATCAGGAGCCTCTGTTCTCCACAGATGCTGGGATTCCAGGCTCAAATCTAAATATTGGCTGATTTAGGAGGCTAAGGGAGGCAATTCCCTGGAGGGAGGTGTCAGGATTTGGGACAAGAGCAGCATCTAGTTGTCATCCACAGAGACCCCAAGAACAGAAATCCACTGGTAGCCGGTTGGAGGGGATCCCATGAAAACAAGATGAAACGCGCGCATTAGTACCGGACCCAAGATCAGGAGATGAAAAACTGCACTGTCCTAAGGGATGAAAGAATTAGGGAATCCTGGAAGTAAAATTTTTCATATAGGTCATTTCTTCCAAAGAGACATAGGGCAATGGCCCAATGACGTGAACAAAAGGAAACTCAGGGTCTAGGATTGAGGGGAGGCAGCCTTTTTAGTGGAGACCTGTGACCTGGAGGCCCAGGGTCACCCTGAGAGGGGAGGGGTCTTGCTGGTCGCTGGGTCCGGGACTCCAATTGCACACAGCCAGTGGCATGGAGGGTCTGTGACCACGATTGGGCAATTTCCCCCATTCTGCTTATGGAGCAATAGAGAGGAACCTCACTGGAATTATACAGAAAGGTACCAGTGGGACTTGAACTCTGATCACTGAATTCAGAGTCCAAAGTGCTCACCATGGAACCTCACACTAGCTTATAACTGGAGGTAACTGAGTTCATACTTAGCAGCCATAGTTCCCACACACCTATGTTAAGGCATTTCTTCTGATCCCTCAAGCAACACCAAAGAAGGTGGACCTGCGAGAGAGGAGTCATCCTCTTTCTTTCTCTCTGCCCTCTCCTTTGATCAACTTTTATCATTTCATTTGCACCTCAGAAAATGAGGCAAAATCCAGTTTGGGCTTAGGGCCAGAGAAGAGCCCCTGAGGCCTCCCTCTGGAAAACATACTCTCTCAGTTTACCAGAATTTCCTGTACCAAGGGGAAATTTCCGCAAACAGTAGTGTTATATTCTTTTTGCCTTCCCTCTTTTCCCTTTGCCCAGGGAGGCCAGATGATTGTGAGAACAGGACTTGGGACTTCTTGGGTGTCTTGCCCCCTTCCTCCATGTGATAAATAATGGCTGACACCAAGCAAGTGGGATTGGGAGGCAGGGAATCTTTCATTTTCTTCTTCATATACTTCTATGCATTTGTTTGGTTGGTTTTGGCAAGATTTTCTCACCAGAAATGGAGATTTGTTGGATTTAAAATAAAAAGTAATCAGCCATGTTTTACATTTCTATAAAACACTCAAACCAGGCCATACTCCCCTGCTGTGCCTCAAAATCAACCATAAACTGTCGAGGTCAGG
Source organism: Homo sapiens (assembly GCF_000001405.40). Taxonomy (NCBI): domain Eukaryota; kingdom Metazoa; phylum Chordata; class Mammalia; order Primates; family Hominidae; genus Homo; species Homo sapiens. The sequence continues at coordinate 575,303 of NW_025791756.1, read as the reverse complement.
AGGCAGGGCCCTGACACTTAAGCACAGTGTGTTTCCTCAGAATTGGCCAAGTTGATGCCACTCCAATTTCTCAATATACCACAACCCATTAATTGCGGTTTTTTAAAGGGTACATGTATTTTTACCAAAACCACAGGGCTTCAGTGTTCTCAGCACACAGAAAGCCAATCATTGAGACATTGAGTATTGCTGAGGAAGAAGGCTTTAATCAGGTGCTGCAGCTGAGTAGACAGGAGATGAGTCTCAAATCTGTCTCCCTGATTGACTAAAGTTAGGGGTTTATATAGCGCAGAAGAAAAGTTAACTGTGTGTGGGAAAAGAGGAACTAGGGAGGGCTGAGGAAGCACTCGTGATGAGTGAGGGGACTGGCATCTCATTGTCTGGATGCTGTGATTGGCTGAGTTTCAGGTCTCTGATGCTTTTTGAGAGGCCTGAGAGTCCTTTCCTGAGGAAGGAACTCAGATAAAACAAATATAAGTTTGTTTTATAGAATGGCTTGACCACAGGAGTTTGAAACCAGCCTGGGCAATATGGTGAAACCCTGTCTCTACCAAAATACAAAAAGAAAAAGAGGGTTGCTTCTAAGATGGCTGAATAGGAACAGCTCCGGTCTACAGCTTCAGGTGAGATAGACACAGAAGACAGGTGATTTCTGCATTTCCAACTGAGGTACCTGGTTCATCTCACTGGGACTTGTTGGACAGTGGATGCAGCCCACGGAGGATGAGCCAAAGCAGGGTGGGGTGTCGCCTCACCCGGGAAGTGCAAGGGGTTGGGGGATTTCTTTTTCCTAGCCAAGGGAAGCTGTGAGTGACTGTACCTCGAGGAGCAGTACACCCCTGCCCAAATACTGTGTTTTCCACTGTCTTTGCAACCGACAGAACAGGAGATTCCCTCTTGTGCCTGGCTCGGCAGGTCCCATGCCCATGGAGCCTTGCCTGCTGCTAGCACAGCAGTCTGAGATCAACCTGTGACACTGGAGCATGGCAGGGGGAGGGGGTTCTGCCACTGCTGAGGCTTGAGTATGTGGTTCTATGGTCACAGTGTAAATAAAGTGGTAGGGAAGCTCGAACTGGGTAGAGCCCACTGCAGCTCAGCAAGGCCTACTGCCTCTAGATTCTACCTCTGGGGGCAGGGCATATCTGAATAAAAGGCAGCAGACAGCTTCTGCAGACTTAAACGTCCCTGCCTGACAGCAGGGACTGCTGTCATAATCATTATGATTATGAATCATAATCATGAAGACAATCTGTATTCCAGAATAGTAAGGGAACCTATTCCATCAGGGAGCCAACTGAAAACATCAAATCCCAGTTCACACCCCAGGGTGTGGTGTCATGCACCTGTAGTCCCAGCTACTTGGGAGGATTAGTAAGGAGGTTTGCTTGAATTCATGAGGTCAAGGCAGAAGTAAACCCTGATCATGCCACTGTACTCCAACCTGGGCGACAGTGAGACCTTGTCTCAGAAACAAACAAACAAACAAAAAACCCCACAAAACCAAACAACAACAAATTGTCACCTCATTCTGAAATGACAGTGGCAAACATCACTTTGCTATTTGAAAATTAAAAGAAGCCGGGCGCGGTGGCTCACGCCTGTAATCCCAGCACTTTGGGAGGCCGAGGTGGGCGGATCACAAGGTCAGGAGATCGAGACCATCCTGGCTAACAGAGTGAAACCCCAACTCTACTAAAAATACAAAAAATTAGCTGGACGTGGTGGCGGGTGCCTGTAATCCCAGCTACTGGGGAGGCTGAGGCAGGAGAATGGTGTGAACCCGGGAGGCAGAGCTTGCAGTGAGCCGAGATAGCCCCACTGCACTCCAGCCTGAGCGAAGAGCGCGAGACTCCGTCTCAAAAAAAAAAAAAAAAAAAAAGGAAATTAAAAGAAAAACACTCCCTCTTGCTATCAACCTGCCCTCTTGCTCTAACTTGTCTGACCCATGGTTTAAAATGCCCAAAAGCTGAAGTACTCAAATTATAGTACACTTACCTGCTCTGCACCAGCATTTACTTTTGTCTGGAGGAGATCACCATGCATGGTCCTATAAATGTCTAACGGCATGGAATGATGAAGGGCAGTGTCTTTTAGGATAGTTGGATATATATATATATATATATATATATATATATATATATATATATATATATGCGGAATGCTACATCACAAGGATAAGGATGTGAAAAGAACCAGTTTCTTTTGTAATCCTAAATGTTCTAGTCTGAGAATTAAAAGCCATTGTTCGAAGAAGGGTGCCCAGGGTCCAGCTGGTCGCCGAAAGCTTGCTCCGCAATACAGGCTAAGGACCAGCTTCTTTGGGAGAGAACAGATGAAGGAAGCAGGAGAGAAAAAAGGGAGAGGCAGACGTCACTTCCCCTTGCCGGCTCCGGCAGCGGGTTGGTCGGCTGAGCGGCAGAAAGGCAGACGGGGACTGGGAAAGGCACTGTCGGTGACATCACAGATAGGGCGACTTCTATGTAGATGAGCCAGCGCAGGGGCTGCTGCTTCGCCACATGCTGCTTCGCCACGAAGGAGTTCCCGTGCCGTGGGAGCGGGTTCAGGACCGCTGGTCGGACCTGAGAGTCCCAGCTGTGTGTCAGGGCTAGGAGTCCCATTGAGCAGTCTTGATCCTGTATTAGCCCCAGGAAATGAAATAGAAACAGGACCCTACGTTAAAAAGTTGCAGTGGAGATGTGGTGGCCACCAGGGGCTGGAACTGTGGGGTGACTGAGAGTATCCAAAGCCCTGTGGCCAACTTACTGGTGCTGAGTGTGCTGGTGAGCCTCTCTGTCAGCTGGCTTCCCTGGGCCAGTTGCTCCCGGAAGCTCTGTCCCAGGTAGTAGTCAATGTCATTGCTCCTTAGGAGATCCTCAAAAGATTTTACTGTATCTTTTGCATGCTGGGTGAGAAGATAACAAACACCTCTCCCTTCTCGTACTTTTTGCCGTAGGTAAGACAGTTCCCGGGGCTGATCCTGAATCAGGGAATCATATTTCCTAATGCAGGACAGAAGAGGAAAGGGTGGATGATAAGTTATGGGGGCTTCTGTAGAGATTTCTATGAGAACATCTCTAAGGAACTCCCCCAAACTGAATTCTGGCACATAAGCCATAGGAGGCATTTAACAGTAAATTCTACCCTGATAAAGTATTGCACTAAAAAATTTAGTATGGGCCGGGCGTGGTGGCTCATGCCTATAATCCCAGCACTTTGGGAGGCTGAGGCAGGCAGATCACAAGGTCAAGAGTTCGAGACAAGCCTGGCCAATATGGTGAAACCCCTCCTCTACTAAAAACACACACAAAAATTAGCTGGGCATGGTGGCGCATGCCTGTAATCCCAGCTACTTGGGAGGCTGAGGGAGGAGAATTGCTTGAACCTGGGAGGTAGAGGTTGCAGTGAGCCGAGATGGCACCACTGCACTCCAGCCTGGGTGACAGAGTGAGACTCTGTATCAAAACAAAACAAAACAAAAATTTACCATGCCACTGTTCTTCAACTGTTATATATATGTTAATTATATGTCCCTAGATAAATTTTTTGGGAGCTGGGCCTCCAGCTGGGATACTCTCTGGAGGAGACTCTTCAGGTCCTTTTTGGCCTGAAGTCCTGGAGAGTAGAAAGCCCCAGTGCCATCAGACAGCCACAACTCATCCTCATCAGTGACACTATGAGGTGAAGACCCCTCCAGGGTGTCAGGAGCTCTCAGCTTCCAGGGTCTTTCCAGACTAGATGAATAATCACTTGTAACTGAGAGGGACTGGACCCGGCTCTTGAAGTTTTGAATGACCTTGTTGGCATTCTGCAGCTGGGCCTTCAGATCTTTGATGTCCTTTCATAGGACCCAGATGTTTTCTGACTTTCCATATACCCAGAACTCTTCCTGCTTCCCTAGTTCATTCTCCAAGGGCTTCCTCTCAGAGGAACTAGCCAGCGTTCAGCCCCGGCACCACTGCTCAGAGCACAGCCCCTCCATCAGGACCATTTCTTTGGGGCTGTTGTGCTCCTCACACTCTGAAAAAAGACAAAGATGTCTTCCTAAATAAAAGTTGGATGTGCTGTTGTGGCCACTGCCTTTGAGAGGAGGCAGGTTTGGTCATGAGGACAATAATTACTAGGGAAAAAGGTGAAGTCGTACTTTATTCAACCCTGACACTGTGCTAGGCATTCAAATACAGTATTTCTTATCCTCCTTATACCCATAAGTTAGGTTTCACCACTCTCTATTTTACTGACTGGGGAAACCAAAACTTAAAGAGAGGTAGTAAACCAGCTTGTTCTAGATCACTCAAACTAGCACATGGCAGAGCCTGAATTCAAATCCTCCAACGTCCTGTGTTCATTCCACACACACTGATGTTTCTCAAGACATTAACATGCCCTTATCTAGTTAGGATAGCCACAAGAATGTAGGACAAGCTATTTCTGCATGCTGCAAGTTTAATGCTCTCTAAAGTTTACTATAATTTAAAAGTTTATTGGGTTACCACTGTGTGAAAAATAGGCATAGGAAAATACGACTTCGAATAAATATATCAGCATGTTAACATCAGTGTATTGGGGCAGTGGTAGTCAGAATGAGAACTAATCCACAGCATTTTACCTGATGCCAGACACTGTTCTAAAGCATTTTATAAGAATTTACTCATTTAATTCACATTAGTATCTGATGGGGTAGGTAGTTCCTTTATTACTATTTTAACATATGAAGAAACTGGGGCATAGGAAAGTTTACAAATTGGGATTTGAAGCAACAAGTCTGGCCCCAGGATCTTTTCTCTTAACTGCCACACTACACTTCCTCAAGAATGAGAGAGACTGTGTTTTTCTTCTCTTCTGGTTTTCTTTTTTTTTTTTTTTTTTTTTTAGTTTGTAAGCAAACATTGATAGCCATGATTCCACAGATGTGGTAAGTAAACCAACAGCCATTCCTAAATAAAATACAAGAATTTCCATCATGCATAGTTTACAGGCTTGGTAAGAAGCAGTCTCTTTAGGGGCTAGATGCTTAAGAAATATTCAACAAACAATGAAATCTTGGCTTTTTTTTTTTTTTACACAAATGTTTGGTTATTTAGCCACATTAGTGATAAAACATATTCATATTCTAACTGCAAGTGGAATAAACATTGCAACAAAAATGCAACCCAATCAAAATCATTAGTAATAACTATTACTCCCTCTTAGCAGTAAGAACCATTATTCTTGGATTTCAAACATTTTATTTTCTGTGCATAGCTTATAGCACTGTATTATAGGAATCAGAGTGTATAAGCAAAAAAATGAAATAAAACTTCTTGAAGACCATTTCCATTATTTATGATTAAATCAATGAAACTATACAATTTCCACATTAAATACAAATTAGTAAAAGAATTCCTCCAAGTAGTATTGCATATAAGCTACAACTTTACCCCAACTATTTTAATCACTATGATTCGAGATTTCCTAGGATTTAACAGCCCAAGATTGGGCTGTTACTACCTCAGCAAGAACAATCACCAGTAAATACATGAACTGGGGTTATAGCTGAATTTTTAGAAACTCTCCAGACAAACCACGTGTTAGAGGAGGTAAGTAGAAAAACTAATGTTTGAGCTGTGCTATTCCTATCAGGAACTATGTCAAATATGCAAAGTTCAAACATTATTAGTAAAATAATATGAAAGGATCTATATATACTGTAAATTTAGCAAAAACACTTTTATGTGCAGAAGCCTAAATATCTTAGGAGGTTTAGAATACCAATGAAGAGAATTGTTAATTCTTCAAGGCTGGTTTCTTATGAGGATTAAAAACCAGCCCTTAGTCTCAGATGCATTCCACCTAGATGTGTTCACGAACTCCATAGAGTAAGAAATATAAACCATGAATATGTACTCTTAATTTCCATTTTTCAACTTAATGTTCTATAGTACTTCAGATTTTTAAATCCAGAGTTTGGTGTACACTTAGGAAATTATAGTAAGAGTAGATTAGAGAAGATTTGCTTGTTTTCCTTTTGAAGCCATGTGAAGGTTTATTACCCTGTGTATTTTCATCACTGAAAAGTTCCCCGGTGACTAATAAAATAAAAGTGTCACAAGCTACATGATGGATCTCTTCTTTTAATGTTGCATACAGTTTCAGTTTGGCTAGTGAGGGCTAACTAGCTCAGCCCTAGTTTCATTTTATTAGAGTTGACCACTAAAAACTAAATAAGGAAGTTACCAGTAAAGCTAATTCCCAATACAAGCAAAAAACAAAAACAAAACCATTCACATAATAAAATATATCCTTAACACAAAATAAGGGTATAACATATTCTGCAGCATGACATTTTATTTTATTTCTCAGCTGTAGCTTTTTCATTCAGAAATTGGAGACCATCTTTTCACTGAGTTGTTATTCCTTCCTCTTCCCTTAGCTTAGGGATATGTTGAAAAAGGCTTTTCAACAAGTATTTTATTTTTTACAAGTTGCTATGAAATTAAAATTTATATATATATCTTAAGTGTTTATAAAGCACTCAAAATTGTAGCTTACATGTATATGACTTCTGAAAATAAAAATCACACTTCTAACATAATCTTTCTGCTCTGCAAAAATATTCTACATACATGCATATGATCAAAACAATCTTTTCATGTTTGGGGTATTTCTTACACATAGTAAAAGAAAAGTCAACAATTATATCAGTACTTCCCCTGTTAAGATAACTGAGTGCCACCTAGTGTTCAATTTCTGCAACTACTAAGCTTACAAATTCAATACTGCTATTAAAACCCAGGTTCTGAAAACGGCATTTTGGAAATCTTTTTTTTTTTTTTTTATGTTTACGGTGGCAAAATACGACTATGAAAAGAACATGATATCAAAATCAGTATAAAAATAGCCACAGGCTACTTAAATATGACAAACAGACTTATTTTTTTTCTTCAAATGCAGACTTCTGCCTCCCTCAAATTGTATCAAAATCTCAAGGGAATATCTAGGTAACTGGAATATACACAATGACTCTATACAATCAAGAGGCCAGGGCTTAATCAGATTCCGTGAGGACAAGGCAAATGATTTCTTCAAAACACCCATTTTCTTACTGGAAGTGGTAGGAAAAGCAGCAATGCATGGTTTTTTTTTTTTTTTTGTAATTAGTAGACATGGTCTTCTACCCATAAGCTCCATTACATTAAAAGAACAAAGTGGGCTTAACATCTCACTTAAGATAATTCAGCATTATTATCAGTTTTAAAAAAACCAAAAATATCTTAGAAACAAATCAGTCTGCTTTAACAAATTGCATTCATGCTAATGAAATTTTAATCTTCTTTGTCATGATCAAAATCCAAATTGTAGGACAATCTTCAGAAAAGATGGAATGTAAAATGTTGAGTTCAATTTAGATGTCATCAATATCTTCATCATCATCTCCAATGTCATCAAACTGAATTTCATCATCATCTCCAGGACCAAATGTATCAGTTTCATTGATTTTAGCATGCTCTGGAAGCTCGCCGTATGCCTTCAGACTTCTAGCTTCGTCTGCATTGTATTTTAAAATTACATCAGCTTTGTTATCCTGGTAGTCTCGGAGACCAACCAAAATAATGTCCGAGGTATTTATCCAAACCTTTTTTCTCAATTTTCCTCTGATGTGACATAACCTCTTTACACCATCGAAACACATTGCTTCTAGCCGTCCATTTCCCAACATTTTGATTACCTGAGCATACTCCTGACCATCCTCTTTGAATACCAGTTCTCTTTTTTCAGATTCATTCTCATTCTTACCCCTGCGTCTATTTTTACCTCCTTTACCTTTATTCTTGGGCATGGCGGTGGCGGCGACCTCGCGGCGTCTCTGACTTCTTTCCGGGTAGCGGCGACCGCGGCGGCTGCTGCTCCGAGGGGCGACACGAGGGAGCGCGCGGGACCAAGTAGGTGCTGGAGGCCAGGCAACGTGCGCGGGAGAGGCTGGCGACCCAGCTCTTCGGAGATCCGCCTGCGTCCACGCTCGGCGGCAGCAAAATGCTCTTCTGGTTTTCAATGTGGTGGGTGGCCCTATGGTTGTAGTCCTTTTATAATGCAAAACAAAATTATTTTTAACTTACGGTTTGCATGTTTCCAAAACCTCATGTGGTCTCTAAGTAGGCCTTAGTATTTCTATAATAATCAGTTGGCTAGAACTTTATATTATTATTATTATTATTATTATTATTATTAGCAGTGTGCCACAAACTAATTGTAGAAATTCAAACTTATACGCAGCCTCATTTTGGGTAAGAGTTCTCCTATTAACCTCCTGTCCTCCTCTTCCCCACTACTTGTCAGGTGTGGAATTGGCCAACAGCACCCAAATGTGATAGCTGACTCCAGGGAGGGAAGGTGAGCCCCACACCCTGTGCTCTTACCGGGACTGGTGGTTTCCTCCTGTTCAGCCTCATTCTTGCTTTGGCCACAAGTCTCGTAGCCCAGGTCCTGGAGGTCCACCTGGACCTGTTTACTGTCCTGCTTCAGCAAGGGTTCACCTGCGTGGGAAGAGACAGCAGGTGTTACAGAATGTCTGAATTTCCCACATATGCCCTCAGCCTCAATGGCACATACCCTAACCTTGTGGGGCAGGGAGGGCAGATCCACAGTGCGAGAGAAGCTTCTTTGAACTGGTGGGAGAAGAGACCACCAGCTCCAGGAAGCAGAATTTCTTTCCACAGGAGGAGCCTGCATTTGCCATTGATAATCTCCCCTTCAGATAACCTAGGCCTTAGTTGGGACAAGGTATCTGTAAGTCAGGGATTGTGTACTCTCATCTCTAGCAGCCCCATTGAAGCTGGCAAGTGCTTTATCAGCAGGGGTTCAATAAATGTTGAATGGAGCTGAACTAATTTAGAGTCCCAAGACACCTAGACCTGCACTGTCCAATAAGGTAGTTAGTAGCCACATATGGCCACTTTATACTAAATTAACTAAAATTAAATAAAACCAAATGTCCAAGTTGCACTAGCCACACTTCATGTGCTCAATAACCACGTTATGTCTGTATAGAACATACAGAGCTTATAAGACGTACAGGCTAGTTCTTTACTAGTAAGTCATAGTTACCTACTAAGTATAACTCTGTATTTCTCCAGCTCGTTCGCCTGAGCAAAGACAGTGGCTTCTGATAGCAGCAGCTTCTCCTGGAGATCTTGATAGCGTTGTTTGCATTGTGACAGCTGGGAGCGCAGGTGCTGGGTGGACCCTGGTGGGCTAAACGCTGATTGGGCCCAGTGTCACAAGGCTGGGACTGGTTCTCCAACTGTGAAAGGGGCCAAGACAAGGATCAGGACAGTCCGAGGCCACCCCCATGCAGTGATGACCACGGCCCGTTGTGAACCCCGTGGACTTTACTCAAGTCTGTCACAGCACTTCTCATGCCATTTGGCAGTGACTTGCTTTCCAGATGGAGCTCCTGGAGTGCTGGGATAATGTTTTCTTCATATCTGTATCCACAGCACACAGCACAGCGCCAATCAAGTCTACAGAGGAGCTCTTAGGAAACGTTTTCTCAGTGGTCAAAAAGAGAAGGGGTGGAACCCTCCACTCATCTCCCCTCACATTCTGTGCCATCGATTCTCTCAGAATCCCCTGTATTCCCCATTTTACTGAATCTTCAGCATGGCTCCTCCCCTAAACAGGATCCCAATAACCCATCTGAGGTCCAGGAACAGACACCTGTGATGAGCTGTGACCAAAAAAAAAAAAAAAAAATGGCATTGATAAGGAAGGGATGTCATTACATACTACTTGTCTGGGCTGCCTCATAACCTGATGCATCCCTATGTTACAGCAGTTACCCCCTCCTATTAAAATTACCTGTTTATGTGCCATCTTTCCTTACCATATTAAGTATCTCAAGGGCAGCCATTGGTTTTATTGCCCCATGCCAATGCCTAGTGTGTTATCTGAAAAATTAAGTACTCAAGAAATATTTATATTGTAAAAGGCTTTCTAAAGGCTGAATGTAGGCTGAATATTATTACTGTTGTTTGTGGTACAAAGAGACCTTTCTCTTGGTACCTCTTGATTCACATGGGAGAACGTTTTAAAGTAAACACTGTCATCTCGAGCCCTTCTCCAGTGGTTTTTCATTCCATCTAAGCCTACATTGACTTGGTGGGCATCCACTGTGAAGGTAGCCCCAAGGTCAAGGCTCTGGGGTCTGGGGCAAGGCCTCACAGTTACATTCCCCTCCTCTTGGTGTTGGTGCTTCCCAGGAGAACCAACCAGTTCTGTGTTTATTCTGTCGATGGTGCTGGTCAGATGCACAAGGAGCTCTGGAGTAAGTTTACTATTCCCTTCTTTGCTACTCAGCACAAGTTGTTCTTGAGGAGGTTGATGATATTGTGGGCATTCTTCAGTTTTCCCTGGAGCTTTCTGAACTCAGCCTGAAGACTACTCTCACTCAGACCCTCTTTGGCAACCACAGTCTCAACCACCACCTTGCCCTTCTCCTTGTCTTCCTCAATCTCCCATCCCTCAGACATTTCTGCTCTTTCAGCTCTGCATTCTCAAGGCAAAGATGGGTTCTGGGTCTCCACAGTTGCCAGACTTTTCTCCAAAGCCACCTTGAGGAACTAAAAGAAAATCATGCTTTGAAGAAGTTAGGCCATTAAAGAGGGCCCAAGAGAAACATGAGATTGCAAAGGTAGTTTTTGATGAGAACAAAAACAAACAAAAAAAGCAGATCTAAAATGAACTCCCTACCCAGAACCTCCTTAGTCAGGCAATAAGAGCAATAAGATCTCAAGACTAAGTTTTATTATTATTATTATTATTATTATTATTTGAGACAGGGTCTCGCTCTGTTGCCGGGGTGGAGCGCAGTGGTGAGATCATGGCTCACTGCAGCCACGACCTCCTGGGCTCACGTAATCCTCCCACCTCAGCCTCCCAAGTAGCTGGAACCACAGGTGTGTGCCACTACACCCAGCTAATTTTTTTTTTTTTAATCGAGACGGAGTCTCGCTCTGTCACCCAGGCTGGAGTGCAGTGGCACGATCTCGGCTCACTGCAACCTCTGCCTCCCAGGTTCAAGCGATTTTCCTGCCTCAGCCTTCTGAGTAGCTGGGATTATAGGAGCGTGCCACCATGCCCAGCTAATTTTTGTATTTTTAGTAGAGACGGGGTTTCACCATGTTGGTCAGGCTGGTCTTGAACTCCTGACCTCAGGTGATCATTCTGCCTCAGCCTCCCAAAGTGCTGGGATTACAGGCGTGAGCCACTGAGCCCGGCCCACCCAGCTAATTTTTTTTTTTTTGAAATGGAGTCTCACTCTGTTGCCCAGGCTGGAGTACAAAATGGCGTGATCCCGGCTAACTGCAACCTCCGCTTCCCAGATTCAAGTGATTCTCCTGCCTCAGCCTCCCGAGTAGCTGGGATTACAGGCATGTGCCATCACACCCACCTAATTTTTATATTTTTAGTAGAGACGGGGTTTCACCATGTTGGCCAGGCTGGTCTTGAACTCCTGACCTCAGGTGATCTACCCGCTTCAGCCTCCCAAAGTGCTGGGATTACAGGTATGATCCACTGTGCGCAGCCCCGTGCAGCTAATTAAAAAAAATTTTTTTTCGTAGGCCTGGTGTGAAGGCTCATGCCTGTAATCCCAGCACTTTGGGAGGCTGAGGCGGGTGGATCACCTGAGGTCAGGAGTTCGAGACCAGCATGACCAACATGGCAAAACCCGGCCTCTACTAAAAATACAAAAATTAGCCAGGCGTGGTGGCAGGCGCCTGTAATCCCAACTACCTGGGAGGCTGAGGCAGGAGAATCACTTGAACCCAGGAGGTAGAGGTTGCAGTGAGCCAAGATTGTGCCATTGCACTCCAGCCTGGGCAACAAGAGCAAAACTCTGTCTCAAAAAAAAAAAAAAAAAGGCCAGGCTTGATGGCTCATGCCTATAATCCCACAACTTTGGGAGGCCGAGGCGGGTGGATCACTTCAGGTCAGGAGTTTGAGACCAGTTTGGCCAACATGGTGAAACCCATCTCTACTAAAAATACAAAATTAGCTGGGTGCGGTGGCACATGCTTGTAATCCCAGCTACTTGGGAGGCTGAGGCAGGAGAATCACTTGAACCCAGGAGGCAGAGGTTGCATGAGCCCAGATCGCCACTGCACTCCAGACTGGGTGACAAGAGTGAAACCCCATCTCAAAAAAAGAAAAAAAAAATTTTTTTTTTTTTTCAGAATGAGGTCTCACTGCATTGCCCAGGCTGGTCTCAAACTTCTGGACTCAAGTGGTCCCCCTGCCTTGGCCTCTCAAAGTGCTGGGATTACATGTGTAAGCCACCATGCCTGGCCAAAGACTTACTTTTACAGGAGGAGTATAAAACATCTCATTAGTAATTTTCATAATTGATTATGTGTCGAAATAATATTTTTGATATTTTGTGTCAAGTAACACTACTAAAATTAAGCTCACCTATATCCTTCTACATTTTCACTGTGGCTACTAGAAAATTTTAAATTACATCTGTGGCTCTCATTACATTTCTATTGGACAGCACTGGGCTGGGTGAGATGACTAGGGGCAGAAAGTACATTCTGAGGGCCAGACAATCAAGGTGATTGATACTGGGGTTAGGTTAACTGAAGGGTAGAAAAGGCCAGGTTAATAGGAGGCAGGGACTGAGTAACCGGGAACAAAGTTATCAGAGCATGAGAGAGAGATTCTGGGGGTCAGCCGTCTGGGATATTATAGGGAGGAAGGAGGCTGTGCTACAAGGGCCAAGAGACAGGAGGATGCACTCAAGTTGGCCTGGATGAAGGGACGACCCTCTGCGACTTGGGTGGGGGTAAGGGTGGCAGGCTGGGGCCAGCCCTGCACTCACCGCTTCTGCTTCCTAGAAGGAGAAACAGTGTCACTTGGTACCTCCACCTCAGGGGCGCAGTCAAGACCCGCTGCCAGGCCAGCCTCTGCCTGACCGCCGGCTCACCTCTCTTCTTCCAGCTTCTTCCGCAGGAGGTCCCACCTCCAGGCGGGCATGCTGGCCAGCCGGGCCTCCTCCTCCTCCTGAAACACAACCACAAAGCTTCAGAGCCTGCAGGGGCTGGGAGATAGGGGGCACCCTCAACCTGGGGACCTGAAGGAGTCAGGGTCACAGGAAGTGACCCTTTGGATGCATTTCTGTGGGACAAGTGGATGGAGGTGCCTGGTCACACCCCCTCAGAGCTGGCCTCCTTTCCCCTAGTAACCCAGACCCTTGTGTCCTACAGGAGGCACCAGAGAGATCAGAGCTGAGTGGGACAGAAGCAGAGAAAAAGTAGCCGGGACCCAGAGGTCCTGAGCCTGATTCCCCACAGGGGCAGGTGGCCAATGGCCACAGGTCCAAGATCTCTGGGCAGACGCAGATGCGGGCCCCCACCCAGCCTCTTGGCTCAGGGAGATTCAGGCTGCCCCTGGCTCCCCTGAGAAGGACCTTCAGCCCATGGTTGCCCTCTTCCCAACAGAGTGGATACGTGCTCTACAATCGTGGGGCTGCAATGACATCAGGGGCAGGTGTGGTGTCCAACATAGGCAGTTTACAGCAAACAGTTTTATTTCCTGAATATTACAGAGGAGAAAGGGTCTGTACACCGCACACTTCACACAGAACACTGCACACGTGGCTCCCTTGACCTCAGCCAAGGAGGTAGCTGTGAACTCCAGTGGAAAACCAGAGAGCAGGCCACACTGCCCCAGGGAGGAGCCGCAGCCCCTCACTCAGAGGGGCTTCTTCTGCTGCCTGGCTCCACACAGAGCTCAGCAAGACCACGGGGCCAGAGGGGGACACCTGGTTTGTTCTGTGCCTGCCCTGCCTATCCGACCAACGCCCCACACAACCTGCTCACGATGGGACCTCAGAGGCTGAGGCAGCCTGGTCCTGGGCCCTCCGGGCTGCTCAAGGCCACAGTCCTGGGTTCTTCCCGCTGCTTCGCGCCTCTGGAGGGCGTCAGACAGGCGTCCAGGCCCACGTTAAGACGCTCGAGGGTGAACTGCGAATTCCGAATTCCGCTGCTCAGATGTCAAACAGCTCTGCCTCCTTCTCCTTCCAGAAGGAGAAGCTGCGGTCGATGTAGCGGCAGATGTCCTCGTTGCTGAATTCGCCCATCTCAGACACTAGTTCCAAAGGGTCTTCGGCGGGGGCTTCGGAACCCGGAGAGTCTGAGATCCGGGGAGGCGCGGCGGGGAGGCGCGGCGGGCCGGCGGGCGGGCGGGCGGTGGCGGCGGCTGCGGCACAGGGGCCAGGGCCTCGCGCTGCCCCTTGGGCGGGTCCCCCTTCTGAACCGGAGCGGCCTCTTCGGTCCGCTCCTGTTCTTTCCCCTTCTCTTCCTTTTTCTTCGCCTGTTCTTCGGGGGCCGGCCCAGCCTCCAGGCCGTTTCCGAAGAACCTGTGCCTGAGGTCCTCGAAGCCGTCGCTCCAGCCGCGCCGGCCGGCCTCCACCTCCTCCAGCACCACGCGGTGGAAGAGGCGGATGCGCTCCCACGGGTGGCTGTCCAGCCGGTGGAACATCTCGTAGCACAGTAGGTGGCGGAACTTGCGATCCTCGCGGCTCAGGCCCATCTCCGGTAGCTGGAAGTAGCCGAGCATGAAGAGGTCGAGCGTGAGGCTTTCGTAGCGCGGGGGTGCGCCGCCGTCTAGGGGCGACAGGAAGTGCTGGGGCCAGTACACGCCGTGCGCCAGGCCCGGGCTTGGCGGCACGTGCCGCCGCAGGCTCCGCCAGTGGTGCAGCAGCTTGCCCACTGCCTGCCGCTGCCTCAGCAGCTGCCGCAGCCGTTCGTTGGGGCTGTGGGCCTCGCCCTTGCTCACCGGCAGCCGGGGGGCGTCCGTGGCCTCCAGCTCCGGCCAGCACGGGCGGCCGTCACGCCAGGGAGCAGTCTGCCTAGGCGCGCCTGGTCCGCGGAAGGCCCGGTCCGAGGAAGGCCCAGAGGCGCCAGTGCTCCAGGAAGAGGTAAACGATGCGCTCCTTGCGCAGGTCGAGGTAGTCCTGGACGCCGCGCAGTTCCGTGCAGAGGGGCGGCCGGCGCGCCAGCTGCTCGGGCTCAAGTAGCGCCGCCTGGCAATCCTGTGCCTCAGGCGGGCCCAGGGTGTCCAGGGGCTCCCAGTCGGCCAGCGGGCCGTGGGCGGCGGCGGCGCTGGGCTGGCCAGAGCCGGCCGCCACGTAGTCCTCCTACAGGATGGGCTCGCGGACCGGGGCGCCAGCGGACTGCGGGGGCTTGCGGCGCGGACAGCGCGGGGGCGCCGCGTCCAGTGCGCGCAGCTCGTAGGTGGCGCGGTGATGCTGCACGGAGACGCCGCACTCGAGGATCTCGCGCGCCACAGCCTCGCGGCACCAGTTGAGCCAGTGCGAGCGGCCCAGGCAAAGCGGCCCCGGCAGTCAGGGCGCCTCAGGCAGCGGCGCCAGCGGCTGGCCCGTGTCAGCGGTCGGCAGCTCCGCCAGGTGCGCAGGCCGGCCGCCCAGCGCGGCTAGCAGCGTGGCCATGCTCTTGAGCAGCGTGGAGATCTTGCTGCACCAGGCGGGCAGGCTGGCGGCGCGGCCATGCATTCGGCGCGGGTCGACGGTGAAGCGCGGCTCCACAGGGCGACGGAGATGGGCAGCAGCTGCTCAGCTCCAGTTGCTCCAGGCGCGCCTCCAGCTTCTGCGCCTTGTGCAGCACCTGCAGGTTCTCGATTGCTGCTCGATGCGGAGGATGTCGGCCTCGGTCATGAGCTCGCCAAAGGGCCAGAGGATGGCGTTGTGCTCGCGGGAGTACCTCCAGCCCTCGCGGGGGTACCTCCAGCCCTCGCGGGGGTAGCAGCACGAGCTGGCGGCCGTCAGCTAAGGCGGGGAAGACAAGAGAGGGGAGGGAGGCGCGTCTCCCTCTGGCCCAGCTCCCGCCGTGGCGCCAGGAACCTTTTGCATGTCCTGGGTGGTGTAATGGCTCCGCGGGGCTGCGTCTGCAGGGAGGGACCGCGTCTGGCCGGCGGGGGGTGACGCTGGGGTGAGGCTTCGGCCTGAGCCGCCGCTCCAGGCTCTGGGCAGTGTCCACTTTGGTCGCTGGCGGGGGGCACGGCCGGTTGCTGCTCGCTGCTGCGGCGGCAAGAACAGGCCAGCAGACGGGGTCTCCATGCCTGGCTTGTTCGCTCATTACACCACCCAAGGAACTTGCCAAAGGCCTTGAAGCTGAGAGGCGCGGTGGCCCGCCCCAACCCATCCGAGGGCGGCTATTGTGAGGCCTCTCCTCCCAGACTCATGACCCCTTCTCCAGCTCCCCTGTGGCCCAAGCCTTCCGCTCCCTGTGGTCAATGTTTTATGTGCAGAATGAGAGGCCACTCCTCTCTTAAAGAGGCTGCAGCTGCAGCTTCCACTGAGCTGCCCACCCTTCCCCTCCCTTCGTCGTGCTGGACAGCTGGGCACCGTAATATTCTCATTTGCTCACTTTTCTCCACCTCTGATGTCCAGTTTTCCCCCCTGGGCCTGCCATCGCCTCCACAGAGGTCCCTGATTCATCTTGGCCCTATGGGATCCACTCCCCACATACAAATAGGAAGCAGCCTCTTCCCTGCTTAACACTCCCCGCACCCGGCTCCCCAGTGCTCCAGGAGAAAGTCCGTTCTCTTCTGGGCCTCTGGCCAGGTCTTGGTAACCTGGCCCCCACTGAGGTCTCTCCAGCTCAGCGACCCCCTTCCTCCAGGACAGTCAGGGCCACATCCACTCTCACTTCCAGACTGCCCTGTCCCACCTGCGGCTCTTCAGCCCCCTCTCCGCCTGGCCACCCCTCACTCGTCTTCCAAGTGTTACCTTAGACATCACCTCCTCCTTCCCTAACACGCCCCCCAGCCCACGTATAAGGTGGCCGGTTAGGGCTGCCCCAGTCCCCTGCGTTCCCCATTGCAGCTGGCTGTGTTGCATCAGCCCAGGTACTTCTCTCCACTGCCACCCACTCTCTCACACTGCCCCATTTTGTGTGCTTGGTGACTCGCACACATGTCCGCAGCCACCTTAGAGCAGGCCTTGATATGTTCACCATGAATCCCCAGAGGCTACAAGCGTGTGGGGCACATAAATGGCACTCGGGGGCCAGGCGTGGTGGCTCACGCCTGTAATCCCAGCACTTTGGGAGGCCGAGGCGGGCAGATCACTTGAGGCCAGGAGTTCAAGACCAGCCTGGCCAACATGGTGAAACCCCATCTCTACTAAGAATACAAAAATTAGCCGGGCATGGTTGGCGGGCATCTGTAGTCCCAGCTACTCGGGAGGCTGAGGCGGGAGAATCACTTGAACCCAGGAGGTGGAGGTTGCAGTGAGTCAAGATCGCACCACTGTACTCCAGCCTCAGTGACAGAGTGAGACCCTGTCTCAAAAAAATAAAAAATAATAAAAATAAATGGCATTCGGGGAATAGTTTTTGGATGAATGGAAAGCAACTCATCCTGCCAGCTGGTGCTGATCAGCTCACCTTACAGAGAAGGAAACTGAGGCTGGATGAGGCTCAGTATCGGCAGCTGGAAGGCGGCAGCGCAGCAATGGAGCCCAGGTCCCTAAGACTGAGACCAAAGCTCTCTTGGCTACTCAGTGTGGTCCTTGGACCAGTGTCATCAGCAGCCTCACCCAGGAGCTGGCTAGAAATGCAGAACCTCAGCCCTGCCCAGACCTCCTGAATCCGAACAGGCCTTTTAACCAGATCCCAGGTGCTGGGCAGGTGAAGGAGAGTCTGAGAAAGGCTGCTGTCTCACTCCAAGGACAAGCTGCTGGGGGTGTGTGTGGAGACTGGGACAAGCCCCAAACGGGGTCGTGCCACCCTGATTTCCCTAAAGAAGATGGCCGGGCACGGTGGCTCATGCCTGTAATCCCAGCCCTGGCCAACATGGTGAAACCCCGTCTCTAATAAAAATACAAAAAAATTAGCTGGGCGTGGTGGCATGCGCCTGTAATCCCAGCTACCTGAGAGGCTGAGGCAGGAGAATCATTTGAACCCAGGAGACAAAGGTTGCAGTGAGCCGAGATCGCGCCACTGCACTCCAGCCTGGGCGACAGAGCAAGCCTCTGTCTCACGAAAAAGAAAAAAAGAAAAAGAAAGAAAGAAAGAAAATAGGAGGTCCCGAGGTTGGTGTTGGGGGTGGCGTGGGGGATGGGCTGTGCATCCAGATGCAGACCCCAGGGCTCCCTGGGCACCCCGCCCCACCCACTTTCCACCTCTGCTCCTCCTCCTCCTACATCTTCAGCTGCATCTTGCCCACCATCACCTGGCGCTTCCACTCGGGCTTGGGACGGCCCTGCTCATCGTGCGTGGGGATGAGCGCCTCCACGTCCAGCTGCACCCCCGGCGCAGGAGTAGTGGGCGGCACCGGAACCAAGCTTCCGTTGAGCAGCGGCTGAAACCCCGCAGCTGGCGGTGTGGGGCTCCGGACTGGTAACAGTGCAGGTGACACAGACGGCAGCGGCCAATCGGGCTGCAGGGAGAAGCGGTGGGGCTGAGCGCCTGGTGGCCTAGGGCCAGGGAAGCCGGGTCGCAGGCTCCTGCTGGGCCCGCCTACCTGGAAGGCCGGCTGCCTGCTGCCTGAGAACACTGTGGTCAGCCCCTTGCTCTGTGGCGTCGGCTTCAGGCTCTTGCCTGCCTTAATCTCAGCCAGTAGCTCCGAGTTGTCGCCCATCGGGAACATCACGTTGAAAGACTTGGTGCCTATGCAGAGGCAGGAGATGAGGCACTGGCCAGGGTGGGGCTGCATCCCTGCCACCCCTCACCCGCCCCTCTGCAGCCCCCTTCCCAACTCAAGATTGGATGGGTGCCCATCCTCGGGGCCAGCGGGCAGCTCTCCAGATCCCAGGTCCCGCAGGCAGCTTTCAGGGCCCCCAGAGGCAGGCCCTTGGTTCCCCGACTGTGGCAACCCCACCATCCTCCCCCACCCTACTCACGGGATGGAGGGCCCCTGCCTGGAGACCCCTGGGAGTTCATGGTGGCTCTTGGGCATATATTCCTGCCCAGCCACTGACTGCCCAGCCGCAAAACACTACCTGGAATCAGCCACCGGACCTTTGTCCCAGGTTTCCTGGCTCAGCCCGGCTGGGTGGAGCCTCCCTCTGGCCCTCTCCCTACATCAGCAAAGCCTCAGTGACCCTTGAGCTGAGTCAATTGGGGCCTCCATGGACATGCAGAGTCCAGACCCCAGAGTGCCAGTACCACCTGCTCCCCTCCCTCGCCACCACACCCACAGACAGACGCACAAGCAGACACATTGGTTGCAAGCCGGGAGCACATTTATGGCAAAGCACGGCTCAGCTCTAGGGGAAAGCAGAGCCCTTACTAAGGCCACAGGAGGCACCCAGGAAGAAGGGCAGGCAGGTAATATGCAAACACCCAGGGCAGAGGGTGCATTTTCTGGCTTAGCCGGAGGAGGCGAATGGAGATTTGGAGAGATAGGTCTCTTGAGCCCCGATGAAGGGGTCAGGTCTGGGAGGGAGGAATAAAATGGGCCGACAGCTCTTGGATTCCCAGGCTGGGGATCCCAGAGTGCAGTCACCGGGAGGAGAAGAGTAGGAGAAAGGGAAAATGGGTGTGGCTTACTCATTTATTTAGGCAAAACCATCAGCCAGGCGCAGAATGCTTGGGTGCATATGTGGGTATGAGGGTAGGTATGAGGTACAAGGCCCCACCCATGCATCGAGGTTCTCTCGCCTGCCAGCCCCTGCCCCTGCCCTTTCCTCAAGGCTGGGCCCCTCCTCCCGTGCTTTTCCTGCCTCTTCCCCCCACCCCGCGCCTCAGCCTCAGCCAGGAGCCGCGCACGCAGCTACTCACTCTTCCTGTGCCTCAGGACTCTCACTTCTAGGGACCAAGAGGAGAGAAGTGACAGCGGAGTTAGGAGGGAAAGGGGGCCAGGATGAGACTGGGATAGCAGGGGACAGGGAGCGGGCCAGGGAGAGCAGGAGGGGGGAAGTGGAGAAGAGAGGAGGAGCATTTCTGCCCATCTGACCCTGGCTCAGGCTGCTCTGGGGCCCCATGAGGGTGGTCCATCGAGTTCCTGGTTTGGCTGGTGCCCCTGAGGGCTGGGCAGGGCAGGGCCACCAGTGGCTCTAGCCCCCAGCAAGGGCCTCCACCTTGGCACTGGGTTGGGGTAGGGCACCCAGCCCTGGCTGTGCTGGGTGGGGGTGTCTGGGGAAGCCCAGAGTATATTTTTCTCTGCCCTTAGCTTCAGCCCTGCTGCAGACTGTGGAGGGAAGGAGAAGGAGGCTCGGCAGGTGCTGGACATGCTTCCATGGGCTCTGGTCTGCAGGGGCTGGGGCTCCATAGGAACCATAGGGGGACAAGCTCTGCTCTGCACTCCTAGTCAGGGAGATGAAGCTTTGAGGGGTGCCACTAAGCATGATCTCTGCCCTGAGTGGCTGGGTGATGAAGGCACCCCAGCCAGGCTGGGATGGGAGCACCACATCTAGGCACCCTGTCCTGGGCCTTCTAGGTGTCCTGGCAGGGGGACACTGTCCCACCCTACAGAAAAGAAGCCCAGGAATCCTGCGCCAGTCTAGCTCTTAAAAAGGATGCCTAGGGAAGTCACCGGGGAGGGAGGGGGAAACATGGTGGGTCACAGCTTTGCCCCCATAGCCAGGCTCTGGCTGGCCCAGGGCCCCTGGCAGGAACTGGCTAGGAAGAGTTCCTGGCATATCTAAGAAGGCTTCAGGTCTGTGCTGCTTGGAAAGACAAGAGAAAGACGTGGAGAGAGGAAGAGAGGCTCAGGATAGACAGGGGCAGGGGGAAGGGTGGCCAGCTGCGGGGCCTCTCTGAAGCTGGTTCGACTTCAAGTGTCCCTCCAGTACCAGCTCATCAGAAACACCAGCACCAGCTCATGGGAAACACCAGCGCCAGAGCTGGAAGGCCCTTTCTAGCCCGTGGGAGGCAGGCCCAGAGAGGGGAGGGGACTTGTCCAGGCCACACAGCTAGAGGGTGGGAGGCAGGCCCAGATTGGGGAAGGGACTTGCCCCAGGCTGTGCAGCCCGGTCCTGCTTTGGCAGGACCTCAAGCAACCCAGAGCCCTCTCTTAGGGTCAAGTACTCAATGGGGTAGGGGTGGCCGGAAGACCATGTAGAAGAGGAAGGACCCGGGCAGTGACAGCTGGGGAGGGGGTGGTGTCTAGATTTCCCTCCCCTTTCAGGGCTAGCGCCGCCCCCCACCCCTCAACCTGCCCCTACTCACTGCCGGTGGGCGAGGAGGAGCGGCGCTGCCCGCAGCCAGGGCCAGCGCCCTCGAGGGGCAGAGGCGGGACCGGCGGCGGCGAAGTCGCGGCCTCGGGCAGGGGCGGCGGCGGCGGCGGCGGCGGCAGCTGCTGCTCCCTGGACGCCTTGGGGTCCGCGGCGCAGCCGTTAGGCACGTGGTTCCCAGGGAGTTCCGCCTGCGGGGATGAAGGTGGGGGCTCACCTCCCAGCTTAGGGAGAGGCTGAGGGGTCTGGGTCACATCTGGCCGGGGGCGCGTGCAGAGCCGCGGTCAGGTGTGGCAGAGCAGTTGGGGCCCACGTAGCATCCGCGACGGCTGCGCCGCCTGCGGGGGAGCGGAGGGGCCTTCGAGCGAGCCGCGGGCGGCAGGGCCGAGGCGCGGGCAGCCGGCGGGCGCGGGCTGGCGGGCACGCACCTCCTCGCGGTGCGCCATGCCCGGGCGTGCGACCAGCGTCTCGCCGGGGCAGCGGCCCAGCTGCCGGTAGTAGTCCCCCGTGCTGGGCTGCTTGCTGAAAGCGCGGGGCTTGCGGCTGGAGTCCTGCCTCCGTAGCCCGTCGTGGCCGTCGCAGGAGCTCGGCTGCGGGAAGACAGTGACCGGTGGGGCTCGGGCAAGTGCCCGGTAGGCGCCCCCCACGCCTCCCCACCCAGCTCTTCACCTCCTGGGAACTCGCGGCCAGCGGCCGTCGGGGGGTGCAGCAGCCGACTTCCTAGACCCCCTGTTCTCACGGTGGGCAGCGGGCGAGGTTCATGGGGGCCTCGGTGGAAGGGCAGGCTCCGCCCGCCTTACAGGGAGGGGTTCTGGGCACCGGCCAAGGGCCACAGGGTCCCCCACTGAGGCCAGAAGGGGCGGGCCCAGGGGCGGGCCGGCCCAGCCCCGACGCCAGGGGGAGCTAGAGAAGGGGCACCTCCCAGCTTAGCCTTCACTAGGCCCTCGGCCGCACTCCGCTCTCGGCTGTCAGAAGGACTGCGGGTCCCCAGGGCTCCGCGGAGCCCTGTCTTTCGGGGGTCCCGGGCCGGAGGGAGCCCCCTCCAGAGCCTGTGCTCTCCGAGGCTCCGGCTTGCCCCGGACCCCGCTTGTCCGTCTAGGGGCTGCTCCAACCTGCCACGGTGCTGGTGGTCCTGCCGTGCACCTGGCGGCGGGGGCGGCAGGACCCGACACCTGCTTTACGTGATACTTCCTCTCAGGTTACAGACGCCCGCGCACGGCCAGCCTATGGGCTCCGACGGCCTGACATCACCCGGGGCCCGCCAATCCCAGGCCGAACCCCCCCCAGCCGTCGCGGATGCCACGGGGGCGCCAACTACTCTGCCACACCTGGCCGCGGCTCTGCACCCGCCCCGGGCCAGATGTGACCCCGCCCCCTGCGCCTCTCCCTAAGCTGGGAGCTGAGCCCCCACCTTCATCCCCGCCCGAGAGGAGAGAGGGCTGACCGTGGGCAGAGGGGGCCTCTCATATTTGGCTGCCGGCTCCGGGTCGCGTCCCCACCGTTTCCCTCCTGCATCTGGAAACCATCGCCATCCACGAAAGCGACACCGACACCCGCGCTCAAGCCTCGGATTTCAGGGGCCGTAAGGCGGGGTCGGGTGACAGCGCGGCTTCCCGCCCCGTCGCAGCTGCCCCCAACTAGGCCCAGCTCAGTGAGGGAGAGTGAGGCGGCCGGGCCAAAGACTGAGTGACCGGGTGGGGGCTGTCCCCTGCCCCACTCTCCAGCCCATGCGTCCCTGCGGTGGCCTCAGACCCTTCACCCCGCCCGACCTGGCTCACGTTGCAGGAAACGCGACACCGCAGGATTCGTTTTCTGGGCCAGCCCGCCGGCTCCGCGCCCCCTGCAGCCCGGAGGCTCCGACGCCACGACCCTGCTCCCACCTGCGGTCAGGCACCCGCGCGGGAGGCGCCGCGGCGACACAAAGAGCCCTTTGTAGAGCTTCCCGGCCCGGGCCCTGGCGTCTGCGGCCCAGCACGCACACAGCCGGGAGGGACGCACACAGCCGGGAGGGGCACACACAGCCGGGAGGGACGCACACAGCCCGGAGGGGGCTCGCACAGCCAGGAGGTGACCTCACAGACCTGGCACTTGGGCTCAGCGGTGGAGAGGGGGCACTGGCTGGGCCACCTGTCCTGTGGATTTGGGCGGGGCCCACAGTCTGCGCCGGGAGCTCAACGATTCCAGGGCCGCTGCAGCCCTACCCGCCCGGCCCCCTCTGCCTCCCAGAGATGAAAGGGGAAAGCCACTGTGGGAGCTTGGTCTAAGGTGGCGTGAAGAGGGCAGCTACTGGAGCTGGCCTGCAGGTTTGGTGTCCCTCCCATGCCTCCCTTGCCCACTGGCCTTGTGACCTGAGTCACCTTGTATGAATTGGCCCTGGGGTGGCTTTGCCTTGGGCTTAAGAGAGAACTGCAAGGTCCCAGGCTCCAGCAGGACCCCAGGGAGCTGCCACACCACATCTGGCCACCTGTGACCTCAGGCTGTCCCCTCACCTCTTAGACCATCCTTGCTCTGTTCCTGTGGCCAGAACGCCAGTGTTCCCCAGGGCACCCTGCCGAGGATACCCGCAATTGCTCAGACCAGACCTCTGCCCCAATCCCTGCTCCAGAGCCTCAGCCAGGCGCCTGCAGGCCCCAGACATCCCTAGGCACCTCACACTTCACCTACCCACCCTGCCCTCATCCTCTCCACACAGGCTCGCTTCCCTCCAGGGCTCCCAGCTCAGGCCTGGCCCTTTCCCCCAGGAGCTCAAGCCCTAAACTGGAACCAGCCACAGCTTCACTTCCTCCCAGCCCCTAATGCCGGTGGGCGCCCAGCCCTGCTAGTGCCTGCTCACCTTCCTCCCTCCCTCCTTCCAGCCCTTACCTCTACAGCCATGCCACTGGCACCTTCCACCTGGCAGCCACCTCCCTTGGGTGACACTCTCCGACTGAGCCTGGGGCTGTGGGGGTGGGGGGGCATGCTTGGGGAGGGGCAGTCTCCATGCATTCTCTGTCAACTCCATGACAACCCGGCCACTCCTGTGCAAGAGGTGGCACAGGCCCAGTTCCTGGTGAGGAACAGCTGTCTGGACCTGCGTCCTTCACCCCCCAGCTCCCATGGAGGGCAGTGACCTGCTCTTACTCTCCTCCCAGTCCAGTGTCCAGCCCTGACCCCTCGTGGGACTCGCCAGGAGCTTTGACTCTTGAATATGCCATGGACCCAGGGACCCCCACCCTGTGCCCACTAGTGAGGCCAGGCCTTTGGCCTGACTGGCCCCCATCAGCCCAGTACCCCTGCTGGGAGGCAGGCAGTGGGTGAGGGCTCACTACCTCCTTCTTGAGGGCCTCTGTCTCCACGTGGCGGAGTTTGTTCTTGGTCTGCATGTAGATGTCAGCTGCCTGTGGTCCCACAGGAGGCTTGGGAGATGGGTAGCTAGGTGGGGGTGGGGGCAGTTGGGTGCCTGGGGGCGGGGGTGGCGGGGGGAAGC
Source organism: Homo sapiens (assembly GCF_000001405.40). Classification (NCBI taxonomy): domain Eukaryota; kingdom Metazoa; phylum Chordata; class Mammalia; order Primates; family Hominidae; genus Homo; species Homo sapiens. The sequence goes on along the minus strand of NW_025791756.1, from coordinate 550,665 downwards.
TGGGTGGGGGTGGTGGGGGTATGGGCTTCCCAATCGTGCCCCAAGGCAGGCCCAGCTCTGGGTTCAGCATGTCCATGTAGCTCTGTATGTCTGCAGCTCTAGTGCTGGAAAGCCCTGGGGAGGCAGAAGGAAGGGCCAGATTTGGAAGCATGCAGACAGGCTTTCCCCCAAGAATGAGACTCTCCACCACCTGGAAACAACTTGCCGAGGGCCAAGGTGGGCTCCGGGCACCACTTGGTACACCTGTTGTGGCCCCTGGCGTTGCTGGGCTTCCTCTCCCTGGCCCTGCCCTGCCCCAGCCCAGCACTTATTGGGGGAAGACCAGGCACTCCGGTTTGGAGGGGAAGCACTGGAGGCTTTGGTGTGTCTAGAGGGCAGGGTCACCTGGAAGGGGAGGGTCTACTCCTTGGGAGTACAGATGGCCACATCCAATCTTTGCAGGGCACCCTGCCAGGTCTGGAGGCCACCATCTGGTGGCGTGAAGCAGGCATTGCAAGTGGATGGACGCCCATGCTCAGGGCACGGTCAGGGTGTGTGTACACACAAGCCTGCAGTCTGCCGAGGCGATTGTGAATTTGTGTATGTTTGAGTGTGTACGCATTTGTGCACATGCTTCTTTGTATTGATGAATGTGTGTGCATTGCTCTGTGGACATGGTGTGTGTGTGTGTGCATATCTGTAGTATGGAAATAGAGCATTGTGTGCTTGTGTGTAAGGTGGGTGTGTGCAGATATTAGCATGGCTCTGTATGTGTGTTCATATCTGTATGCTGTGTGTACACATGTACAAGTGTGTGCTTTTGTGTGTGAGTAGCTAAGAATAATGAATGGTGGGTGGCACACGTGGATTTTGTGGGTGGGGAGAGTACATGTGGATGTACATGTATGTCTGTGATGAGCACACACAAGTATGAGTGACATCTGTCTCTCACCAGAAAGGGTGTCGCCTCCCCATGTTTAAAAGCAAGTGATGAGAGTAGTCTCCGATATTGGCTGTGGCAGGCTGGCCCAAGGCCAACCCTCACAGCCCAGCAGTCTGGCTTCAGTCTGCTCTCCCTCCCCCTCTTCCTCCTGGGCACACTCACCACGTGGAGGGTGCTGGCCCTTGATGCTGGAGTGGCTGGAGGAGCAGGAGTCGTAGTTGGAGAGGGTGCTGGTGGGCGAGCTGAGGTCAAAGTTCAGAGGCTGGACCGACACCGTGGTGTTGGGTGAGGACATGCCTGAATCCGGCTGCTTCGCCTCCAGCTCCACGGATGGATCCCGGGAGAGCACGCAGTGCTCCATGCTCTGAAGGGGAGGCAGGGAGGCCATGAAGGCAACTGCACCCCAAGATGCGTTGCTCTCCAGGCCAGGGTCCTACTCAGCCATGCCTTTGCCGTGGGATCTTGGCCAAGCCACACCCCTCTCTGGGGTCTCTTCCCCATCGCTAGAGGGTCTTTCAGGTTCCTCCGGGTTAAGATTCAAGCCCAGCCCCGCCAGGCAGAGGACCCAGGTTCCTGGGAAACTCCCTCCCCTGGCTCCTCCCTGATTAGGAGGGTGGAGAGATCGACGAGGAGGGGGCCTTGAGCTGCACCCCAGGGGGAGAACTGCCAGGAGATCGGCCTTCTCCCTCACAGATCGGCACAGGCTCCATGGGGAAGGGCACAGCACAGGCCCATCCCTAGTGACCTGGCTGGCAAGCCAGCTCTCCTTGCCAGACCTGGGACCTGGAGCAGACTCCCAACACCAGCCCGGCCTGTCTCCTGATGGGGCCCTTGGGGTAAGGGTAGGGCCTGGATGGCCAGCTGAGCAGTGATGGGCAGCCAGAGCTCAGGCTGCCAGGCCTGCCATTCCCCCGCCCTGCCCGGTCTGTGCGTCTGACCACAGGCCTGTCCCCTCCCGGTGCAGAGGGGGCTGTGGTAGGGGCCCTGCTTACATTGCCCATGCTGCCCCTGCTGCCGGCAAGCCCGCTTGCTCCGCTGCCTCCTGCCCAGGCCTGCTCCTCCTTGCCCCGTGCCCCCTCCCTACCTAAGAAGTGTCACAGGCACCCTGGGAGAGAGAGGCAGGCCTGGCACCAGGTAACGGCTCAGCGGCCGCGCTCATTGGCCCCGTAATTAGGGGCTCTGCTGGAGTGTTTGCCTTTTCTGGGCCAGCGTCTTCTGTGGCTTGGGTCTGTCCCTGCCTCAGCTGGGCCTGCTTGAGTGAGGGGACCAGGGCACACACACCCCACCCATTCCAGGGGACCAGGCCCTGCTACCTACCGCAGGAGTCAGGGGAGCCATAGGAGGTGGCGTGGGCAGCACCCAAAGGTGCTCTTTACCTGGGCAACAGCAGTGGGTGCTGAGGGCACCAAGCCCTGACCCCTGTAGGCAGCAGATAAGAGGCTGGGCCTCAGCAGGTGTACTGCGCCTGGCCTGAGCCACCCAGCTCTGCAGTCTGGGACTGTGGCTTCAAACTTTCCCTCCCCGACTTACTAGCTATTTCAGGCGAGTCACCTGTGCTTTTTGTGCCTATGTTTCTTTATCTGCAAATGGGGGTAACAGCACTACTTGCTCTGCTGAGCTCCAGGACATGGCGCCCAGTAAATGCCATACTGTCAAATTTTTTTTTTTTTTTTTTAGACGGAGTTTTGTTCTTGTTGCCCAGGCTGGAGTACAGTGGCGCGGTCTTGGCTCAGTGCAACCTCCACCTCCTGAGTTCAAGCAATTCTCCTGCCTCAGCCTCCCAAGTAGTTGGAATTAAAGGCACCCGCCACCACACCCAGCTAATTTTTGTATATTTAGTAGAGATGGGGTTTCATCATGTTGACCAGGCTGGTCTCGAACCCTGACTTCAGGTGATCCACCCGCCTCAGCTTCTCAAAGTGCAGGCATGAGCCACCACACCCGGCCTGTCAACTTTTTTATTTTATTTTATTTTATTTTTAGACGGAGTCTTGCTCTGTCACCAGGCTGGAGTGCAGTGGCGCGGTCTTGGCTTACTGCAACCTCCGCCTCCTGGGTTCAAGCGATTCTCCTGCCTCAGCCTCCCGAGTAGCTGGGACTACAGGCGTGTGCTACCACACCTGACTAATTTTTTTTTTTTTTTGTAGTTTTAGTAGATACGGGGTTTCACCATGTTGGCCAGGATGGTCTTGATCTACTGACCTCGTGATCTGCCCGCCTCGGCCTCCCAAAGTGCTGGGATTACAGGCATGAGCCACCGCGCCTGGCCTGAGCCACTGCACCCAGCCAACTATTTTTTTAATGTACTGTGAAGAGTAACTGAGATTACACCTTTAAGGCACTCGGCAGGGTACCTGCCTAAGTCAGAATCCAATGAATAGTGTTTGCTGTCCTATGACCACTAGCAGCTGCATCCAGACAGGCCCTCAGGTGCCCTGGGCTCTGGTGCCACCCCCCATGGTCCCTCGACAGAGTCACAGGCTCTCTTAACTGATGGGGACCCACCACTGATGCAGAAATGTCCTTCCCTGTGTCCATCCCGGCTTATATACCCTAGTGACAGAGTGCTGACTACCTGCTGGGCCATTCATTCTCTTCCAGAGACTCTTTCTCGGGGGGAAGTTCACCCTCAGGCCCGCCTGCAGCCTCTGGCCTCTGGGCCTTGCTGTGTTCTGCAGCCCCCAGAGCCAGGACCATCCCCCTGTGCTGGCAGGGACGACAGATGGACAGACGGTGCTCAGGGCACAGACCATCTGCCTTCTTCCCTCCGGGCCTCATTTCACAGCCACTCCATGGCCAGGCTGCCCCATGGAGTTGGTCCGCATCCTTTTGGGGTTGGCTGTGAGGCCCACTCTCTTCCCTGCCTATTGCCTCAAAGCAGGCATTGTACCAGATGGTGCAGAGCCCTCACTTGGAGACATCCACAGCTGAGTTCAAGTCCCAGTAGGTCACTTCGTGGCTGTCTCACCATAAAAACATAATTTAAAAAGAGTAGCATGGGTTTCCAGTTATGACCCAGCCATGAAGTCAGCTAATATATGGTGCAGGGGCAGAGAGGTGGCTCCTGGTCAGGCCATCAAGGTAGGTTCTCCACTCTACCACTTACTGGTGATGCGATCCTGGTGCCCCGCAGACTCCCTTTACCCATATGTAGAACGGGACACTTACACTCTCTTCTGCAGAGGGTGGCTGTGAGTTATACCCAAGCTAATGTCTATGGGTAGGTGAATGAGCCTGCCTGTTCCCAATGGGGCCTGTCTTGTGATTTCTCCAGCCTTACCCCTTGGGGTGACCCTGTTCTTCCCTGTCCTCTTTCCGTTAACCTTTGTGCCTCTACTCCCTCAGTCCCCAGCAGGCAGTGGTTCTGGGCTGACAGGTCGTGTGGGGTAGCGGGCTTCACGTCTCTGAACCTCAGCTTCCTCCTTGGTAAAAGGGGTGACGACACCCACCACTGGGGTGGAGGGGCGAGAAGAGAGAATGCAACAGGAGCAGCGCAGGGATCGTACCAGGTTCTCCACCGTGCGCAGGCAGTGGGTGCAGTGGCTGTGGCCGTTGAAGTCCGACAGGTCAGCGGCCGCGTACCCGTCGCGGTCGCGGACTTCCAGCTCCGCGCCGTTCACTACCAGGATCTGGCAGCACTGTGGGGGCACGCAGTGAGGACCCGGCCGCGGCCACGAGCTGGGACCCCCGCGCCCGGGCAGGGCCGTGCGGAGAGCGCGGTGCCAGCAGAGGGCGCGCGCCCCCACCCCGGGCCCGCGCTGACCCCTAGCTCCCCGTTCTCGGCGGCGTCGTACAGCGCGGTCCCGCCCCACAGGTCAGCCGAGATCTCCCCGCCGTGCAGCAGCAGCCAGCTGAGCACCTTGCTGTGGCCGCGGCTCGCCGCGAAGTGCGTGGCGGTGGCGCCGTCTTTGTCCTGCTCCGACAGGCTCACGTCGGTGCAGCTCACCTGGGCGGGAGGGGCGGGGAGAGAGGGCCGGGGGATGGGGGCCAGGCCCCTGCAGGCCCCGCCCACGGTCCTCCGCCCCACTCCTGATGGCCCCGCTCCCTCCACTCCCCGCCCTGCCGGCTCCGCCCCGTCTCCCCTCCGCACCGCCCGGGCCCGGAGCTCACCAACCACACGATGACCGGGCTGTGGCCCATCTGCGCCGCGGCGTGCAGTGGGGTCATGCCGTCGTGGGCGCGCGCGTGCGGGTCCGCGCCGCATTCCTGCACCAGGTACTGCGTCACCTCCAGGTGGCCCTCCTGGCACGCCAGGTACAGGGGCGTGGCACCGTTCTTGGTTTGGGCATTCACTCCCCTGCGGAGACACAGCGCCCACCGTGGGCTTTCAGCGCCTCACCCCCTCCGAGGCCTCCTTACCCGCCCCCCTCCCCTCCCGGGGAGCCCTGGACGGCAGGGAGAGTGGGCGGGAGAGGGCCCTGTCACCGGCCCGCTGCCGCCCGGGGGGCTCCGCCTGGACTGAGTCCTGAGCCACCCTCCCTCAGAGGCCCCTGAGGGCGTCCCACCCAGCACTGCCCTGCCCTCAGTCCCACTTTTTTTTTTTTTTTTTTTTTTTGATAAGAAGTCTAGCTCTGTCGCCCAGGCTGGAGTGCAGTGGCTGGATCTTGGCTCACTGCAATCTCTGCCTCCCGGGTTCAAGCGATTCTTCTGCTTCAGCCTCCTGAGTAGCTGGGATTACAGGCATGCGCCACCACGCCCCGCTAATCTTTTGTATTTTTAGTAGAGACGGGGTTTCACCATGTTGACCAGGCTGGTCTCGAACTTCTGACCTCGTGATCCGCCCGCCTCGGCCTCCCAAAGTGCTGGGATTACAGAGCCACCGCGCCCAGCCTCAGTCCCACTTTTTAACCGAGGTCTACAAAGATGTGGTGAGCTGGCCTTTCCTCCCCTCTCGCCCACTGTCACCATGAGTCCCCACAACTGCTGTGTCTGACCTCTATCCCTTTCATCGTGTGCCCCCTCCATCTGGAATGTCCTTCCATCCTCCTCCCTCTTGAAGACTCAGTACCCATCCCTCCTCCATGAGGGCCACCCTGATTTATTTCCCCCTTGCTGGCCTCCGCCCCACACTGCCCAGGGCCACTATGAGCATGACCTGTCATGCTTGGTTGACCATAACTGATTTTGACCTTTGCCTCGCCCAGAAGACTGAGTTCCCAGCGGGCAGGGTGGTAAGGGTTGCCAGACAAAATGCAGTTCACACAGTTCAACCGGAATTTCGGATGAACGGATAATGCTTTAGTATTCTATATCCCAAATATTGCATGGGACATACTTATACTAAAATACAACTTTTTTATCTGAGATTCAAAGCTAGTCAAACATCCCGGGTTTTGTTGTTGCTGTTTTTGTTAATCTGGCAGCCCTCGGGATGTCCACTATGTACTGAATGCTTCTGCTGTGCTAGCTCTGGGCTACGGCACTGGCAAGCAGGTTCTTCTTTTTTTATTTTTATTTTTGAGACGGAGTCTTTCTCTGTCATCCAGGCTGGAATGCAATGGCGCAATCTCAGCTCACTGCACCCTCTGCCTCCTGGGTTCAAGCCATTCTCCTGCCTGAGCCTCCCAAACAGCTGGGACTACAGGCATGTGCCACCACGCCTGGCTAATTTTTGTATTTTTAGCAGAAACCCAGTTTTGCCATCTTGGCCAGGCTGGTCTCAAACTCCTGAGCTCAAGTGATCCGCCTGTCTCGGCCTCCCAAAGTGCTGGGATTACAGGTGTGAGCCACTGCGCCCGGCCATCAACTATTACTGTGACCATCAACTGAGATTACACCGGTAAGGCACCTAGCAGGGGACCTGCCAGAATCAGAATTCAGTCAATGGTGCAGCTACAGCTGGGGAGGCTCACAGGTGGGGCTGGGACTCTGTGCCATCACCCATAGTCCCACAACAGAGGCACAGACTCAGCTCTCTCCTCGGTCACACAGTTGGTAAGTGGCACTTGAACACCCATCTGTCTGTGCATGCAGGGCCTGGCTGGCAATATGGGCATGCAGGGAGTGAAGAGATGGAATGTGTCTCAGGGGCTCCTCCTAGGGCCTAGTTTTCGGCTGTCACTGTCCCTTATCCTTGCTCTGCCAGCCCAGAGGGGGCCTACCTAGGGAACAGCAGGGCTGTCCTGGCTGCTGGGCTGTTGGGTGTGAACAGCCCAGGGTGCAGTTGCCACCGAAGGACACTAGGTGGAGCCACAACCTACCCCCAGACCCAGGAGAAGTTCCAGGTTGGGGGCCACGACCTATTGGGTTCCAGTTCACCTTTTGTGCCTAGGAGGCCAATTCCTCACAGGACTTGACATCCTGCCCATCTACCTCCCCCAGTCTTTCACCCCGTAGATCAACCACATGCTCCACCCTGCATTCATCCCTCGTTCACCCATCCAACTGCCCATCCACTTGTTGCCTGCCCATCAACGTGCACCAGGCTACCCCCCTTTGCCCACCCACCCTCTTGTTCCCAACACGACTCAGCCCCTCTTCTGACCCCTGTCACGTGTGCCCTCTCCCTCCCTCTCACACACATCCTGAGCCCCTCCCAGCTGGCATCTCCCTGTCCCTAAAGCCCTGGTTCTCTGTCCACTTCCCTGACTCCTGAGACCCCAAGGCTGACTCTGACTGAGACCCCTGACTCTGCAGCCCCCATGGACCCCCACTCACTGATTTCTCCTCCCTCCCCACTCCCTAGACACAGGGCTGCCATTTGCTGGGGCTGATGCTGAGCCGGGCACTTCATGATGGTGCGGGGAGCAGGCACCATGCCTGGTGATCCAGAGGGGGTCCCGTCAACACAGATGAGGGAGACAGAAGACCCAGCTACGTATCTATCTTCAGAAACATGCTGGCTCGTGGCTGCCAGCCTCCACACCCCAGCGCCAGCGTCACCCCCACACACACTCACATACTGCTGCATCAGAACAGGCTGTTGAATATTTCATGACCGACGCTCAGCGGCCTAAATTATTCACCCCGTAACCAAGGCACAGTGAGTGCCGGGGTCTTGGGGATCAGGGGCTGGTGGGGGCCCACTGGGTTCTTTCTGCAGAGGCCCACGGCGGTGTACACAGCGGGTGGGGGGCCAGACCTGCAGTGAGCTCTGCTCTCTCAGCACTCCCTACTTGGCAGAGATCCATGACCCAGGGGTGCCCAGCCAGCCAGAGAAGGTCTGAGAAGCTGGCATCAAGCAGGATCTGAGCAGCAGGGGGAAGTGGTACCCACGGCCTCCTGCAGGGCCGCTGGCTGGCACTCCCAGCCCAAGTTCCTGGCACGGAATGAGCCCTCAGTAAGTGCTGGAGCTCATCACCATTCTCATTAGTATTCCACCATCTGCACTCATGCGCCCCATTATGGAGTCAGAGCCTCCAGCTTGGAATACCCCAGAACATGAGGCAGATATGCTGTTGGGCTGGGTGGGAAGGGGTCCTGGCTCAACATCCCCTTCCACCTTGGCCTGAGGACAAGAAGAACAATGGGCACTCTCACAGTCACTGGGGAGTATTACAAAGATATGGATGAGCATAAGGACCAAAATGAAATTCCCATCACACACCTGGAATCCAAGCACCTCGGGAGGCCAAAGCAGGAGGACTGCCTGAGCCTAGGAGTTCGAGACCAGCCTGGGCAACATAGAGAGACCTCCGTCTCTACAAACAATACAAAAATGAGCCAGGTGTGTTGGTGCACACCTGTAGTCCCAGCCACTCAGGAGGCTGAGGAGGGAGGATCACTTGAGTCCAAGAAGTTGAGGCTGCAGGGAACTATGATCATACCGCTGCACTCCAGCCTGGGTGTCAGAGCAAGAGCCTATCTCTAAAATAAATAAATAAATGAGAAAATAAACAAAATTCCCATCACTAGAGAGAGGAATTAATAAAAGTAATAATAGTAAATAATAATAATAGTGATAGCAGCCACCATTTACTGAATGATTACTCTGTCTCAAGCACTGTGATGAGTACAACACACACGTTCTCTCAGCTGGTCTTTGTAACAACCCCACAGGACAGGTGTTAGCATTGTTCTTCTGGTACAGATGAGGAAACTGAGGCACAGAGAGCTAAGATCACTCTGTGAGAAAGAGGCAGAGCCCCGATTTGAGGCTGTGTCTGATGCAGAGCCTGCTTCTGACTCCAAATGTGCCACGTCTACACCCCTTCTGCTCTTGGTCGGTCTGTCCCTCTGCCTCCCTCCCTCCCTCCCACTGCACAGACCACTGCCCTTCCCCACAGACCTCACTGCTGGGAACTCAGGAACACTCTTTGACAGCTGCTGGGGCACAGCCCCGCAGGAGGACCTGGCTCGAGTCCCGTGCCTTTGAGCTGTGCCACAGTCTTGCTTCTTGTCTCTTTGTGTTCCCAAACCCATCCATGAAATGGGGGCAACAGTTGTCATCCTGACCTCGTGCGGAGTGCCTGAGAAGTGCCTGCAGAGCCCTGAGCACAGGCCTGGTGCCTGGCACACAGCCATTGCTGAACTTTAGGATCCTTCCCTGTGCCTGGGAGGACCAGCCACCAGGGGGGTCTATGGCTGGCCTGGCGTGTCCGGGTCCTGCCAAGTACGGGCCAGGCTGGGCATCATTTCTGCTGTGGGGAACACTACCTAGAGGGGAGAGGATGGGTCTTGGGGGAGACCTCTGACTCCCAGACCCTTGCCAGCTCTAGCCCTGACCACAGTGACAGCTGCAGAAAAGTGCTCCCAGACCAAGCCCTTGCCCTTTGCCCCGGCTTTGACCCAAACCCTCTTTGTAGGTCAGAGGCGCCCTGGCAATGATCGTATAAATCATGATTTGTTTTCTTTCTCCTGGGAACAAAGATGCTATGGATGAACTGTAACTATTCATCAAGTCACCTCTGATTACACAAAAGAAACATGGGTCCCCCGTGTGGGCTGTGGGAATCTCTGGCGGAGACTGGTGCCAGCTGACTGCCAGCGCCGCCGCAGGGAGTGAGCTGCCCATGGAGCCAGAGTCGGGCTGCAGAATGATTCCCGCAGCCCGCCCCACTGCCAGTCACGCCTCCCCAGAGGGAGGCCAGGAAGAGGCTGTCCCTCCGAGGATCAGTCTGGTTGTGGCCCGTGACTGCTTTCAATTGAAATTCACGGAGCCTTTGGTGGATCTACGGCTCTCGGTGTCCTCCAGTCAAACTTCCCGGCCTATGTTAAAAGATTCCCAAGTAGGCCTGGCCCAGGGAAGAAATGCAGCCCCGATTTGAGAAAGGTTCTACACCCCAGCCCATCAGCTAGCATGGAATAGTTCCAGAAGCCTACAGTTGCCTGCAACTCTCCCAGCCTCCCAGGTCTTCCTCCTGGCCCGTAATTAGGCCAAATTTGACCCCACCTGAGGCCTCTACACCTCCCCACATCACTGCCAGTTCCACCACGGCAGGGCTGCGAGGCCGACCCTCTTTTCATTAGGTTCTCAGCTCTCCTCCCCTCAAAGATGCCTGGCTTCCCTGACCCCTCAACTTAAAGAACCATCCCCATCGCTTCCTACCAAACTCCTCATTTCACTATATAGCACTTGCCACTCCTGAATTATCTTGTTCTCCTATTCCTCAGACCCATACACGCGTGGATAGAAGAATGTGTGGCTGACGTGATGACAGGCCGGGCAGTTGAGTGCACCCACTTGCTGTTTGTTGAATGAATAAATATGAGAAGGGACATCCAGGCCAGGAGTAGGGGATGTCTCTTCACTCATGGCCGCAGCCTGGTAGAGCAGGTTAGATCCACTTGCCAGATAGGCTCGGAAATGCCCAGAGGGGAGTTTTGTCTAGGGTCACATGCAATGAGCTGTAGGCAGAGTGGACAAGTCCCTGGGATTCCATGCCCCACTCATTCAGCAGATGTTTACTGGAGTCAGGCTCTGGGCATACAGAGCCGGGAAGACAAAGCCCCTGGCCTTATTAGTCACGGACAGACGGGATGAAAACACACATCTGTCTGTGTGATGCAGGGCCCAGCCAGAAATCCGGGCATGCAGGGAGTGAAGAGATGGAATGTGTCTCAGGGGCTTCTCCTAGGGGTTAGCTTCCGGCTGTCACGCAGGATGCACACAGAACGCAAAGCCAGGCAACCATAGGGCGGCTGGGAGGCCAGGTGCAGTGGCTCATGCCTGTAATCCCAGCACTTTGGGAGGCCGAGGTGGGCGGATCACCTGAGTTCAGGAGTTCGAGACCAGCCTGGCCAACATGGTGAAACCCCATCTCTACTAATAATACAAAAATTAGCCAGGTGTGGTGCCATATGCACCTATAATCCTGGCTACTCAGGAGGCTAAGGCAGGAGAATCACCTGAACCTGGGAGGTGGAGGTTACAGAGAGCTGTGCCACTGCACTCAAGCCTGGGCAATAGAGCAAGAGTCGAGTCTCAAGGAAAAGGGCAGCAGGGAACAAGGCCAGCGGGAAAGTGAGTGGGCATCATGGGCGCGGGTGACAATTTCAGCGAGGCTCAGGGTTGGCCTTGCTGAGGTGAGGTCTGGGCAAAGACTTGCAGGAAGGCAGGGAGCAGGCGGGGATCTCTGATCCCTGCAGAGGGATCAGCCTCTGTGAAGGCAGGGGTGCTGGCCTGTTGGAGGGGACCACAGCCCGGAGGAGGGACAGCCTCTGGGCCATTGTAAGGAAGTGAGCAGCATTCCCTGTCAGTGGCCAGAAGCCTGTGACGGGAGGTGCTCTTTTTTTTGTGTGAAACGGAGTCTTGCTCTGTTGCCCAGGCTGGAATGCAGTGGCACAATCTCAGCTCACTGTAACCGCTGCCTCCCAGGTTCAAGTGATTCTTATGCCTCAGCCTCCCAAGCAGCTGGGACTACAGGCGGGAGCCACCACACCCGGCTAACTATTTTTCCCCCTGAGATGGAGTCTTGCTCTGTCGCCCAGGCTTGAGTGCAGTGGCGCAATCTTGGTTCACTGCAACCTCCGCCTTCCGGGTTCAAGCAATTCTCCTGCCTCAGCCTCCTGAGTAGCTGGGATTACAGACACCCACCACCATGCCCAGCTAATTTTTGTATTTTTTAGTAGAGACGGGGTTTCACCGTATTGGCCAAGCTGGTCTCAAGTTCCTGACCTTGTGATCCGCCCGCCTCAGCTTCCCAAAGTGCTGGGATTACAGGCATGAACCACTGCACCAGACCAGGACTTGCATTGTCTTTTCTTTTCTTTTCTTTTTCTTTTTTGAGACGGAGTCTTGCTCTGTCGCCCAGGCTGGAGTACAGTGGCTCGATCTTGGCTCACTGCAAGCTCCGCCTCCTGGGTTCCAGCAATTCTCCTGCCTCAGCCTCCCGAGTTGCTGGGACTACAGGCACGTGCCACCACACCCGGCTAATTTTTGTATTTTTTAGTAGAGACGGGGTTTCTCCATGTTGGCCAGGCTGGTCTCGAACTCCTGACCTCGTGTTCCGCCCGCCTCAGCCTCCCAAAGTGCTGGGATTACAGGTGTGAGCCACCACACCCAGCAGGACTTGTGTTTTCAAAGGCTGCGGGTGGACATGGACGGGTGAAGACCAGGGCCTTTCAGGCTTACTGAGGACTTCCCCTTTTCCGTTCTGTAGTGCACAGCCTCACAGAGCCTTGGGCCCAGCTGAGCCCAAGGGGTTCAGGTAGCCCCCACGTGAGGCAGAAAGGGGGTTTCTCAGAAGCCCTGGGATGCCCCAGCAGCGTGCTGCTTACAGAGCCCCAGGGTCCAAGGCTCAGCTCTCCCCCTTAGAAGGGTAGGGCAGGAGCACTAGCCCCGGTTAGATGACAGCTGGGACCAGGAGCTGCTGGTGGAGACACGAGATGGTCTCCTGCTGTGAGGGGCTTCCCCGGACTCCACCAGGCCCTTCCTTTCCCAGAGCCTCCACGTGGGTCAGGGAGTCAAGGACGGCAGCCACCTCCTCAGTGTGGACACAGGCCCCGCCCCCACGCCCTGCAGCCAGGTGAACTGACAGACACCAGGGGTAGATCTGGGGCTGCTGATAAAAAGGAATGAGCCCCCACGGCCTGTGGCAGAATCAGGGACCACCCCAGGCAGAGCCTCCAGCCTTCTAAGGGGGAGAGTTGAGCCCTGGGCCCTGGGGCTCTCTAAGCTGAGAGTTGCTAGGGGCTTCCCAACAAACTCCCTTTCTGTCCCAGGTGGGGGCTGCCTGAACCCCTGGGCCGTGGGAGCAGCCAGACTCCGTGAAGCTTTGCACAAAGGAAGGGAAAAGGGGAAGTCTGCAGTGGACTTGAAAGGCCCTGAGTGATTAGGACCTGGACCAGGAGTGGGAGAGAGACCCAGAGAGGAGGTACAGCCTGCTCAAGGCCACACAGCAAGCCAGTGATGACCACAGCTGGTGAATCAGCCTCTCTAAAACACCATTTCTGTACCTGTCAGCTCCACCAGGCAGGGACGCTTGTCTGGTTCACCAGCATATCACTGGCATTTAGAATATTGCCTGGCACATAGAAGATGCTCAATAAACATTAGTTGAATGAGTCCATCTGTAAAATGGGCTGATTACATAGCTACTGCTCGGGGTGGTTGTGTGACTCAGATGACACTGGGTGGTGCCAGACCCCTAGAAGATACTCAGCACCAGGTTCTTTTTTTCTTTCCTTTCTTTTCTTTCCTTCCTTTCTTTCATTCGTTCCTTTTTTTTTTTTTTTTTTTTTTGGACAGAGTCTTGCTCTGTTGCCCAGGCTGGAATGCAATAGCATGATCTGGGCTCACTGCAACCTCCGCCTCCCTGGTTCAAGCGATTCTCCTGCCTCAGCCTCCCTAGTAGCTGGGATTACAAGCATGTGCCACCTGTACAGGCATAGCCCAGCCACACACCCAGCTAATTTTTGTATTTTTGGTAGAGACGGGGTTTCACCATGTTGGTCAGGCTGGTCTTGAACTCTTGACCTCAGGTGATCCACCTGCCTCAGCCTCCCAAAGTGCTGGGATTACAGGCGTGAGCCACCATACCCAGCCCCAGGTATTTTCCAATCCCATTCCAGTCTAGTCTGGTCAGGGGTAGGGGAGGCTTTGGGGGAAGGAGGCACCTGCTGAAGTTGATAACATCTCTGGGCTAACTGGTTTTCCAGCTTGCTGTGACTGGCAGCACCCACGAGCCCAGGGGAAGAGACTGGAGCCTCCTCACTCCCCAGCCTGGAAGCTCAAGCCTCAGGGTCCCAGCTGATCCCCAGCTCCCCGACCCACACAGCCCTGTCCAGCTGCTCAGGCCCTGGGACAGCCAGAAGCAGGTGTGAGGGGGGCAGAGTGAGCTCCTGGGCCCCAGGACCCTCCTGGGAGGGTGGCCACTGGCCTTGGGGCCACCTGCTCTTCGCCCCTCCTCACTCTGCCCTGAATGGGGGTCTGGACCCCTTGTTCCCCTCCATCAGCCACTGGAGCTCCTGCTGGGAGGGCCAACCCTCCCAACTCAATCTCCCTGAGACCCAGAGCCTGGGACTTGCCCAGCCCAGCTCCTGCCAGCCCCGTACCTCCCAACTGAGAGGTCCTTTTTCTTTTTCTTTTTTTTCCCCACCTGGAGATGGAGTTTCACTCTTGTTGCCCAGGTTGTAGTGCAATGGCGCGATCTTGGCTCACTGCAACCTCCGTCTGCCGGGTTCAAGCGATTCTCCTGCCTCAGCCTCCTGAGTGGCTGGGATTACAGGCACGCGCCACCACACCCGGCTAATTTTGTATGAGAGATCCCTTTTCTACAAGGGCTCAGAGGGAGGGTCCCACGTGGCAGCAGCCCCGAGGTCACTGTGACAAGTCCTCTGCTTCTGGGAAGACTTGGCCCCATGAACGGGATAGACGGGGAGGTGTGGGGGATGTGCAGGACATTCCTGCAATCTCAAGCACTTTCTATTATAACACCCCAAGGTGTAGCCCTGGAATTAGCTGAGCCTCCCCGAGGCTGTCCAGCCTTCCAGCTCCTCTGCAGCGTGTCACTTCCATGTCTCATGGCCACCCACAGCCCCTCCCTGGGCAGGATCGAGTTTCCCACCAGCAGGTCCGGGAGCCCTTCCTCCCTCAGCACTCACCCACGCGCCAGCGAGAGAGCTGAGCCTTGTGAATAATTCACAGCAATTCACAGCAGGCCCCAGAGGCTCGCAAGAGCATGAAGCTGGGCCACCTGGGTGCCCTGATTGGGCCCTGTGGCCTGGGGCAGCTCAAGCCTCTGCCCTACCCAGCTCCCAGCCTTCATATCCACAGCCTCGGTGAGCAGGAATCCCTACCCCCAAGATAGGAGGTTAAGTGGGTACCCCAGCCCCCAACCCCAATTCCCAGCTGCTCTTCCTGCATAAGCCCAGCCTGGCAACCACAGAAAGACACCTTCTTATCAGTCGAGTCACATGCTGCTGTGGGGAACAGAGCCCAAGCCCTCTGTCCACCTCCCTGAGATTCATGGTGACTCCTGGGGGGCTGGCAGCTCATCAGTCCAGGCCATCTGGCCACTGGGTCGGCACCAGCGCCCAATCACACACAGCACCTGGCATGGCCTGGGAGGGGGTCAGGGTTCCCCAGCCCCGGAGCCCTGGAGGGCGTTCCACAGCACAGCCAGTCTTCCTAACACCTGGGATCCAGCCCACGGAGGGATCGTGGCTTCTCAGTGAGGAAGGCTTAGGGGCCGGCGGTCCCCACCAGCACTTGCATAAGGCGGGCTCAGCGTCTTCCAGTTCACACTTGGGCCATATTGGTCCCGCCATCAGGGGCACCTGCCCCTCTCAAGACCTGTCCTTCTCCTCTGCTTGAAGTGAGGGGGTGGGACAGGTGCATCAGAATCACCGCCATGAGGGTGGGGACATGTCCCAGGTGTGGCTCCCAGGCCCCAACCTGGAGAGTCTAACTCAGGAATCTGGGACAGCCTCCAAGAGGTGTTGACAGGAGCCAGTTGGAACCCTCTACTCAAGGGTCCCTGGGTCCCTCCTAGTCTAAATCCCACTGACTTTGACATGATCCAAACCCTAGTTTGTTTGGAAGCAGTGAATTCATACCAAAGCAGCCACCAAGAAGGCCTGGCAGGGCTGGTTGTGAAGCACCCCTTCCTCCGGGTGCTGCCTGTTGGGTCTCCCACTAACCAAACCAGGGAGCCCCTTCTTAGCAAGGATGGAACCAGGCCCAGCTCCCTTGTCCTGGGCTGAGGGGACCACTGGAGCCCGGCCTGGTGGGTCCTAGGGCCACCCTACATCCACGCCAGTGTGCCTGGGCCCAAGAGGCTGCAGCTGTGGCTACCTTGCCACATGGCCATATGGCCAGAACTGGCCTCCAGCTTGCTCCCTGGTGGCCAGGGGCCCTGCAGGCACACCCAGAAACTGACCAGTGGTGGGGACAGGCCAGACCCTCTCACCTCGTAGCTGCTCTCGTCCTGAGGCTGGGTCCACATTCACATTTCCATCTCAGGCTCCCACTTAGACTAACGAGGGTCACCCATCAGAGTAACCCACTCCCCGCTCAGACCCCTGTGGCATCTGGCACCCTACCCTCTCAGACAGGGCCTGGGCAGCTTTTCCCAGGATCCCTGCCTCCCCAGGCGCACCTAAGACCTGAGTCTCTTCCTCCCTCCCCAAGACTCACACATGCCACCTGCTCTGTTCGACCCCCCACCCCACCCGGGGGAGCTCCCAGACCACTCCCCAGGAGGTTTGGGATCCCCATGCTTCCCTTGATAGTGGGAACGGGCTGAGGGGCCACAGGAGATAACAAGTTGCTTTCTGGATGGCCTCCAGCCAGGGGCTCTGGGGTCAGGAGGTGGGGTGGGGGTTGGGGAGGGGCCTTTCTCCCTTAACTGCTTGGTAACTAATGGGGTTCCCTTTCTGCCTGTTTGACTAGGGCCTAGGAGGCGCTCCTGCCCTTGCTGCCCCCAACTCCATTCTGAACAGTCTTGCAAATGAGCACAGCCTGAGCCAGAGAGAGCCCCTGCGGCAGAAGCAGCCCAAGGGGAACAGGTGACCTTGGCCTGTGTGCCCAGCCTCCCAGGTCCAGCTGCGTGCGGCCGGGCAGCTGAGGATGTTGGGAGCACCTGCTTGCAGGGCTCTGGGGGCAGCCCCAGAAGGGGTTTTCCAGGAGGGGAAGATTTCATGTTGAGTGGGAGCCATTTCTCTGGCCTGGCCCTCTGGCCCCAGGATGGCTACTGGAGGGATCATTGCCCTGGAGTGCCAGAGAAGTGTGGAAAATCCCAGGCATCCCCCAAAGCCCTGGCCCGGCCCACCCAGAGGACCCCTTAAGAGGAGTGATCTTACTCAGGGTAGTGCCTGACGAGAAGCCTCAGGGAGGGGAAGTCTCCTTTGGCTGCAGCGTAGTGGATAGGCAGGGCGCCCATGTCTGTGGCCACGGTGGGATCCCCACCGCCATGATGCAAGAGCCAGTTCACCACCTTGGGGTGGCCAAAGCGGGCAGTCAGATGCAAGACTGTGGGACCAGAATTGTCTTTGTCCTGTGGGAGGAGAGCGGGTTCAAGTCCTAAAGCCTGTTGCTGCCCCGCCCCTGGCTTGGGCCGCTCCCAGACTCCCACAGGCCTGGAAGGTAGCTCTGTGCTCTCTGTCTTCCCTGGAAGAATTGGCCAGGCCTCACTCAGCAATGGTTTTTTTGGGTCAAGCGGATCCTGGGTTTGAATCCTGCTTCTGTCCTTGGGCAACTAATTGGCCCTCTCTGAACCGTACGTAGCCAATAGGCAGCACCGTGCAGGGTTTTCAGAGGCTGCAGGTCCTGACTGCGAGCTGCCTACACGACAGGCACCTGGTTGTCATGGCAGGAGACTGGCTCCAGGCCCAGGGCCACAGCCCTGACTCCCAGGGGCTCAGGGAATGCCTGAAGGAGTGACACAGGGTTACTGGGCTGAGCAGGGCCAGGAAGGGGGGCTGTGGGGCTGTACCAAGCTAGCATCAGGATTGGGGGGCAGCCCCTGCATCCAACACTTGCCCCCTCTCTCTCCACCCTTCCTAGGTGTCACGTGGGAACAGAGACCTCCACCTTGGTGCGCCTCCAGCAACCCAACCTCAGTGCCTTAGTCAGGCAATAAGGGCCCTGGGGACTGGTTTGGGTAGGAAGGACACACCAAATGAGCAGGAGGAATTTCCCCATAGAGGCGAAGAGAATCCAGAGATGGTGAGGGAGAAAAGCACATAAGAAATTAAAAACAAATGCAAACAAACGAGGTTGAAACAGGGCTGGAGGGTGTGAATGTGGTGATTCTTCTCTTCCTGAGGAGACAGGGTCCTGCGAGTTTTGTCACAAGTCAGGAAGCTCCATCAGCTCTGCAACACCTGAGTCCTGGATGGCGGGAGATGATGGCTTAAGATATCTGGGCGCAAAGCCTGAGGCCCTGCCTGTAACTCCGACTCCCTCAAGGGCAGCTGAGAGGGAGGACTCAGGGCACTGGGGAAAGTCAGCAGACCCAGTCACAGAATTAGAATAAGGTGGAGCTACGCAGGGAAGACAACACCAACTATTTCCTTTTTCTTATTTTATTTTATTTTATTTATTTATTTTTTTTGAGACGGAGTCTCGCTCTGTCGCCCAGGCTGGAGTGAAGTGGTGCGATCTCGGCTCACTGCAAGCTCCACCTCCTGGGTTCACGCCTTTCTCCTGCCTCAGCCTCCCGAGTGGCTGGGACTACAGGCACCTGCCACCGCGCCTGGATAATTTTTTTATTTTTGTATTTTTAGTAGAGACGGGGTTTCACCATGTTAGCCAGGATGGTCTCGATCTCCTGACCTCATGATCTGCCCACCTCAGCCTCCCAAAGTGCTGAGATCACAGGCGTGAGCCACCGTGCCCTGCCAACACCAACTATTTCATTGGCAGTAGAAGAATCACACTCTGCAGCTACTGAGAGGTGGAGGTGAAGCCACCCTGCCGAGCAGCCAACCTCACTTTTTGGTTATTATCCTTGTGCCGATGCTGCCGGACAAACTCTCTCTACAAATCTCAGCATGTGGAAGAAACAGAGGCAGGAACAATTGCCCAGCACCTTTCTATTTCTCGAGGACACTCTTGAAGTTATTCATCAATGTTTTAATTAAAGCAGATCTTATCGCTTTTCCTCAAATGGGAACTTGTTCACTTTTAGACTTTGTTATTGTTCATTTTGGGCTTATCTTTGGTCTTTTCCTGTGCTCTTAAAAGGGTGCAAATCAAAATCTGAGTATGATAATCCACTTATCATATGACTAATTACTTCAGTACAAGGAGTTCCTGCCTGTCTGTCCAATATGAATCTTACTACGTCCCAATGTCACATTGGCTTCTTTTCCTTCTCGGTGGCAGCATTTGGAGCTTTTACTTAACTTAGGGTCAATTTCGACCTCTGAATTTTCCACCCCTCCCCCACAGCTGTTGCTGGGTCATGCTGTTTTCTTTTATCTCTATAAATATTGTGACTTGTAATTGTCACTTATAAATTCATTCTGGCTATACTGAATCATTCCCCAATTATCCAAGTCATCCAAATATTCGATGTGCATTTCCACAAATCATGTAGTGGCCCGCTGATTGGGGATGATTTGTAGAATTAATTATATGCTTTAGATCTCCATTTAGGTCTTCAGGTCACCAATACATTAAGCAGAGCAGGGCCCTGAACAGCTTATATGGATCAACGATTGACAGAGCTCTCGGGGTTGCTGCAAAGCCACTGACTTTTGCTGTTCCCCATAACAAAGTATGTTCAAATCTAGGTCACAGGTTTGTGGTAGGGTCGATTCACAGTATACATGTGCAATGGCGTTCAGTAGCATAGCAGTTGAGGTTGTGAAGACATGTGCACCCAGGTCAAAGAAGAAAGATCCTTAGACAAAGCCGCTCAATTCCCAGGCACCCAATCTTCCTTGGGCTTTGTGAACCTGAGATTTGACAGGCTCTTGGGAATGTCTGTCTCTAAGACTCTGTTGGCAGGCTTAATCAGGCTGGTGGCCATCTCCATATGTGCCCCCCTAGCATTTGTGACAAAATAAAGGAAGGGGGACCCAATAAAGCTACTTCTGAAAGCTTATGATCCCACCCCTCATTTAAACTATGTGATGTTGTCATTCTATATAAACTCTTTCCAAGTAACTTAACTAAAACACACTTTGCCATTAGTCTTGAGTGTGGGCACAGCATTATTCTTTTCTAGGCCTTAAGGGTTCCTTCTGCTTAAAAATAATGTCTAACTTTCATGAAGTTTACCCATGATTAAAGTGCCTTCTGAATATATATTATCTTGTTCTATTGGTTTCAATATACCTATTTTCTTTAAAAAGAAAAAAATGATGAACCATGAGTGTTAACACCAGAAAAACCTTAAGGTGCATCTGATCTAATTTCCCACTTTAAAGTGAGAAAATCAAACAGTGCCTAGGGGTCTGATTTTTCCCCAGGCTAATTCGGGTTTTCATATTTCCATCTCAAAGTGGACTTTCTTTGGCTAACTTTAAGTTTTAAACGTAAAGGCCTGAAAAGTAACTCAGGATCTAGCTTTTTCATTAGTTTTGATCGTGTATGAAAGCAAATATTTCTTTCCCCCAAATGAAACC
The DNA here is from genome assembly GCF_000001405.40 of Homo sapiens. Classification (NCBI taxonomy): domain Eukaryota; kingdom Metazoa; phylum Chordata; class Mammalia; order Primates; family Hominidae; genus Homo; species Homo sapiens. The sequence goes on along the minus strand of NW_025791756.1, from coordinate 530,288 downwards.
CCAGGGCTTCCAGTATTTGTAGTGATAGTGTGAATCCATTAGGTCTATTTTTAATTATATCTCTCTTATTGGTTATTTTTTTCACATTTCCTAACTCATTTGTGATATTGCTTCCATATAATTCAACTTTTTGTGCGCTGGGTTCCCATTTGCCCCACAAAGGCCTATGTGCAAATCTGATATCCTGTTTGAATGACATTGTTTTGTTTTTACCTTATTGCTTCCTATCTTTCACAACAATGTTGTCAGTTCTCAACATTAAGGCATTAAAAATTAGCTTTTCTCAAATGCTCAGCATCATTAATCATTAGGGAAATGCAAATTAAAACCATAATGAATATCATCTCACACCTGTTAGAGTGGCATTTATCAAAAAGGTGAATGATGTGTTAGACATAATGCAGAGAAAAGGGAACACACACATTGTGAATAGGTATGTAAATTAGTACAGCTGGTGTGGAAAACAGTATGGAGTTTCCTCAAAAAACTAAAAATAGAATCTACCCTATGATCCAGGAACCCTATTTCTGGGTACATATCCAAGAGAAGCTTCAGAGAATGCTTTGTTGGGTTTTCTGGAACCCGGCAGGGCTCAGGTGTGTGGGGATGCGCTCTGTGAGCCTGTGTTTCCTCCGCCGTGAGGGCTCCTCCCGCTCCTGTAGGAAAAGGCAGTGCCCCTTTTGTCTTGTCCATGTGGGACTCCAAAGGGTCCAGACGCGACAGAAAGGCGGCGAATCCTCTCAGAGTGGGCAGGGGAGGAGACAGAATATGGGGAGGAGATAGAATATGGGAATGGGGCAGTAGAGGGGTGGGATTTCATGAAATTTCCTGATTCAAGGCTATCATGAAGTAGGCCTCTTTGGGAGCTCGGCCCTCCAGTCGCTGGTGAGGGTAACATCCCACCAGTCTCTGGTGAGGTCCAGTCGCCTCCGCCGACTGCATTGAAAGCCAAAAGCAGAACTAGGCCAGCACCGCGGCCTGGCGTCCAGTGACCCAGCGGTCTGTATATTCCCCAGGGCGGAAGCACTCGGACTTCAGGTTTGAAGGCAATGCGGTCACCACTGCAATAAGAAAAGCAACTAGGGAAAATGGCACCTTCTTCTCCAAACTTTTGAGACACTCTTGCTCTGTCGTCCAGGCTGGAGTGCAGTGGCACGATCTCGGCTCACTGCGACCTCTGCCTCCTGGGTTCAAGCGATTCTCCTGCCTCGGCCTCCCAAGAAGCTAATTTTTGGCATTGAGAGAGAGAGAGGGGAAGGGGGGGGGAGAGAGATTGATTTTAATGTCTTCAAGCAAAAAGAGACTCTTTCTGCCTGTTGGCCATCTGCTGCCAGGTGAACGTGAAAATCCATCGAGACGCTTTCTGTGAAAACCGCCTTTATCTCTTTGTCCCTCTTAGGTTAAAATCCGCACTCCAAAACCTTATTGAACAGAAAAATTACAAAAAGCACATATAAGACGTTTCAGTTTTGTAAAGGGTAAAATGAAACTGCCCTTCAAGAAGAATCAGAAGACCGACGAGGGAGAGAGGAGCGATCGTGAAATCTAAGTGGGCTGCCCCCGGGTCTTCCAGGGTTTTGTACTCGGTGGCTTGGCCTGAGTTGATGTGCCCATATTTTCAAACAGCCAAGTGCCCTGAGACACAGCCTTTGCTACGGTACCTGCTGAAATCTGGAAGTGTGATTAACTATTACTTAAATTGAGTGGGGCAGACTAAGAGACAGCAGCAGTGAAGGATGCCCTTTGGGAGAAAGACGTCGAGGCGCTGAGGCCAAAGGGTCCGTGAGGAAAGAGCCCGCAGCTCGCGCCCCTCGGCCTGCGGAAGGGAGGGCAAGGAGGGTCCTACGGTTCCTGGGAGGACGCGAAGAGCCAAGAGCTCTGACAGCTGGCGCCGGGGAAAAGGCCCCGAGGCGGGGTCCGCATCCCTGGAAGGGCGGCGTCCACACTCCTGCGAGGCACGGGGCGCCCGGGGCTCGGAAGCTCAAAGCCCGCCGGCTTCTGCAGCTTCTGGAGCTTCTGGGAGCCAAGAGTGTCAGCCGGAAGGATCCCGCACACGGCGCTTAGTTCTGGAACTGGATACCCGGGGGAGGATGCGGGATCCCGAAGCCCGGGTGTGGGTCCCCGTGGTCTTCGTGTTGGGGGTAGGTGCGGAACGCTAAGCCTGGGCCTACTGGGAGCCATAGTCTTCTTGATGGCTGGTGCTTATTGGGCTTTTTTCAATCGAATTTCAAAATGCAGTTGAATTTCTTACTTTGGAAACGATAATAGAAATGGCTGACCTCAGATTTTCATGATTATGTTTTGCCTTTTCCAGTGTATGTGCAGTTTCTGTAGTATAGTGGTTATCATGTTTGCCTCACATGTGAAAGACCCTTGGCTGCAGACTGGAGGGAAACATGGTTTTTTGGTTTTTCTTTTTGTCCCTAAATTTAGTGAGTTTAATCGAGGTTGGGAAACAAACAGAAAAGTAGTTGAACCTGTGGCTACACTTTAGACCTCCTCAATCTAGACAGATTGTTGACCAGGCTACAGTTTCCACTGGTCTGCCAGCAAGAGGCCTGCTTAATGTTAGCTTTGGTTCCAGAAATTCCTTAAGATTCTCTTCATTCTCTTCTGTCGCCTGAATTTTCATAGGCTGACACTGAAAGTGGATGACATCTTAATGCATTTCCTAAGTGTCCCGCTGGGCTTCGCTTTACTCTGATAAGTTGCAGATCTGGCTGATTTGCGAGACAAAAACAAAATATTTTTTTAAAAGGTTCTAAATCTGCATCTGGAACTCGTAGAGTCAATAATCTGAAACCACACGAATTATCTACATACAAAAGATTTTGAATGCATACCCCTTCCCCAAATAATCCTCAGAAAACCGGTTAAGTTTTAGCATCTATGACTCTGAGATGCATATGAGGCCTTTGTAAATTTAGAAGTTGAGAGTAGAAAGTACAGGTTTGTATTTTAGAAGGAGATTTGGGAATAAATATAGCTCTGGTGGATATAGATCATATGTTAAGGTTTGTTGGCCAGAGCTGGTGTGTGTCTTGGGTGTTGGGCAAAGAACAGAGAACAGCCAAAGCTCTGCGAGGTCAATGTGAAGGGTGATTTCCTTGGTGGGCTCAAGTTTATGACGCAGCCTGGACCTAGCTTGGCTTCTCAGCTAGAGAAGAAGCATGATTCCATGTCACAGCTCCTGTCTTTGAAAAAGTCATAATGACTCCCAGACCCAACATGTGGGGAAAACTCTGGATTTGTCTCTTCAGTTGAATGTCTCCGTTGAAAATTGAGGAAAGAAATCTCTCTACTATTTGAACTTCATCAAAAGACTAATATGTTAATATTTTGACCGTCAATATTTCCTTAAACTAGTCTACTCCTTTCATAGCTAATACATCAAAGCATATTAACTTAGGAAATGGGATTCTCCCAAACAAGGAAACATTGACGGCAAGGGTTCTTAATCTTTTCACATCACATTTCCTTCAAATGCTTTATACATCTTCAAGCAGACAAATAATAGTATTATAATGATTACGAGACCGATCATTACTCTTTTGCCAAAAAAACCAGCGACAAAAGACTAACTTAGTGGACCAACCTTTGTTTCTTCATTATCTGTACATTGATTCTGTCCTTTTATTTCGTCTTTCTTCTAATTCTGCTTCTGCTTCTTATTTCCTCCCTGGATTTGAACTTTATTTACCTAAACTACCAGTTAGGTTACCTTCTCAGAACCTCTAAGGCAGCAGTTTGAGATTGACAATGGAAGATTTAAGATTAGAAAAAAGAAACATGAATGAATTTCTGATGTTTTATTATAGGGGTTTATAATGCAGGTAGAAAGACCTTTTTCAGAGTTAAGAGTTTGATCCACCAAATGAGCTATTTTGATATTTATAACTTTGTCTAGTAAAAGTTTCCTATAAAAACATTTGGTTTGGATGTGTTTGTTAGCTTTTAGTCGACACTTGAAAAAGGCGGTTGGAAGTTTCTAAGTCTTTTTGGATACTCTTTTCTCTTATCCTCCAGGACATGGGTGTGTAGAGGCATTGGTGGTGCAGTGGTAGAATTCTCGCCTCCCACGTGGGAGACTCGGGTTCAATTCCCGGCCAATGCAGCAGGTACTTCTTCATTTCATTATGGCCCTTTACCCATCTTTTACGCTGCAAAATTATACTGCATAACCTAATAGTGCATTTAGGGGCTTGGCCACCACAAGGTAAAGTGACAACATTACTCACGAGAGTAGCGGCAAGAGACATTCAGGACACTAACCCAGGACCCATGCAATTGTTGGACTCAAACAGCTTAGCAAAGTGGCAAGCACGAAGTCTTTCCGGTGAGTCACTGCAGTTTTGATATTGGTACCTGTTACTTTCATCTATTCACGGGGCGGATCCCTGCAAACCCGAAGAATCATCAGGTTCCTGATTCGCGTGCTGGACCTTGGGCTTACTGCTGAGCCGCTGTAGAGAGGATCAAGAAATGACGCTCTTGGAAGGAGAGAAGCTGCGGGCAGGACAGTCACGTCAGAGGTCCAAGAGGCTTCAGCGGCCCAAAGAAAGGGAAGCTGTGTGGGGAAGAATCTGCGTGGAGATGAGGGGAGCGGCGGGGACTGGTCCTTGCGCAGAGGTGGCCAGTGGACCCTCAGGGCTGTACCCCAGACACCGTGAACCGAATTTGCTCACATCGTCAGCGGCCGCGGCCTCCGCGTGCTTTGTGGGCCCATCGGTGTTCTGCGAGGGATTCCGTGTGTCTGGCAATGTCTGTCAACAGGTGTTGGCCTGAAATTTGGCCGGGCACGTTGGCTCACGCCTGTAATCCCAGCACTGTGTGAGGCCGAGGCGGATGGATCGCTTGAGGTCAAGAGTTCAAGACCAGCCTGGCTAACATGGAAAAATCCCGTCTCTACTAAAAATACAAAAATTAGCCGAATGTGGTGGCATGCACCTGCTATTCCGGCTACTTGGGAGGCTGAGGCAGGAGAATCGCTTGAACTCAGGAGGCGGAGGTTGCAGTGAGCCAAGATCGCGCTACTGCAGTCCAGCCTGGGCGACAGAGCGAGACTCCGTCAAAAAAGAAAGAAAGAAAAAAAAGCAGCGAAAGAAGGCAGAGATGTCAATGGGACAAAGAGACCTCCCAGGAGGCTTGTTGTAGAGGCAGTGGTCGGATCCTGAGAGATGAGATTTTTTTTTAATTATGTAGCAGAATGGGGAGAGAAAGGGAGAAGCGCATGAAAGACAGAAAAGCACGAAAATCTGCGGACGTCCAACAATAAAGCAGATAAAATAGTGTGAGTGTTTTTACATTCAAAAAATAGAAGAAGTGCAATGCTTGTCAGCAGGCTTTGTGGTCGTGTAGTAGTTAATACTTGTAGTTGTGGTTGCCACAACCTGGGTTCTAATCTGAGTCACAGTAGTGTTTTCTAGCCTGCAACTGTGGCTAATAGACCTGTCGTTTGCTTTGCCTTTAATCCTAGCAGCCTCCAGAGAGCAGAGTAAACCTCTGGCCCCGAAGGGCGCCAGCTTCTGGAGTTTAGCCCACAGCGCAGAAACTAGGGGGCGGCCTGGCCGATAGGAAAACTTGGACATGCTCTTTGTCTCACAATTGAGCAGGAAAAATTCCCGTAGGTGAAGATGCTGCCTCTCAAGGGCCCTTTGTCTGTAGCTTCCACTGATGAAATAATGCGGTTATAGTCTTTTCTGGTAGAGAAAACGGCTGTATCAGTGGAATTTTTTAAAAACACAAAACGAGAACGAGTTTTTAATGAGCTGACAATAAAATCTAAACTAGTTGTCATGGTCTGCACAGGCTTACCTCCATTCCCCATCCGCTAATTTTTTATGAGAACAGTAAATTATTACTATTATTATTGTTTTTGAGACGTAGTCTTGTTCTGTCACCCAGGCTGGAGTGCCGTGGCTCAATCTCGGCTCACTGCAACCTCTGTCTCCCAGGTTCAAGCAATGAGAACAGTAAAGAAGCTACAGTTCACATAAAGTGCACAAATCTTTAGTGCAATTTGTTTAGTTTTGATCAATGTTATCACCACCCAGCTCAAGTTATAGAAAATTGCCATCATCTGAGAAAGGCCTGTTAGAGCCCCTGTCCAGGTGATTCCCACCCTGTGTCCTCTTAGTTATCACTATTCTGATGTCTATTCCCACAGGTTACAATTGCCTGTTCTTAAAGTTCACATGAATGAATGTACATATGTTTTGTGTCTGGCCTTTTTTCTGCAGTTACATTCATTATACTCATGAGATATATCCATGTAGTTTCATAGATCACTTCTCAATTTTGGGGTTATTGAATTCTTGTGCTGAATATTCTTATAACAGTCTTTGTGTGCACTTGAGATTCATGGAAGTCCTTCAATTGCTGGGTCATGACCTGAGTATAAGTTTAACATCAGTATAAATTGCCAGTCTTCTAGAATGTTTTTTCACCAGCGATGACAGTTGAAGTGGCACCAAATTCTTGTCAGCATTTGGTGTACTAACTTTGTTAAATGTAGCTATGCTCTCAGACCAATCTGGCCAACATGGCGAAACCCTGTCTCTACTCAAAATACAAAAATTAGCCGGGCATGGTGGCATGCACCTGTAGTCCCAGCTACTCCGGAGGGGGATGTTGCAGTGAGTCAAGATCGCACCATTGCACTCCAGCTTGGGTGACAGAATGAGACCCTGTCTCAGAAAAAAAAAAAAAAAGTAGCCATACACTGGTGAGTGGTTAGTGCTATCTCAGTGTGGAATTAATTTGTATTTGCCTAATGAGCAATCCTATGAAGCATACTTTCTTGTGGCTTCCAGCATATAAGAAACTCTCCTTTGCAAAGGCCTATTCGAATATTTTGCCCTATTTTATTTGGCTTAGCTCTATATTACTGATTTACAAAAGCTCTCTTGTATATTCAAGAATTGAGTCTTTTTTTTGACTTTTTTTATTATACTTTAAGTTTTAGGGTACATGTGCACAACGTGCAGGTTTGTTACATATGTATACATGTGCCATGTTGATGTGCTGCACCCATTAACTCGTCACTTACATTAGGTATATCTCCTAATGCTATCCCTCCCCCCTCCCCCCACCCCACAACAGGCCCTGGTGTGTGATGTTCCCCTTCCTGTGTCCAAGTGTTCTCATTGTTCAATTCCCACCTATGAGTGAGAACATGCAGTTCTTGGTTTTTTGTCCTTGCGATAGTTTGCTGAGAACGATGGTTTCCAGCTTCATCCATGTCCCTACAAAGGACATGAACTCATCAATTTTTATGGCTGCATAGTATTCCATGGTGTATATGTGCCACATTTTCTTCATCTAGTCTATCATTGTTGGACATTTGGGTTGGTTCCAAGTCTATGCTATTGTGAATAGTGCCGCAATAAACATACGTGTGCATGTGTCTTTATAGCAGCATGATTTATAATCCTTTGGCATTTATAATCATTTATAATAATCATTTATTTATAATCATATAAATCAAATAAATATATAATTTATTTATAATCATTTGTCTTTTAGCAGCATGATTTATATACCCAGTAATGGGATGGCTGGGTCAAATGGTATTTCTAGTTCTAGATCCCTGAGGAATCACCATACTGACTTCCACAACGGTTGAACTAGTTTACAGTCCCACCAACAGTGTAAAAGTGTTCCTATTTCTCCACATCCTCTCCAGCACCTGTTGCTTCCTGACTTTTTGATGATCGCCATTCTAACTGGTGTGAGATGGTATCTCATTGTGGTTTTGATTTGCATTTCCCTGATGGCCGCTGATGATGAGGATTTTTTCATGTGTCTTTTGGCTGCATAAATGTCTTCTGAGAAGTGTCTGTTCATATCCTTCGCCCACTTGTTGATGGGGTTCTTTGTTGTTTTCTTGCAAATTTGTTTGTGTTCTTTGTAGATTCTGATGAATCTACAGATGAGTAGATTGCAAAAATTTTCTCCCATTCTGTAGGTTGCCTGTTCACTGTGATGATAGTTTCTTTTGCTGCACAGAAGCTCTTAAGTTTAATTAGATCCCATTTGTCAATTTTGGCTTTTGTTGCCATTGCTTTTGCTGTTTTAGACATGAAGTCCTTGCCCATGCCTATGTCCTGAATGGTATTGCCTAGGTTTTCTTCTAGGCTTTTTATGGTTTTAGGTCTGACATTTAAGTCTTTAATCCATCTTGAATTAATTTTTGTATAAGGTGTAAGGAAAGGATCCAGTTTCAGCTTTCAACATATGGCTAGCCAGTTTTCCCAGCACCATTTATTAAATAGGGAATCCTTTCCCCATTTCTTGTTTTTGTCAGGTTTGTCAAAGATCAGATAGTTGTAGATGTGTGGCATTATTTCTGAGGGCTCTGTTCTCCTCCATTGGTCTATATCTCTGTTTTGGTACCAGTACCATGCTGTTTTGGTTACTGTAGCCTTGTAGTATAGTTTGAAGTCAGGTAGCGTGATGCCTCCAGCTTTGTTCTTTTGGCTTAGGATTGACATGGCAATGCGGGCTCTCTTTTGATTCCATATGAACTTTAAAGTAGTTTTTTCCAATTCTGTGAAGAAAGTCATTGGTAGCTTGATGGGGATGGCAGGGAATCTATAAATTACCTTGGGCAGTATGACCATTTTCCTGATAGTGATTCTTCCTACCCATGAGCGTGGAATGTTCTTCCATTTGTTTGTATCCTCTTTTATTTTGTTGAGCAGTGTTTTGTAGTTCTCCTTGAAGAGGTCCTTCACATCCCTTGTAAGTTGGATTCCTAGGTATTTTATTCTCTTTGAAGCAATTGTGAATGGGAGTTCCCTCATGATTTGGCTCTCTGTTTGTCTGTTATTGGTGTATAAGAATGCTTGTGATCTTTGCACAAGAATTTTGTATGCTGAGGAGTCATTTTTAAAATAAATATATTGCAAATGAATTTTCCCAGTCAGTGAAAAGTCTGACTGAAAGCTGTCAACTGAAAAATCACACAATTTATAAATTTAGAAGGGAGATTTTATTTTTTATAAATGGTTACAGCCTGCAAGGTGGCCATTCCGACAGACAGGGAGGCATACCCTCCTGCTGAAACCTGAAAAGTACGTTTCCAGGGAGGGGAGGGGGGAACAGGGATTTATGTTGATGTGGTGGGCCACATATACATATTCAACAGGGAATAGGAGGAGCTCTGAATATTCATGAAGGGATCCTGCTGCATGCATGCTGAGTAAACATGCCTGTTACATGCAACCCATGTTCACTTTGGGGTGGAGACAACATTTAAATACATTATAATTAGGCCCTATGCTTCAAAAGGGGAAGCAGGGACACAAAGGCAGTCAAGTGCACAGCCTCTGTAAACCGTCCAGAACCCGTCCACAGCCAGTGCTCTCTTATCAAGGGGAAGTTACTGAAATCAGTCCCTTGTCCAATCAAAGCTGTAGTTATGGCTTGTGTAGGGAGGGCTCAGTCAGTTTATGGTAATGGGTGAGCTGCAAGTGCTTCAGCATTGCTTATCTCAAGGCCAGTGCTTGTTTAGCTAGAGAAAAAAGGGAAGAAGAAAAAAACCTGTGGCAATTAGAACATAGTTTATTCTTTAAGTTGAGGGGTGCATGACTTAACCTTGCCTGACATGGCCTTAGGTCTTGTTTATAATATGGTATCTTACTACTGTAAGGACTCTGTTCTGTCAGTCTTAGGTTCTCTATTTTAACAATAATGCTGGTCAGTTGTGTCTAAACCACAAAGGGAGAGAGTATAAGGAGAGGTGTCTGAGCTTCCAAGTACTGGCCAGGAACTCAGTATTTAAGACTTCTCTGGGGTCTCCTTGGCAAAGAAGCCATCTGTCCAGCTAGTTGGGTGGCTTCAGATTTTAATTTTAGTTCTGAAAGCATTTAATTTGATGAAATTTTGCCATATTTTTTCTTTATTTTTAAAGCCCGTCATGTTCTATAAAAATCTTTCTACTCAGGATGTGAATGTATTCTCTTAATTTTATCTCTCTATGAGTTCCAGAGTTTCAGTTTTAATTTTTAAATTGATGACATCTAAAATTCTACTCCTAACCAAAACATTTTTGGGGGTGACTAAGGACAACTCCAAAAATCTTCCATAAATGGAAGTAAGACTTACTCCTTAAAGAACTTTCTGGGATCCTGAGCTGCGGGGCACAGTGGCTTTAGTGCACCTCTGCTCTTAAGACTATTCAGAAATTGTCTTTGTGAACCCATCAGGCTGTTTCAAAATCAGCAATTTAGGGCTTGCTTGCAACACGCAGTTAAGCAGCAGCTGTTTTTTGGATCTCATGAGTGCCTGCATGCATACTTCCCTGGGAATTTTCTAAATTTGAATTCTCATGGTATTTCAAGTGGCATAGTTGTCTCTTTCTTTTGCCTACAGCCACATACATACCACCAAATCCTGCACTCCAAGCTTCTCCTTCCTCACCCTGAACTCCCAACCTCCAGTTAGACAATCCACATCTTCCCACACCTGCCTCAGGCTCCATCAGGCCACTGTGCCTCCCGCAGCAACCAGGCCAGGGGGAATCTGGATTCCTATTACACTTCTGAGGAAGGTGATCAGGGGGCGTGGAGGATGTGGGTGGGAAGGGGTGAGATTGAGGGCAGGAGTACACTGTGGTCTTCTGTCTTCTACCTCATTGGCCCAGGTGCTGCTCTTCCTCCGGTTGTCTGCTTTCAGCCCTGTGTAGGGAATCAGGTCTGCGCCCTCATCTTCCTGACTCTCATTTTCTGAGGAACCTGAATGGATGAGCCGTCGCTCTTGTCCCACACATTGTGTCCAAAGGTGCCCTCCTCTCTACTTGCTCCGGTGCCTGCTCTCTGAGCTCTGACACTCAGGCTGGGATGCCGCCCAGTACAGAAGCTCTGCAGCCCTGCAGGGCTCTGACTGTTCCACACCAGCAGGATAAAGGCCACAGGGCATGCTGTGGTCGAAAAGCATTCAGAGGTGTGGGCTGAAGGCCTCTCTTTCCACAGTCCCTTTGAACACCCCATGGAAGTCAGCACCCCTTTGAGGAACGAGGTGGCCCAAGGCCTGGCTTCACATGCAGGCCGTTGGGTCCCAGTGGGTCCTCTCTGTGCCTGGTATAGCCAACGGCTTCATGCATCTTACCCGGTTTCCTCTCCTCCACCACCCAAGCTCCTCCTGGACCCCCTTGCTCAGCTGTTCTCAGGACAGCAAGATCCCCAGCCCTTGGAAAAGCCCATCTCTAGTGCTTGGGGAGGGAGTTGGGTTCAGGTCGTCTAACCACAGAAGGACAGAGAACTTGAGGCAGGAGGAAATCCCTTCCCTTGCTGGGTCTCTTGGCACAGCCCATCCAGGGGTCTGGGTCAGGGTCCAGGTATACTCCACCCTCCTATAGGACCTGGATTTTTAGGCCCCCGAGGTTGGTCAACGTGGAGTCTTTCCCACTGTTCACCTGGGAACTGAAGGAATATCCCATGGGGCCCTCTCTTACTCATTAGAGACACCCAGAAAATACTCCATTCAGCAGAAACTGCGTGCAGTGTACCAGACCACTATAATTATAACTGCAGGGTGTGGAGGTCAGACACGTTTTGTGGCTATTTTCTCTCTGTCTGTGACTTGCTTGCCTTTTCACTTTCTTAGTGGTATCTTTTGATGAGAAGGTGTGGCTAATGTTGATGAAGTCTCATTTATCATGTCTTTCTTATATATGTATTTTTTGTGTCCTGCTTGTTTGTAGGGTGATCTTTGCCTACCAACAAGTCACAAACTATCCTTGAAATGCTTTATATCTTTAACTTTTAAGTTTTGGTGTGTAATGCACCTGAAATTACTTTTGTGTGTAGTGTGAGGGAGAATAACATTGTTGGTCTCCCCACATTCATATAAAAGTCCATTAATTGAAATGATTTATTTTCTTTTATTGAACCGCTTTTATTGAAAACCCATTTATTGACCGTATAGCTGTGGATCAGTTTCAAGTCTCTTAACTCAGTCTGTTTATCTATTTGTCACTCCTGATGCCTTGTCTGTAATAGCTTATAGTAAGCCTTAAAGTCAGATAGTACAAGTCCTTGTTCTTTTTTACACATTGCAATAATTTTTGAAATAGGTAATAACTCATAAAACCATCACACACATCAGGATATGCTGTCACTTCATCCCTTTCTGATATAGTTTGGCCGTGCCCTCACCCAAATCTCAACTTGAATTGTATCTCCCAGAATTCCCATGTGTTGTGGGAGGGACCTAGGAGGAGGTAATTGAATCATGGGGGTGGGTCTTTCCTGTGCTATTCTCCTGATAGTGAATAAGTCTCACTATCTGCTGGGTTTCTCAGGGGTTTCTGCTTTGGCTTCTTCCTCATTTTCTCTTGCTGCTGCCTTGTAAGAAGTGCCTTTTGCCTCCCGCCATGATTCTGAGGCCTCCCCAGTCATATGGAAATGTAAGTCCAATTAAACCTCTTTTTCATCCCGGACTATGTTATGTATTTGTCAGCAGCGTGAAAACGGACTAATACACTCTCATTTCTGAGTGGGACACATGCTGTCACTCACATATGCTGGTTGCTGACTTGTGACGGAAGATTCTCTATTGTACCCTCTGGGGACAATACATCTCCAGTTGCCTGCGGGGAGGATGAACATGCAAAAAATCCACAACACTCAGCACAGAGTCTGGATTTAGTCCCATTAGTCTGAATGGGACTAATGCCCTTATAAAAGGGACCTCGGGGAGCTCTCTCGCCCTCTTTCTGCCCCCTGAGGATACAATGAGGAGGTGGCAGTCTACAACCAGAACAAAAGGCCCTCACCATAAACCTACCATGTCGGCACCTTGATCTCGGACTTCCAACCTCCGGAACTGTGAGAAATCAATTTCTGTTGTGAATCAGCCACCCAGTTTATGTATGGTACAGTGTTAGAGAAGCCCGAACTAAGACACAGATGGAATCCCATGGAGAGTCTCTAATTTCCTAAGCTGGTCATCAGGCGGGATGTTGCCAGTTAGAAACAGGAAAAGCTGACATTTTGTGTATATGAAAGAAGATAGTGGACAGGCCCATTGTGTCGGCTTTGTCTGCCTTGGCAAACTGGAGACGGAAACTCGATTCACCATCGCCAGCCACGGGAGGACTGGGAGGACCTCCAGAGGAGGTTAGGTTGACTTCATGGTAACTTTAGATCCTGAAACCTCCCAGGATATTTCTTGTCTTCCCTTTGATCTCTCTTCCGCCTACCCAACAGGACAGGACTCGACGCCTTTCTTTCCTGGCAGCAAGAGGTCCGTTGCGGACAAGACCAAAGTGAGCAGCTGGTTTCCCCTACGTGTCCTTCCGGGCCTGGGCATCTCTGGAGCTCAGGCTGACCCGAGACCTGACTCCCGGGCAGTGGGACCAGCAGGAGCCTGGAAGAGCGCGCCCACCGGGGTGGAGGTTGGTCGCCGGGGGTCGAGAACCGCAGTGAAACCCTCTTCTTCCCCGGGCACCGCGCACCTGCCCCCGGGGATGCCGAAGGAAGTGGCCCATAAAGCTTCTCTGCAACCGAAAGAGGCCTGAAGCTCCAGGAGGGCCGAGAGGAGCCTCGTTGAGCGAACCCAGCCCTCTGCCTGGCTGGCCCTGGTCAACAGGCTCGGAAGAGGCTGATTTGGAGGACAGAACGGAAGAAAAGACCTAAAGGTTTCGAATCTCATGATGTAGAGATGTTAAAAGCCTCCAATCCTAAGGTCTGACTGTGCGGGGGAGCGAGGGGGTCTCAAGCTGGATGGACCCCTGAGCCTTCATCTGGAGAGTCCTCTGCACAAGCTCAGACAGCAGGACAACGCGCATCAGTGGTTCTCAAGAGGGGGCAACTTTGCCCTTACACGCCTCTCCCATCCCCGCTGGGACACTAGGTCACGAATGGGGGAAGCGGGGAGGGAGAATGCTAACCCCCTGGCATGTATCTAGTCAGCAGAGGCGACGGCTGCTGCTAAACACCTTACAATCCACGGGAGGGCCCCTCCCCTACCCCGAAGTAGCCATTCCGCAGAGGTGGAGAGACTCGCGTGTAGCTCAATGCCCACGCACTTAGCCGATGGGAAATTACGAATTGATGACCAGTTGGCTCTTGGATCTGAGGAAAAAACTCCAGAGTCAGAGGGAACTCTCGAAGTTTTGCCCGGAGCAAACGGAAGGGTGGCGTTGCCATCGCCTAAGATGGGAAAATGGCAGGTGTCACAGGTTGCAGGGGAAGGTCGGAGACCAGCTGAGGGCCCCGGAGCCTTCCTGGAAAGAGTTTCCCATCCAGCCCGTCTCGGTTTCCGCATCCGTCTGATTCCTTATGATGTTGAGGGTGCTGGCGTCTGGGTCCTTTATGATGCAGAGGGTGCCCCCGTCTCACCCCGGGCGCCTCCGCGCTCCCGCCTCCTCCTGGCAACCTGGTGCGCGGCTCCGGACCTGGCGACCCACGACCGGCTGGTCACTTGCTGCCACCTCGCAAAGGCGCATCTCTAGTTCAGTGGTGAGCTGCGGCCCGGTCGCTGCAACTCGCTCCAGGCCTCCGGATTCGTGGCCTCGGTGTCCCTCGCGGAGCCCTCGGTGTGTCGCTTGCAGGCTCTTTTTTTGAAGAAAGCAGGGAGGGAATGGCCTTGTGAGAGACTCCAGGAGCAAAGAGCGACCCTCACAAGGCCCAAGTCCTCCCAGAGCTCAGGGAAGCTGTCGCTTCTGACAGAAGAAGGGAGACAAAGCTCCCTCCTGTGTGTCCCTGGTGGTCTAGTGGCTAGGATTCGGCGCTTTCACCGCCGCGGCCCGGGTTCGATTCCCGGCCAGGGAATTGTTTTACACTGGCCGCCCTCCCGCAGGAATCTTCCTTCACTACGCTGTCAGCCGGCCTGCTCCAAGGGCCAGAAGCAGAACAGTCTCCGCAGCGGGGTTAAAGCCGGGCGAAGGAGGGCAAGCGCTGGTGGACCACCTCTCACGACACACCGTTCCTGTTTATCTCCGTGTCCGTCATCCGCCGAAGCAGCTTTAGAGAGCGACTGAGCGTCTCGCTCCGGTGTACACAGCCCGGCAGAGATGCCAGCCCCCGTGGAGCTGCACCCAATAAGCCCACCTTCTTTCCCGTCGCCACCCCGGAGACGCCCATCGGGCTGAGCTGCGAATAACTAAGAGAGAGGCCAAGCCAAGTCGTGGCGTTTGTGGCAACCCCGGACACGGGCACCAGCCAGTCAGCGGAGCCTCCTCACCTCCGTTGCCAGCGAAGGCGCTCGTTAGGCCTTGGGAAGAGGCGACCGGAGGCGATGCCCGCGAATTTGTTAGGGGGGTAAGCGGCGGGTGAGGTCCTCGAGGGCGGTCCCGTTTGCTGATTGAGCGGTAGAGGGAGGCGATGTTCGCTGACCCAACAAGGACAGCAGGTGGAGTAGGCACAGATGGAAAACTGCTGCCGGTGCCCTAAGCAGAAGGCAGGTGGAAAAATCAGCACTAGGACGTCGAAGCGATGGTACCACAGTCAAATCCCACGACGTCTACACTCTACCAAGCACTTGCGCACGCTCCCCCTTTTCCATTCAGTACTCCCAAGAGGGGTTCGGAAGAACCCCGAGTCCACTGTAAGCTCAGGGGAGAGCGGGAGCCAGGGAGGTGAAGTGCGCAGACTCGGCAGAGGCGGCGGGCAGAACCGCGGGGGGGTGAGAGGGCGCGGTGGCTGCGGGGCGGGAGCCGCTGCTGAGAGGCGGCCTGGGTTGTCTTGTGGGGTGACTGTCGGTGGAATCTTTGGTGGAGAGTGGTTTGGAAGAATGGCGAGGGGCGGCAGTGGGGAGGGTGGTGACCCTGAGCGACCGGCCAGGGCGAGGAGGCTGTGCTGTCCCTGCAGGCCATGTGCTCATTTCCACTTACCTGGCAGGGGAGAGACCGTGGTCACGAAGGGGGTTCTCCCAGAGTGAAGCTTCTTCATCGCACTCTAGAGTTGCTGATCCCTGTGATTTCCTCCATGTGGGAAACGGTGTTTGTGCTAGAAGAGGCTGCGCTCTTTACCTGACATAACGGGGTTCAAGACTGACAACGCCTCACGCCCACCCGAAAACGTTTACATGGCTTCCTTGTCTCTTTTTTTTTCTGTCCTAAAGTCGCCTCATCTTCACATCCCCTCTTTTTTTTCTTCCACACTCGAGAGTGTCTCTCTCTCTCAGTAAAAGCTCCACCAAATATTTGAAATATCTCAACCAGAAAGACTGCAATAAATACATTATTTCATTCGTGGAAGGTACAGACCAGCTAGATTGAGAGTTGCTTGATATTTTCTGCTAAACGGTGAGGCATAGAGCACTTGGAAGGTTTCTCTTTGGGCCACTGTTTGTGTACTCTTGGGTTTCCTTCTTTTCCCCAGACAGTATGGCGCTGTGGGGCCAGGGGTAAACCCTGCTTTCCGGCTTTCTGGCTGCAGATAAAGGCCTCAGCTGGTGCAGGAATCAAAAGCAAACCAAAAGACACGTGGGTTCGCCCCAGTGGGTCCAAGATAGAGTCTGACTGTACCAGGATTCGGATTAGAACAGAGGTTGCTGCAGGCACAACGCAGACTACTAACCACTAGAGAATCCCAAGGCGCCCCACACCTACTGCCCGTCGTTTTGCTTCCCCACCCCTCTATTATTTATTTATATATTTTTTTGAGAGACAGAATTTCGCTTTGTCGCCCAGGCTGGAGGGCAGCGGCACGATCTCGGCTCACTGCTACCTCCGCCTCTTAGGTTCAAGTGATTCTCCTGCCTCAGCCTCCTAAGTAGCTGAGACTACAAACGTGCACCACCACGCCCAGCTAATTTTTGTATTTGTGGTAGAGACGAGCTTTCACCATGTTGGCCCGGCTGGTCTCGAACTCCTGACTTCAAGTGAGTGATCCACCCACCTCGGCCTCCCAAAGTGCTGGGATTACAGGCGTGAGCCACTGCCCCTGGTCCCCCGATTTTTTTTATTAATGCAAAAACATTATGCGATTTTTACTTCTTTATTCTTGGGCAGCTACAGGTTCTTGTGATTTTCTCTCACATCTTCTCCCCATTTCCCCCTCTCCATTCTGATACATGTCCCATCTTCTCTGCATCCAGCCGGTGCCCTCTGCACGGGCATCCTGGGCTGTCCCATTGTCTAGTCCTGGTCTCCCCTGCTTCTCCCTCCTCCTTTTCACGTTTTCCCTTTTGACTCCCCTGCCTCTTTCCCGCTCCCGCCCCACCGACCCCATCTACTGAAGCCGAGTTGAGTGAAGGGAGAGCAAGCGGAGCAGATGACTGCCTGAAGGCGGCGCAAAAAAACAGAAAGAGCTACCGTGAGAGCCGTCGGGGAGTTCAGCTTCCCTTGGGCCCCACTTGGCTCAGGCTGGGGTCGCAGATCCAGGCATTTCCAGAGGCACTGGCTTCTGAAGCAGGCGAGGGTGAACGCAGGGTGAAGGCCATTCGGCCGCCCTTCTGGCTTCAGAGTCACGCAATGCACGCGTTTCTAACGTGCAGCAAGACGATTAGTCGACTCAGCCTCTCCGGTTTTCTGAAGCTTTGTAGTCTGCACAGTTGTCCCGCAGAAAGCGAATGGCAACTCCTAGGGTTTAGTGATTGCTTAATCTATATAGAGATGAAAGCAAGCGATTGAGGTTGTCTCTGTGGTGCAATCGGTTAGCGCGTTCGGCTGTTAACCATAAGGTTGGTGGTTAGAGACCACCCAGGGACGTGATTTTAAATGTTGGTTGTGACCAGGCGCAGTGCCTCACGTCTATTAATCCCAACGCTTTGATAGGCTGAAGTAGGGGAAGCCTCCACGGAGCTCAGAAGTTCAAGACCAATGAGAATCCACCTCATTTAAAAAAAAAAAAATGCAGTTGTATCTATCTCCTCAGACCCTTCAATGTATTTAAAAGTGAAAGACTGTTCCCTTGTGTCTTGTGCATCCCATGAGGACAGACAGCAGAAGGTCCCCCTCCAAGCCTCCTAGAAAATGAGATCTCTGCAGAACAAACTAGCTTGTATGTACGGGAAACGGAAAGTATTTGAAGAAACAAACTTCAAAAATTCTGCCTTGCTTTCCACAAAAATTAACCCATCACAGTCTGCCTTCTAGTGGCATCATACCTCTTCCCATGACTCCTCCCCCTGCCTTTATGCTATTGTCATGCATTTTACTTTACACCTGTTATAAACCTTACAATCCATCTCTATTACTTTTGTTTCAAGAGTCAGATGTGTTTTTGTTTGTTTGTTTATTTTTGTTTTTTTGTTGCTGGTGGTGGTGTTTTTAAGACGAGTCTCACTCTATCGGACAGGCTGGAGTGCAGTGGCACAGTCTTGGCTCACTGCAACCTCTGCTTTCCGGGTTCAAGCGATTCTCCTGACTCAGACTCCTGAGTAGCAGAGACTACAGGCTTGGGCCACCATATCGGACTAATTTCTGAATTTTTAGTAGAGAGGAAGGTTCACCATATTGGCCAGGATGGTCTCAAACTCCTGACCTCAAGTGATCCACCTTCCTTGAATCCCAAAGTGCTGGGATTCCAGGCGTGAGCCATCGTGCCCGGCTAAACAGTCAGATGTTAAAATTATATATTTGCCTATGTACATGTCATTTCTAGTGTCTTTTTTTTTTCATCCAGATTTTCATCTGGTGTCAGTTTCCTTCTGCCTGGAGGACTCCTTTAACTTGTCTATTAGGTGTCTTAAACTTGCACTGTCATTCACTGATGCTCTGTTCATTTAAAAAAAAACTTGTTGGCCGGGTGCGGTGGCTCACGCCTGTAATGCCAGCACTTTGCGAGGCCGAGGTGGTAGATCAGGAGGTCAGGAGATCGAGACCATCCTGGCTAACACGGTGAAACCCCGTCTCTACTAAAAATACAAAAAAATTAGCTGGCTGTGGTGGCGGGCGCCTGTAGTCCCAGCTACTCAGGAGGCTGAGGTGGGAGAATGGTGTGAACCCAGGAGGCGGAGCTTGGAACCTGTCAAAAGGCATTCTTAGCCTTAAAAGAAAAGCCAGGGACATCCCTTGCCTCAGGACTCTCGAACTTAGAAAAACCTTTCACCCTCTATGTGGATGAATAACAAGGGACAGCTTCAAATGTTCTAATTCAAAGGCTGAGGAATTGCTTTGGACCAGTGGCTTATTTCTCTAAACAGCTAGACCAGGTGGCAGCTAGGTGACTAGGAAGCTTGAGATCTGTGGCTACCATCACTTTATTGTTAGAAGAAACCAGTAAGTTTACCTTGGGACAACAATTACATGCCATACCACCCCACCCCCACCCCCTGCCACCCCATGAAGTACAGTACAGAGGGTCCTAGAGGCAAAAGTACACCAATGGCTAACAGGGAGCCAGTTACTTAAATATCAGACCCTTCTGCTTGACACCCCAGATGTTACCCTGAAAGTATCCTGATTTTGAAACCCTGCTACTCTGTTGCTGCACCTCACATCTCAAGAAACAGATCCCAAACTCATTGACTCCTGTGTGGAAACCACGGAAGAGCTCTACTCTAGAAGGCCCAACCTTGAAGACAAGCTCTTGTCTAACCCAAATGTTGAGTGGTTTAGAGATGGAAATAGCTATATTCATGAGGGAGTAAGAAAGGAAGCTTAGCCAACAAGAAGTCATTGAGGCCAAGGGTTTACCTTCTCAGACTTCTGTTCAAAAAGCAGAATTAGCTGCTCTAATTAGGGCCTTCCAACCATGAAAAGACTTAAGCTGGACACGGTGGCTCACGCCTGTAATCCCAGCACTTTGGGAGGCCAAGGTGGGTGGATCACCTGAGGTTGGGAGTTCTATACCGGCCTAGCCAACATGGCGAAACCCCGTGTCTACTAAAAATACAAAAATTAGCCCGGTGTGGTGGGGGGCGCCTGTAATCCCAGCTACTTGGGAGGCTGGGGCATGAGAATCCCTGAGTTTGCAGTGAGCTGAGATTGCAGTGAGCTGAGATCATGCCACTGCACTCCAGCCTGGGCGACACAGCAAGACTCCGTTTCAAAAAAAGAAGAAGAAAACCAAAACCTCAAGAGTCAATGTGTTGACTGACTCTAAATGTGGGTTCCTGGTGCTCCATGCTCATGCAGCCATAGGGAAGGAAAGGGGACTATCAAGAGCCAAGGGATCCCCCACACAACTTTACTCAGATCTTGGAACTTTTAGATGCTGTCCAACTCCCAAAGAAATAACAATTACTCACCGCAGGGGACACCAGAAGGGAGACACTTTTATTATTAGAGGAAATTCCCTGGTGGAAAGAGCAGCTAAGGCCACAGCTAAGGAAACCCTGGTATTTCAGGCTGCTGCGCTACTACCAGGTACTGCATCCGTGTCAGTGACACCATACTATACCCCTAAGGAAATTAAAGGGACTGAGTAAAAGGCTTCCAGGGAGACCCCTCTGGATGGTTGCTAGAAAAGAACAAACTCTATTCCTGAGGCTGACAAATGGGAAATAATTAAACATTTTCATGATTCCTCACATTTGGGACAGGATTTTCCATTTAAATTAGTTTCCTAAATATTCTTGCGGAAGGGACTGTTCCAAACTATAAAAAGGGTTACCACTCAGGAAGCCACCCCATACCCCGATCCCTGCTTAAACCTGTACAACACCAAGGAACATACCATGGTGAAGACTGGCAGACAGACTTAAGCCAGATGCCACCTTACAGGGAACTACAAGATTTGCTAGTATTTATAGACACTTTCACCAGGTGGATAGAAGCTTTCCCCACAAGGACAGGAAAAGTACTGGAAGTGTCTAAATTCTTAAAGAAATCATTCCAAGATTTGGATTACCAAAAGGTTTGCAAGGTGACAACTGACCTCACTTCACAGCTAAGGTGACCCAGTGAGGTCATGCCTCAGCCTTAGGCATTACCTATCTTCACTCCTCATGGAGATCTCAGTCTTCAAATAACATAGAAAGCCAATCGCGACATTAGCAAAACTCTTTCAGTTTGGGGGCTTGCCTGCCCTGCGTCACTATCATTGTTTCCTTGGGTTTCCCAGGAATGTACATGTGTCAGACTGCCGCCCTGCTTATAGATCTGTTTCCCTGCAAGGAAACAGGAATATGTTGCCTGTGGCTTCCAGAGTTGGAGATACATGTAGTTGCACCCCTGAGGGCTAACATTTAATTTTGGAATCAAGTGATGCATTCAGACTGGTTGTTATCATTCTGTGGTATATATTTAGTGAACACATTCTGATTGAGTTTCCTGCTTTTAGCTGGAGCAAGAAAGTTTAATAATTGTGATTTGTATGAAAAAATCATAGGCAAGGGAATGGGTGTAAAATAAACTTTATTGTCAGAGGTTTCTAAAGGCTCATCCTTCAAGGAAAACGGACATATGCTGAAGAGCTGATAAACTGTCTACAGCAGTGTTATTCTAAGCTAATCTTGATTCCAAGTTCTTGCCATTTTCCTCCAGCTGCTGTTGACTCCACTTATATATAGGATGGGGGAAAGGGGATTATCTATGAATGTAGGCATCACTCTCTCTTGGGCAGTTATCACATTGGCAGACTGAAGGGATGTGATTTCTACAGTCAAACTATCCATTTGGAGTACAAATCTGGAGTGGCTGTAAAATTCGGTTCTCAGAGATGAACTTGCAGATTCAGACTTTCAATTGTTCTGTTGTTTTAGTTTTTCTCATCAACTGGGGAACTGTTTGTGACTAAGCTTTGTTAAAAGTAGAGAAGAGTTTTTCATAGTTCCAACATTAGTTGTTACCCGAAACAAACAAAAACACACACACATACAATTAAACAATAATCTTTGGTGAGGTCTTGCTGATACCTGAGGCTGGAGTGAGAGCTGACTGGTGATACAGGCCAGGTGCAAACTGAGTGCAACTAAGTGGATAATCTCCAGTAGTGAACTACAGTCTAGAAGAAGATAGTAATAATAGATTAAAAAAAAGTCTCCTGAGGTGAACCAGCTGGCGTGTGGTGTAGGACACAGGACCCCACCCACCTTATGATTCTAAGAGCCTTGCTCAAAGCCACTGCAGTTGAGTTCGCTAGGTCTCTACCACCTCCTCAGCATCAATTGACTCTCCATAATACTCTTCTGGAGAGAAATAAGGGTCTTTCAACCTCCCAGGAAGGGATTTGCTTAGCCTCAAATATGCACATTCAGGAATAGCTTGTCGTAAGAAAGAGAGGATAGTTTGCAGAGAAATAACCCTCCTAAGTCCACATCCTATTCCTTTTAAATAAGAGAGTGGTGACAAGGGAAGAGCCCTAGAATGTCAAAGCCAACAGGGTGCTCAGATACCACCCAAGTACAGTTCCATCTTTGGCCATAAGGAGACAATGGTGTCAAGAGGCTAAGGCCGTATGATCTGTAGGTGAAAAATCTGGGATGGGAATCAAGTCCTCAAACCTTTTCCACTACATCACAGAGTTTAGGAGCAGTTAGAGGGAAGGCTTCAATCTGGAGAACACTAACAGGCTCTAGAGATTATTGGGTCATGGTGGCTGGGACAGAAATAAGGATTCACAGAAAGATGTTTATAGTAAATGTTCTTTTGGGATTTTGCTTGATAAAAAGGCTGAGCAAAAGTAAAAATGTATTTCTTTTCTTTTTTCTTTTTTTTTTTTTTTTGTTTAGACAGTTTCACTCTTGTTTCCCAGGCTGGAGTGCAATGGTGCAAACTCAGCTCACCACAACCTCCACCCCCTGGGGTTCAAGCAATTCTCCTGCCTCAGCCTCCCAAGTAGGTGTGATTACAGGCATGCACCACCACGCCCAGCTAATTTTTTTTTTTTTTTTTTTTTTTTTTTAGTAGAGACAGGGTTCCTCCATGTTGGTCAGGCTGGTCTCAAACTCCCAACCTCAAGTGATCCTCCCAAAGTGCTGGGATTACAGGCTCTAGCCACCACACCCGGCCAAAAGTAAAAATTTTCTAATTGCAATTCTGAACCACTTAGGGGTTGTGAAATCAATATAGTGGACTGCTTATTACTACAGGCTTTATTTAAATTCTAGGTAGGGTGGATTACACATAGTAAAAGATTTTTTAAAAACTGATCACAGGACAGGCGCGGTGGCTCATGCCTGTAATCCCAGCACTTTGGGAGGCTGAGGCAGGTGGATCACGCGGTCAGGAGATTGAGACCATCCTGGCTAACACGGTGAAACCCCGTCTCTACTAAAAATAAAAAAAAAAAAAAAAATTAGCTGGGCATGGTGGTGGGTGCCTGTAGTCCCAGCTACTCAGGACGCTAAGGCAGGAGAATGGTGTAAACCTGGGAGGGCGGAGCTTGCAGTAAGCCAAGGTCACACCAATGCACTCCAACCTGGGCAACAGAGCAAGACTCCATCTCAAAAAAAGAAAAAAAAAACTGATCACAAAGAATTGTATATTTCTCACTGCATCTTGTGGTCAGAAAAGTTTGAGAAACTACTCTACATAGGCAAATTACAGGTCCAATCTCTCCATCTACCTCTTTATCTCTTCTCTATTTCCACGCTATGCAGACAAGACCACGGAGAGAGGAAGGCAAATTCCATCAATGGGTGCTGTTAAGCCTTTTCTATGAGGTAGCTGCACATTTGGGGCACTTCAATACTGGTTACTTGAGATTCTAGTAGACAGATTGTCCTTTTCATCTCTAGCCACATGGTAAAATTACTTGGGAGCTTTTTAAGACTACTAGTGGCTTCCACCCACCTGGAAGCATTTAAATCAGAATCTCTATGTGTAGAGTCCAGGCACTTGTGTTAGTTAAAACCTCACCAGGCTTTATAATATGACAGAGTGGTTTAAAGCTACGGAGTAGACCCACCCTATTTCCTACCTTTCTCTTTGTTTCTCTTTCACCATAGGCTTCTTTCCCATGAGAAAGTAAAGATTTTAGTCTCTGTTTTCAGAGTCTCAAGTAAATCACTCTCTTTCTCAACTGGACTTCCAAGGCAAAGATTTCTTTCTATTTATCTATCTGCATTTTTACAAAGTTGGCCTCTGGATTCCCTTTTCCCAAACCTAATTCACCACAAAGGTGCCCCTCAAGTCAAGGAGCTGGGCTTTCATACACCTGCACCTGTCAATCATGGGTAAATATTTTGCAGGCAGGGTTGCTGGGTGCTGTGGGATTGACGTAAACTCCCAGGTATTGCCAGCTCTGAGCCTCAGGCAAGCTTGTGACTAAATGACTCCAGTAGTCTGAGGATAGTCCTTACTCAGAAGGGTCTGTGGAAGCAAAAGCAAACATAGGCATGAGAGGGTTAAAAAAAAAAAAAAAAAAAAAAAAAAAAATCTCATGTCATCTTGGCTTATACCTAACAGAACTTGTGCAAGAATGGATATTAAGGTGGGTATTGTACAGAGCAGAACTTAATAAATACCAAGTCTGGAGTTTAAGGGATAGGCTGAAGAGATTTTGCAGGTTTGTAAACATTTTTGCCAACTTGAACACACTTTTGTTTGGGTTTGGTTTTTCTCCTCATTGGTAAGAGCTACGCACAATAGGGTAGCTAAGATATTATAATTTGAATCGATACATTTGTATTTTGCCAAGGATCAAGATGAACTATGATGATTTCCATTTTTTAGTACTTTATTTTCATCAGTTTGAAAATTAGGACTTTTGCTCCTTTTTTGGCTTGTGGCACCTTTTTGGTTTTCACACTTTCTCAAAGACCAGTAACTTAGAATCTAAATTATGATTGCTTATTCTTTCAGTACTCTAGGGGAAAGTTGATTTAATCTTGACAAAATGTATTCAGTTAAAATAATTGTTCTCTTAAATCTTTCTTTCTTTCTTTCTTTCTTTCTTTCTTTTTTCTTTTTTTGGAGATGGAGTCTTGCTCTGTCACCCAGGCTAGTGTGCAGTGGCACAATCTTGGCTCACTGCAACCTCCGCCTCCTGGGTTCAAATGACTCTCCTGCCTCGGCCTCCCGAGTAGCTGGGCCTATAGGCGCATGCCATCACGCCCGGCTAATTTTTGTATTTTTAGTAGAGATGGGGTTTCACCATGTTGTTCTCTTAAATCTTTTCACCTTTTAAGTTTGTCCTTCCTTTCTCCAATTTGCAATAGGGGAGTGTGGCTCGCAGCTAAATAGTAGACTTCTCAGAGCTACTTATTCCTGGAGCCTGGCAGTCTGCAGGCCTGGAGGGGGAGCATCTAGAAAGCAGCCCTCTCTAAGTTGAGAATAACTATGAGAATTGTGGGTTATAAGGCTTTGAGCAGCTCTGGCCTCCCCGTCCTCTTTTGTTTCTACTGTGGGATGTGACAAGAGAAGGAACTCATCTGAGAGAGACTTCATATTGTGGCCTTTCACCGATTACTTCTGGAAATTTGATTCAGGCAAGCCAGGGAGAGTGTCTGGTATTCTTCTCTGAGAAGAAGAATTCATTATACAGCTGGACAATGGAATCTATGATCTGCCTGTAGAGGTTAGAGGTGCATCCTGTTCCAGGAAATAATTACAATTTAGGCAAGTTATACATGTTTGCTTAAGAGAATGCTTTCTGCACATTTCATGTTCTTCCTTTCTATCTTAGCCTAGGGAGAAAACCGTGGGGACTCAGGGCTGGAACTTTAGTGTGATGGGGCAGAAGCTTAATTTTCACATGATTCTCAACAAATGGCAGCATATCCCATGTATTATCATGTCCAATGGCTGCAATATGAAGGAGGCTTTTCCGAAATAGTTGCTGCTTTGGTAAAAAATTAACTAGATGGATTCAAAGTCAAATTTGAAGAAAGCTGAGCAGGCAGAAGAAACAATCAGTGAACCTGAAGATAAGGCAATGGAAATCATCCAGTTTGAGGAACAGAAATAAAAAAAGATTGAAGAAAAGTGAACAGAGCCTAAGTGACCATCAAGTGGACCACCATGTACATTGTGGAAGTTCTTTTTTGTTGTTGTTGTTTTGGGGGGTGGGAGGGGGGAAGGAGTTTCATTTTTGCTGCCCAGACTGGAATGCAATGGCGCTATCTCAGCTCACCGCAACCTCTGCCTCCTGGTTTCAAGCAATTCTCCCACCTCAGCCTCCCAAGTAGCTGGGATTGCAGGCATGCACCACCATGCCTGGCTAATTTTGTATTTTTAGTAGAGACGGCATTTCTCCATGTTGGTCACGCTGGTCTCAAACTCCTGACCTCAGGTGATCCTCCCGCCTCGGCCTCCCAAAATGCTGGGATTACAGGCATGAGCTACTGCTCCCAGCCTTGCATTGTGGAATTTCTAAAGAAGAGGGAGAGAAGGGCAATAGAGAATATTTGAAGAAATCATGGCTGAAAACTTCCCAAATTTGATGAAAGACATGAATACAAACACAGTAGCCTAACAAACTCCAAGTAAGATAAACCTAAAGAGACCTACACCAAAACGCATTATAATCAAACTTTCAAAAGTCAAAGAGAATCTTTAAATTGGTAAGAGAAAAGCAACTGGTCACATGCAAGAAATCTTTAATAAGATTATCAACAGATTTCTCATCAGAAACTCTGGAAGCTGGAAGGACAGGAAATCAAAAGCTGCCAACAACCAGGAGGGGTGGCTCATATCTATAATCCCAACACTTTGGGTGGCTGAGGCAGGCAGATCACTTGAGGTCAGGAGCTCAAGACCAGCCTGGCCAACATGACAAAACCCTGTCTCTATTAAAAATACAAAAATTAGCCAGGCGTGGTGGTGGGTGACTGTAATCCCAGCGACTTGAGAGACCAAGGTGGGAGAATCACTTGAACCTGGGAGGCGGAGGTTGCAGTAAGCCAAGATCTCGCCACTGCACTCCAGCCTGGGTGATAGGGTGAGACTCTGTATTAATAAACAAACAAACAAACAAAAGCTGCCCGTGAAAGGGAAAAGGATCAATAAATGGGTATTCCAAAAAGTCAAAAGTCACACAAATATCAAGCCAAAATAAACTGGTTTCCTGACTGGAAATCGAACCCAGGCTATGGCAGCAAAACACAGAACTTTAAGCACTGAACTGCAAGGTAGAGCAGACTTTATTGTGCATCCTGGAAGGGATCCAGAGCAGGCAGTTTGAGCTTATGAAGAATTTTAACTTTGTTTCGGGTCAAATTTTGCTCTTTAATTTAGTTAAGAGAATTTTTTTTCCCTACACAACACACATAATATTGTCAAGAGAATTTTTAAGGGTAGCCATGACACTATTATGTGTGTTTGTTTTAATTTGATCTTCCTATGAACTGTTAAAATAAGAGATCTCTAAAATCTTTTTTTTTTTTTAATTCAGGTGTCTAATTTAAGGGATCCATCTTCAGGCCATTGGCAAGTAGAATTTCCAATGGTGTAATTATTGCAATAGCAATTCAACCAAATAGCCCCTTTGTGGAAAGCCCAGGATGTCATTTTCCAGGTTAACCTCCTGGGAAGGGCAAAGAAGAAGCAATCCCAAAGATTCCCCTGCAAGAAAAAAGTTCAATGCAAGGAGTAGACCACAGATGGGTAAGGATGATGTTGGCCTCCAGTAACCCAGATATTTATGGGGGCTTCCAGTCACAGACCTCTGAATCTATAATACCAGGTAGGCCCTCTTGGGATTGAGCTTTCCTAGGACTAACCAGGCAACAAGAATTGAGATGACAAAAGCCTCAAAGGGATGGGACTTCTTAAGACAAACCCCAAGAGCTTGTCATGGTCAGAACAAAAAGTGTGCTGGGGTTCCCAGCCATTTTCAGACAGGCCACCTAGTATGACCTGATAGTTACTGCCTCTTTCCAGATAGTGGAAACCAAGAGAAAGCGCTCCCACTTGCTCACAAGTCAAGCTCTCAAGGACATAAAATAAGATGAGAAGGAACCTCAACCGGTACCCCCTTTTATGACAGAATAACACATAGAGACAAAGACAAAGGAACAGACAATTTCTGGGAACAAAGGGATTAAACAATAGGAATTGGTACCACAAAGTACCAAAAAGCACACCAGAGTCACTATACCCAAGACTAGTCACACAAATCCTTTTCTCCAATTAATCAAGATTTTGGAGAGGGAAAAGAAAGAAACAGTGATTTTTACTGTCCACTTGATGAGATTCCACACAGAGAAGGAGGCCAGGAGCCTGGCTGGTAAAAAAATTCTTACCCTTATGACAGCTGATCAGATCCTGGGTTCTTCACTGCAGCTTCCAGAAGAGCAGAGCTTTCCTATCCTGCTTACAGCTCCAAAACTGTAGGGGCCAATGGAAACCCTCCCTCTTAACCCTCTGAAGTTTCACTCAAAAATCAAGTCACAAAAGGCAGATTAATTGGAAAAAAGGCATAAAATGTACTAACATGTGCATGGGGAGAGTCACAGAGTGATTACCCTCCCCTACCCACAATGGGATGCAGAAGCTTATATACCATCTTGAGGTAACAGAATGAATGAGGGCTCAAAGCATGGCCAAAACCAGGTGCAATCAGAGTCAGAGGTATATCCAATTATTGTGGACAAGATAAGTGATGGTAGGGAGAGAAGAGGAGGCTTGGCTAGCAAAGGTGGTCTTAATATGTAAATGAAACCCTACAGTTAGCAGCTCTCAGAGAGAATAAACCCTAAAAATTTCTTTCAGACCTTTACATGTGTCAGACTCTCAGTTAATCTTTCCTAGATCTGGGCAAGGAAAGACTTGGCTGTATCAATGCAGATTCCCTACAGATGCAAATCTCCCCAACAAAAGACAACTTTGCAGGGCTACTTCTGCAGCTGGCTTTCTGAACAGACATCTCAAAATATGTCAAAGAAATGTAGTTTGGGGTCAAATATTTTTAATTCCTTCACATCTACAGCCTGATGCATCGGCCGTTTCAATGCACCATTGTTGGTGGCAACTCCATTCTTCCCTATACTCAAGCCAAAAAAACAGGTTCTCCTTGAGGCTAGTCTTTTTCTCACAGCACACATCCAATTTGTCAGAAAACTTATGTTTCCTGTTTGGTTAATTACAGATTTTGATCTGCCCAATCTTTCTCTTTCTTGGTCTCTGAATTTTGGCAAAGGAGTCTCCTGATACAGGCAGGATAGATTCTACTGACGATTCTCAAAACCGTCAGACACTTAAGAGCCTTAATCTCGGGGTAGGGGTTTGGGCCGCCCTCGAACCTTTTCTTTGGGCCTCCCCATCAAAATCAGTCTGGCCAGGCCTGTCTTCAAGGCCCAGGGGCAGGGCCAGGTCCTCCCGATGCTTCTTGAAGCTTCTCCTGCCGGGTCAGCAGCCACCCTCCCCTTCCCTCTGACCTGCAGAGAAGCTTCAGGGGGCATTTATTCAATTTGCTAGGAGCTCACGGATGCAGGTGCGCGGTGACTCTGTGGTTCCCACCGCACCCACCGCCCTCCTTGGTCCTCTCACTGTCTGAAGCGGGCAGTAATGTTCAGGGTGAGCTTGGGCTCCGAAGACACCCAGTCAAGGAGGGACCAGTAGGGAAGGGCACTGGCCCCTTAGGTCCTTCCCAGCTAGGGATCCGAAAAAGTTCTTGAAGAAATAGAAAGGGAGAGTTGGAAGTAGATCAAAGGGAAAGAAAGAAAATCCTAGATTTCCTATCTGAAGGCACCATGAAGAGAAAGTCCGCCTCCTCTGGGCCGCGTCCTCACGTCGCTGGTGAACCGAGTTCTGTTCTCCATTGGAGACCAAATCAGTTGACTTTGGCTTGACTCCTAGTGAAGGAGCCCCGCTTTGTCCTCCCCTGTTTAGCTCTTGATCCTGAAGCACTTGATTGTCTCTCCCGGGCTTTTGATGGATTTCAGGGATGCAACTGAGAAATTTGTTTTTAATGCACTTAATTGAAGTAAGAATATTTTAAAGTATTTTGGCAAAGAAAAACGTTTCCTTTTGCAATGAAGACATTCAGATGTAAGGAAAATCACTAGGCTCTCACAAACACAAATTCCATGTCAGCAAGTAGGTTTGACCCTCAGGTTGGGCACACTTTAAGTGTACTGTTGGAACTTAAGATGAATCTAGGACATTCATGATTAATATTTTTAGTTTTTTAGTACAATTTAATATTTTAAATTTAAATACACATTCTGAAAATTGTATAACCAGCACAAGAAACCGGCTTTACGCCATATTTACAAACATAGGAAAGAAAGGTGATATTTTAAATGACAATGCTTCATAAATGGCAACATTTTTAAAGTACCTAGAGAAAAAAAGTTAATCTAGAATTCTATGCAAAAATAAAATTTCATAACTGTGAGTGAAATAAGGACATTGAAAAAATACAAAAGCTAAAAGAATTCACCAACCCATGCTGCAAGAAATCTTAAGAGTCCTCCAGGCAGAAGCAAAAGGATACCAGATAAAAATGTGGGCCTACACAAAGAAACGAATATTGGAAATGGCATTTAGAAAACATGTACTACACGTTTTCTTATAATTTAAATCTTTCAAAAAATATTTGACGTAATAAATAAAAGTAATAATGAATCACAAAGCTTATAGTGCATAAAGTAAAACTACATAACACTAGGATAAAGGCCAGAAAGGGAGGCATAATGACACTAGAAAGCAGACTATGATAAATTAAAGATGTATCCCGGAAACCCTAAAGCAGCCTCTTAAATAAGAAAAGGGTTATAGCTAATAAAGCAACAAAGGAAAGAAAACGGAATGAAATAAAAGCTATGTAAACACTATGCTGGAACAACTACTCTCCAGGCCTCCACCCTATAGAAATACACCAGTGGCCAATGAGAGTGTACAAGAATGATGACTGCAGCATTATTTGTAATCATGAAATAATAAAACCAACGTAAGTTTAAAGATATATGAAAAGGGTTTTATTTATTTAACAGACAGACAATGGAACAAGCAAACAATGGGAGCAAGTCCTTTGCCAAAAGGAACACAGAGGGTCATGATGATGCTACTCCTCCAAGGATTTCAGAGTTCCCAGACGCCTAGTTTTCTGTCTAGTTCTTCTGGAAGATGTTATTCTTGGGGAGCAATAGGTCCTCGAGTTTGGGGCTCTTTCAGGTTCTCTCTCCATTTCCCCATTCTGCTACAATAAACAAACAAAAACAATTCTCACTTCCAGAAGATCCCGCCTGTGCCTCTGCATGCGCCTTTCAGGAGGTCTGGATGTCTGGTCCACCGCTCCCGGGCTTCTTTCCCAGCTTTTGCTTTTCCCTTTACCTGCTCTCGCCCTACGGCCCCAGGGCCGGACCACGGCCCAGCTGAGCCCCGCGGCTCCACCGCGCAGAAGGTGCGCCGGAGGCCCTGCCAGTTTCCCGCCCTGCAGGGTACTGAGAAATCAACGATTTGTAAAAAGAACTTCCCCATGGAAAAAAATCTGTTGATTTCCGC
Organism: Homo sapiens; assembly: GCF_000001405.40. Lineage (NCBI taxonomy): Eukaryota > Metazoa > Chordata > Mammalia > Primates > Hominidae > Homo > Homo sapiens. The sequence goes on along the minus strand of NW_025791756.1, from coordinate 499,063 downwards.
TCTCAGGGCTCTTCAAAGGACTAAAAGCTAAAGGCGACAATGAATTCATTCGACAAGTCCTAGTCGTGCGCCCTGGTGAGTGCCAGACCCTGCTCCCCCCGAGGGGACCCACGAGCGACCCTCACCACCATCCCTGCCCTGGTGGAGCCCCCGTGCGGAACACAGGATCCGAAGATGGCAGCGGAAGCTCCTCCGCGGCCCCGAGAGCGACTGGGCAGGGTGGGCACAGGCTCTTCAATGGGTGAAGGCGGCGCAAAGAACGGGAAGAACCATCCCAGGAGCCCACAGGGCGTTCAGCTTCCCTTGGGGCCCCAGGCGGCTCGGGCTGGGTCGCCGACCCGGGAGTTCCTGGAAGCTTCTGAAGCAGGCGAGGGGCAGGGCGGGCGAAGGCAATTCAGCTGTTCTGGCTCCAGAATCTCCTAACGCGCAGGCGTCCAACGTGACCGGCGCGACTCACCGCTCTAATCTCTCTGGTTTTCCAAGGCCTTGCTCGGTGGTCCTGCCGGGCGGGCTCTGGGAGTAGAGGGAAGGGAGTTAGTTCAGTGAGTGGGCCCTTCCCATATCACCAGTAGAAGCGGAAGCGCTTGTCTCTGTGGCGCAATCGGTTAGCGCGTTCGGCTGTTAACCGAAAGATTGGTGGTTCGAGCCCACCCAGGGACGCTTATTGGAACTTTTGAAGCATTCATGCATTGTCAATCACTAGGTAAATGGGGAAGATTTTATCTTCCCGAAGTCCCAAGCCACTCATTTATGACTGATCCATGTCAAGGGCCGCCCACCTCCCCGACCAGATTCTTAACCGGCTATCTCCTGAAATGCCGGGTTTACACCTGTGTAACTTAGGAATCCTGAAACAGAGACCTAGGAACCCACTTCTGGTGTGATAAAATTCTAATTCAGTCCCTTATACGCTTAAACAAGTAATTCACGTGCCTCCATTTTTTCATATTTTAGTAATAGGAGTCCAGTATTACCTCCAGGATGTGCCTGGGTTTCCTGATTGCTCTATCAATAATGTGACCAGTGGAATCTTTCATCATGATAGTGATCCTCTCCATCATTTTTGAAAACAGTATTTTTCCTCAGTCTGTGCATGATTTATTTAACCCTTTTCAAAATGTTTTTGTTAGCCAGGCATGGTGGCACACACCTGTAATCCCAGCTACTCAGGAGGCTGAGGCAGGAGAATCGTTTGAACTTGGGAGGTGGAGGCTGCAGTGAGCTGAGATTGCACCACTACACTCCAGCCTGGGTATCAGAGTGAGACTCCCATCTCAAAAAAAAAAAAATGTTTTTGAGATGATGTTGGTTTCATGGTTTTAGGATTACAAAGAATGCTGCAGTCACCATTCTTGTACAGATATCTTTGGTCATTGTGGAAATGTCTACACTGCAGACATTTCTATAGTGTAGAGAGCTGGATGCGCCATTGCTACATTATAGTGCTTATATAATGCTTCTAATTTGAGTCCATTCTGCAAATGTGTCTTTCACGGGAGCAGTACCAAATAATATTCCAATATGAATATTTATAAAATGAAAATGTGCAGATGTGCAGTTGAGCTGCATGCCTCTCCATGGGGCCCATGTTCATAAAATGGTGGCGTTAGCAATCATCTGAGAGTGGAGTTTGTGGCCCTCTGACGTCAAAATCTGAGGCAATGGACATGAAAACCCTCGCTGTACATCCTCCGTAGTCTGGCCAGAATCATTCCTGGGTCGGTGGTCTCTTATCAGGAGGGAATGCTGCTTGCTTTTTTTGTCAAAACCACAAAAGGGAGGGAAAGCATCAGGCTGTTGGTTGATAACAGTAGTGAAGCAAGTCTCTCCAAAGGCTTGGTTTGTTAACCCTTAGGAAAAAAATCCTAATTCTTGCCAGATGGTGCCATGCATTTCCAGGCTCTTGGTGTCCCAAACAAAGAACTGTACATGACACACACAAAGCAGCAAAGCAAAGCAAAAGTTTATTAAGCATAGTAACACTCTCAGAGTGGGGAGAGTGGGCTGACCTCTGGGATGTAAGATAAGTATTAGTTTGGTGTACTTTGGGTCTTTTTATGTGTGTTTTTTTTTCTTCTCTTCACAAGGATGCCTAATCGTTAGCCAGTGTTTGCCTTTTGATTGATAGGTGGGTTGCTTAGTTACTTTGGCCCTTGTGTGCTTGCACATTGCCTCCATCCCATAATTTTAAGTACATGCATGATGTGCAGTCCATATGCATGAGTTTTAATGAGCTGATTATCATACGGAGTCATGTTAAGGATACTTTTTTTCTCTCATGCACATGCCTATCTCTGAGGAGCTGCCCCTTTACTGGTTTGGATCTCGCTGGCCATGGGGTCCTTGCTTGCTTTTCTTTTTTTTTTTTTTTTTTTTTTTTGAGACAGAGTCTCGCTCTGTTGCACAGTCTGGAGTGCAGTGGTGCAATCTCGGCTCACTGCAACCTCCGCCTCCCGGGTTCAAGCGATGCACCTGTCTCAGCCTCCCAAGTAGCTGGGAGTACAGGAGTGCACCACCACGCCCAGCTAATTTTTTGTATTTTTAGTAGAGATGGGGTTTCACCATGTTGGCCAGGCTGGTCTGAAACTCCTGACCTCAGGTGATCTGCCTGCCTTGGCCTCCCAAAGTGCTGGGATTACAGGCATGAGCCACCGTGCCCGGCCTTGCTTGCTTTTTTAAATCTTACTTTTTGTTTTGGCTGCTCAACTTCTGCCTTTTATCTTGCTTCTTGCTCTCCCACCCCATCACCTTGCTTCTGTTTCTGCTTTTACTCGTTCTGCCTTTTATCCAACTTCCAATTCCCTCTGCTGTTCTCCTGCCTCATAATGGCAGTTAGTGAGGGGGGGGTTTTGAGGTGGCATGTCCAACCTCCTAGCCTGCCACATCCAGAAACTGCTTTCAAGGTTTCTCTGTGGTCCTGTCAGCCAAGAGGGAGTCCGTTCAGTTGACTGTAGGGACTAGGGCTTATTTTCATTTCTCAATCCTGACAAGGTAAGGCTGGATTAACGCAGATTCTCTGCAGGTGTAAATTTCCCCTACAGAAGACAGTTTTGCAGAGTTCCTTCTGTTTGCTGGTTCTCTGACAGCCATCTTAAAATATGCCAAAGAAATACATTCTGGGGTAAAATATTTTGATTCTCTTCATCTATCTACAGCTTCACCATGCTGGCAGCCTCCAATCCAAGCATACCTGAAACCTTCTTTTTTTTTTTTTTTTTTTTTTGGTTTGAGACAGAGTCTCGCTCTGTCACCCAGGCTGGAGTGCAGTGGCATTATCTCGGCTCACTGCAAGCTTCGCCTCCCAGGTTCACGCCATTCTCCTGCCTCAGCCTCTGGAGTAGCTGGTACTACAGGTGCCTGCCACCGCACCAGACTAATTGTTTGTATATTTTTTAGTAGAGATGGGGTTTCACCATGTTAGTTAGGGTGGTCTTGATCTCCTGACCTTGTGACCACCCACCTGGGCCTCCCAAAGTGAGCCACCACGCCCGGCCCCTGAAACCTTTCTTTTTAAAAAGCTTTCCCACCTTTATGACTGCCTTCAAGTCTCTGCCAAAACACAAGTAACAGTGACTGACTCCCTGCTATACCAAGCTCACAGTAAATAGCCTTTGCTGTTTTTCATTTGGTTGGTCTTTGTTTATTTGCAGAAGCTTCAATGTAGAGTTGACAAGGACTCCAATCTTTGACCAAACCTTAGTAGTTTCCTCTGAGCCCTTTTCTCTGTTACTTCTTGGCCTGCCAAGTCCAGCTTTAGGAAAGAATCCTGTTGAGTCTAGTTTAGCAAGAGTCCTCGCAACCACCTTTGATAGCTAATCAAGTTCCTCTTAGTAATTTTCCATCCACTGACTTTCTTATCTTGCCAATTGGCTATAATCCTCAACTCCTCCTGCTGTATTTGAGGTTGAGCCCAGTTCTCTGGGCTCAACCTCAAATACACGTGTCCAGTGCAGCCCCTCAGAAACTACCTTTGCAAAATTATGACAATCAGAGAAAGCTGACATGGCTGACTCCATCTTGGTTCTAGCCTCACAGGCTTGCTGTCTTTGCTCATTCCTGTGCAATTTCTCCCAAGCTATCTTTGGGAAAAATTGAGTTTATAGTTTAAATCAGGGCTCCCCAATCCCCAGGGCCATAAGACAGGTACTGGTCCATGGCCTGTTAGGAATCCAGCTGAACAGCAGGAGGTGAGCTGCAGGCTGTCGAGCATTACCGCCTGAGCTCTGCCTCTTGTCAGATCAGCATGAGCATTAGCTGCTCATCGGAGCTCGGACCCTATTGGGAACTGCTCATGTGAGTGATCCAGATTGCGCACTCCTTATGAGACTGTAACTGATGCCTGCTGACCTGAGGTGGAACAGTTTCATCTGGAAACCATCCACCACCCCCTTCCATGGAAAAATTGTCTTCCATGAAACCAGTCCCTGGTGACAAAAAGGTTGGGCACAGCCAAAAATCTGGTTTAAATGATAACCTTCCCCAAAACTAAATTACCCCTGTAAAATGAATGAAAGGCCACCAAGTTAGAAGGATGAAAGGGGCCTGATTTCTACTAAGATGTATGCCTCGTTAAATAATTACCAGCCATTATTCCAGAAGTCACAAGATTGGCAGCTTCCCCAGTTACTGCTGTGAAGAACATCACTATTGTAGAACCTAAGATTGGCCTCTTGAGATGTCTTTTCAGGCTTTGGCATTTCTGACTGCTGGATGGCACCATTTGGCCCGAAAATCAACCAGTCCCTTAGCCCCCACCCAGAAGCTGACTCCATGCAGGAGGGCCATTTTCCATGCCCCTGTGATTTCATCCCCAACGATCAGCACCACGCAAGCCCTAGCCCCCTCCCCACCAAACTATCTTTGAAAAACCCCTTACCTCCAAGCCTTCAGTGAGATTGGTTTGAGTAATAACTCTTGTCTCCCACATGTCGTGGCTGGCCTGTGTCAATGAAACTCTTTCCTGCAGTGCCATGGTCTCCATGAATTGATTTTGTGTGTACATTGGGCAGGAAGAACCCATCAGGTAGTTACATCTGCAGGATGGTGCCAGTTCTTTCCACAAAGGCTGGTCAGATACCTAGAAAACATTTCTCCACTACTACCTGGACAATGTGTCTCCCTGTCAATCTCCAGGGAATGGGGCCTGGATCAAGTATTTAGTATTCAGCAGTCACTACACTGTCACCTAATCCCTCATTTTCAATATCTTGCCATGCCTTCCAGTGGCCTAACTGGCCACCATGCCACAGAATCTTTATGGTCTCCAAGGAGAACTCTCTACTTGATGTTTTGTGATTTGAGCAATGGAATAGAATCTGATACTGGTGGGCTGGGGGAGGTCCCTGGACACTGGTGGGATCTCGACCCCAGCCGTGGTGTCCAGGCTCTTGACACCATCGCGAGAACAAAGTCAAAGATGAGTCAGCAGATAGTGAAAGAAGAGATTTATTGCAAAGCAAAAAGTACACACTCAAGAAAGGGGAGTTCAGGCATACCCAAGAGAGAACAATGGGTTCTGGGGTTTCATCTTGATGGGTTTCTTTAACCAAGGAGTGGAATGTTCATAAAAATTCCTGGGTAAAGGTGGAGATTTCTCGGAACTGTGGTGCCATCCATTTTTACATCAAATATTGGTCTCAGAACTGTCACGGCACTGGCGGGTGTGTGATTTAGTATGTCAATGAGCATATAATGAGGGCCTAGGTAAAACCTCCGTCAAATCCAGCACCACATTGGGTCCACTCAGTCTTAGCCAGCTTGGTCCACACCCTGGTTTTTCAGCATCTTAACAGCCCACAGCCTCAAGTCATGTAAATCTGCTGCCTAGAATTTGTTATCCTGTGACCACCCTGTAGTATTCCTGTCTGAAATCTACTTGTAAATATTCAAATGGTCTTTGACTTGGGCATTCCAACTTTGCTTACTTCACAGTGTTTCCTGGGTAATATATAAGAAAAGATGATCCAGACATTGTTAAACATCTCAAATAAGATGTATCCCAGGTATTTGTGTCAAATTTGGATTATTTTGATTTCGTCTTCACAGAATATAAAAAACTAACATGAGGTAAGCACTAAGGTGTGGAGATGGCTGTGCAAGAGATGACAAAGTCCAGCACCACGCTTGAGAGTGTCCAATCATCTCTTCTGGGGCAGCATAGTTTTCTACAATACTGATTTTGGAAAAAAAATCAAAAAAAAAAAAACACCTACAAGATTCATGAAACTGGACAACTGTCTTTATAACATTACCAGTGATAAAACCAGTAAGGAAGGCTGGTTTGCAGTCATTGAGCAGCCTCTTTACTTTCATAAATATGGTTTCTCTCGGCTTCCAATTGCAAGCGGAATGCTGCATCACAAGGATAAGGATGTGAAGAGAACCGGTTTCTTTTGTAATCCGAAACATTCTAGTCTGCGAATTAAAAGCCATTATTTGAAGAAGGATGCCCCGGCTCCATCTGGCCACCGAAAGGTTGCTCCTTAACACAGGCTAAGGACCAGCTTCTTTGGGAGAGAACAGACGCAGGGGCGGGAGGGAAAAAGGGAGAGGCAGACGTCACTTCCCCTTGGCGGCTCTGGCAGCAGATTGGTCGGTTGAGTGGCAGAAAGGCAGACGGGGACTGGGCAAGGCACTGTCGGTGACATCACAGACAGGGCGACTTCTATGTAGATGAGGCAGCGCAGAGGCTGCTGCTTCGCCACTTGCTGCTTCGCCACGAAGGAGTTCCCCTGCCCTGGGAGCGGGTTCAGGACCGCGGATCGGAAGTGAGAATCCCAGCTGTGTGTCAGGGCTGGAAAGGGCTCGGGAGTGCGCGGGGCAAGTGACCGTGTGTGTAAAGAGTGAGGTGTATGAGGCTGTGTCGGGGCAGAGCCCGAAGATCTCATACTTACCTGGCAGGGGAGATGCCATGATCACGAAGGTGGTTTTCCCAGGGCGAGGCTTATCCATTGCACTCCGGATGTGCTGACCCCTGCGATTTCCCCAAATGTGGGAAACTCGACTGCATAATTTGTGGTAGTGGGGGACTGCGTTCGCGCTTTCCCCTGACTTTCTGGAGTTTCAAAAACAGACTGTACGCTAAGGGTCATGTCTTTCTTTGTTTTGGTTTGTGTTTTGGTTGGCGTCTTAAATGTTAATCCTACAGTGGAGGGCTGGGGAATAGGAAGTAACATGTCGCCTGCACGCCATAGCAGAAAAAGCGAGCATCAGCCGTATCGGCTTTGTAACACAAGTTAACTATCGTGAAGTCCGCTCAGCTCTTCCCTTTCTACCCTGGCTGCTTTTTGCAGGGATTGGTCCATGGTCTCCAGTCTCTTGGGTTCTCACCCTTCTCACCCTGTGTGAAAATCTTCGTGTTTTTCCCTAGCCCCCAGTCACCTCTTACACAGCCTCTGCTTCCAAGCGCAGCCCCCACAGGAGTTTGTAGGATTTCTGTGCTAGCGGGGAGTGTGTTCTCACCTCATAGAGCCAGGTAGAAACTACGCAGATGGGTGCTGTTCTCCGGGAAGAAAGAAGGGCCTTTGGGGCTCTCAGTGTCCCCGTTGGGTTGTAGACATAACACGCTTACTTTGCGTAGGGGAACGGCTCTGCCGGCCCCCAGGTGCCCTCGCGCATATTCATGGAGGCCCGCAGGTCAGAACCGCAGTCTCACCTGTCTTGGCGGAAATGCCCTGCGATCCTCCCGGAGATAGAAGGCGGGAAGTTTTATGAGGAGCCAGGTACAGTTTCCCTACTATCTCCTGCAGTTCATATATCTAGTCTTTCTTCAGACTTTATTTAAGCGACTGCTTCATGTTTGATGTCTCACTCCCACATCCTACATCCATTGCCAGGCAACTTTCTAGATAGCACCGTGACCCATCCTTCCCACCCCCAAGCAGCCCTTTCCTATTTCTGGTGCCAGTGTCCTCCCCAGTCCCTCTTTCTTCAGGCCCTCGCTTATCACCTTCATGGACAGAAAATACTTAGTTCTCTCTCAACCTGCGGTTTATACCTGACACGCGTCAGTACCCTGACAAATTCCTTAATACCCCTTCTCAAATGGCACTGAAAATGCATTTCTTTTTAACTCCCAGAAGTATCTAATTGGTTTTGTCCCTGAACTACATGAATACTAGTATTCCACTACAGAGGAAAACCCCAGGCCTAGCGATGGCGGTTCTGGGCATTGTGCCAGCCTCTCCCAGGGTATGTTTTCTGACCTCACCTACTTTTGATCAACTGAGGTCAGGAGTTCGAGACCACCCTGACCAACATGGCGAAACTCCGTCTCTACTAAAAATAAAAATAAAAATAAATTGCCGGGCATGGTGGTGTGGGTCTGTAATCCCAACTACTCGGGAGTCTGAGGCAGGAGAATCGCTTGAACCCGGCAGGCGGAGGTTACAGTGAGCCGAGATCGTGCCATTGCACCCCAGCCTGGGCAATAGAGTGAGACTCTGTCTCAAAGAAAAAAAAAAATTAGTCCATCTGAGACATTGATGTTGGAGACAGTAGAATCCTGCGTCCAACAGGCACTTGGTGCAGATCTGAACCCATTGAGCTATTGGCTCATGTTCCCTATGTTCTATTAAGTATCATGAGCAGAAATTGAGCTCTTTGGCTTTTACCCACTGAGTATGGCTATAGGACAGGTCTCTCTCTCTTTCTCATTATTTGCATCATTATTTTTTGCCATCAGTGTGGGTTTTTGGTTTTGAGGTTATGAAGTGAATTTCTGGGGACAATCTCTGTTGGGTCGTGTTGACAAGGATCCAGTCCCTGTTTGGTGATACATGACAGCTAATCTGGTCTGTGAGTCTTCTTTATTGTCTATTTATTGTCCTGAGAATAATGGTATTTCCTGAAATTTGAGACTGCAGCAATGATAAGTTGTTCAGATCTTGTCTTTCCAATGTTTGGTAAAAAATTTATAGGCCCAATTGTTGTCAATATCTGCAAGAGTGGCATCTCTATTACAAGAGTGATCTTACTACTCAATGTCCCCCCTCCCACCCAACTTCGTTTCCTAGGGGCTCTTGGCTTTAACAAATTTACTGTATCTAAAAGACATCTTAGTACAGGAAGAAAACTAAATCTGTAGCATGTAAGGAGCAGTTTTCTTTGATTGGTATATTCAGGTTTCTAACCAGCTGAAAAATTCAAATACATGTCCTTTAAGGATTAAGTTTAAACTACACTACAGAAAGAAGAGAAAAGATTTATATGATCACATATAAGCAATGGAATCAGCAATATGAGCACTTTTCACAACTATATAAATCAAATTTAGTAATCTCCAGAACATTAAGGAAGTTCAGCCCTTAATGGAAATGAATGAAAAGAAATTATTCACCCACTGTTACATGCCCTGGAAAGAGAATGCCCTGCAGGACTCAAAAGGGTACCACAATATTACTCAGATTTTCAGCAATGAAGGCCCTCCAAGGATCTAATGATACTCATATTTTCAGTTTATTTCCTTCACTGATAAACATTGTTAATAGATACCATTGCCTCTGTTTTCACTTTAAGTGATGTTACTTAGCACAATTCATTTCTTTAGAATGCCCCCTAGTTTAGTGAAAGGAATTTTCCTGCTTTATAAATATAGGATATTTTCTCATGAAACAAGTTGGCGTACTCTTTCAGTGAAGGGACTAGACAGATTAGGTCTCTAAAATGTTAAAGGAGTCACTGCCTCAATTATCTTAGGAACAATAATAATCACTTATATAAAATTAAAATAAGAAAATTAAGCCAGGAATGGTGGCTCATATCTACAATCCCAGCACTTAAAGAGTTGGAGACCAGCCTGGGCAACATAGTGAAACTCCTGTCTCTACAAATTTTTAAGTATTAGCTAATTTTTTAAAGTTGGCAGGGCATGATAATGCATGACTGTAATCTCAGCTACTAGGGAGACTGAGGCAGGCTCCAGTGAACTATGATTGTGCCACTGCCCTCCAGCCTGGGTGACAGAGTGAGACTCCCAACTCAAAAAAAAAAAAGAAAAGAAAATATAGAATTTGTTGAAAATTGTTTTACTACAATGCTAGGCTGCATGTCTTGCACCTGTACTCCCAGCAACTCGACAGGCTGAGGTGGAAAGATTGCTTTAGGCCAGCGGTTGGAGACCAGCCTGGGCAACAGGGCAAGACCTCATCTCTAAAAAAAATACAAGGCAAGCTGAGCCAGGAGGATTGCCTGAGCCCAGAAGTTCCAAGTTAGTCAGCTATGATTGCCCTGCTGCACTCTAGCCTGGATAACACAGCAAGACCCTGTGTCTTATTTTTTATTTTATTTTTACTACTTATGCTTATTTATTTATTTATTTTTGAGACAGAGTCTTGCTCTGTAGCCCAGGCTAGAGTGCAGTGGTGCCATCTCAGCTCACTGCAAGCTCTGCCTTCCAGGTTGAAGCTATTTCCCTGCCTCAGCCTCCAGAGTAGCTGGGATTACAGGCACACGCCACCACATCCAGCTAATTTTTATGTTTTTAGTAGAGACAGGGTTTCATCATGTTTGCCAGGCTAGTCTCAAACTCCTGACCTCAAGTGATGCACCTGTCTCGGACTCCCAAAGTGCTGGGATTACAGGTGTGAGCCACCTCGCCCAGGCTCCTTATGCTTGAAATGTGAGGTTTCATTAGGGAAAAATTTTCTGGTTGAATTTCTAACATGAAAAAATAATAGATTTAGCTGTAGATTAAATTAATGGTCTTGATAGTTTGGTACAATAAAATAAATGAAATGAAGTTGATAGCAGAGAGGAATTTTTGATGCTTTTGGACAATTTAAATAATGTAATATTTAATATATAAAGACATGAAAAAGTTCATTACATTATTATATTTATTTACTTATTTATTTATTTATTTATTTTGAGACATAGTCTCACTCTGTTGCCTAAGCTAGAGTGCAGTGGTACAATCTCGGCTCACTGCAACCTCTGCCTCCCGGGTTCAAGCAATTCTCCTGCCTCAGCCTCCTGAGTAGCTGGAATTACAGACGTGCGCCACCCCACCCAGCTAATTTTTGTATTTTTAGTAGACACGGGGTTTCACCATGTTGGTCAGGCTGGTCTCGAACTCCTGACCTCGTGATTCACCTGCTACGGCTTCCCAAAGTGCTGGGGTTACAGGCGTGAGCCGCTGCACCTGGTCTATTATGTTATTTTTTAAAAGTCAGTGTCTCTCTTTTGACAAATTAGAATGGTTTAATAATCTTGGTTAGGCTGGGCATGGTGGCTCACACCTGTAATCCCAGCACTTTGGGAGCCTGAGGTCAGGAGTTCAAGACCAGCCTGGCAAACAAGGTGAAACCCTGTCTCTACTAAAAATACAAAAATTAGCCGGGTATGGTGGGGGGCTCCTGTAATCCCAGCTACTCAGAAGGCTGAGTCAGGAGAATTGCTTGAACCCGGGAAGCAGAGGTTTCACTGAGCCAAGATCGCGACATTGCACTCCAGCCTGGGGGGGCAACAAAGTGAGATTCTGTCTCAAAAAATAAATAAATAAATAAAAATAAAGTATAAAAAATTAAAATTATGTGTTCAAGTAAATTAAATATATGGCAATGAAAAGGAGGCCTAGCATGACTGACTGCATTTTGCTCCTAACCCTTCCTACCCTGTGTTGACGTCTTTCAGGCTAACTGCTTTTTCTTCTTTCTGCGCATAGGCCAAGCTATCTATGGGAGGGATTTAGCTTACAGTTTAACTTTAAAGCACAGATGATAATAATCCCTTCCCCAAACTAACTCCTGAGAAGATAGGCAGGTTGTTGAAGATTTATAAGAGCAGTGTGACCTGACAAAGGACAAAGAATTTTCACCATCCCCTTGGGCTCCCCCTGCAGCCCATGTCTGTCATTGTCAGACCTCTTCACCTCAACCGCCTCCTTCTTCCTCCCTTCCCTAACGTACAAGGAGCCTGAAAATCATATTAATTTAAGATGGTTCTTTAGGATGTTAGTTCACCATCTGTTCAGTTTGGTGGCTCTCTGGAATAAAGTCACCTTCCCTGCCCCTACACCTTATCCCTGGACTTATTGGCTGTCATGCAGCAAGCGGTGAGTGCAGTAAGCCGAGATCACACCACTGCACTCCAGTCTGGGTGACATAGTGAGACCTTGTCTCAAAAAAATAAAAATAAAAACAGAGAAATTTGGTTTTAGAACCAGACAAATTAAATGGGAGATTACTTCCAGTGAGACCTAGAAATTTCTAAATTTCTAAAATTTCTAAAAAAACTGAGAAAATTGCCTCCATTGAGGAAGTAAGCTGAAGGAGGTAAACTGTCATGTTTTCTGAATTGAGAAATATTGAGGAGGCTTTGTCTCTTTCACCTCCAGCTGCTCCTTCTCCTCCTGCCCCTGCACCTGCATAGTCTTTCTTACCTGAGCCTTCCTGTCCTGCCTTGCCTCTTCTTCCATCACCACCACCTGGGGAAAGTCCCCAGGGCTCTGGCCACTTCCCCAAAACTTCTGTTCTGACAGCCCCTTTAAAGGTAAAACCCAAACCCACAGGAAGAGGGGAACCTACCGTTGTGTATACCACTTCACCAAAATGTGAATTAAGAATATTATAAAGGACTTCCCTGATCTAAACTTAAATACATTTCACTCTTCTGTTTCTAAAGCAGGCTCCGAGATTCTATAGGCTTTGGCAGAAAATTTGACTTAACTGTTGAAACCTTTGAGCCCAAATATTCTGACCTTTATCAATCAATTCACATGCTGGTGAAGAAGGCAAGGCCACTAACTGGTTGCAAAGGCAAATTGGAAGGATTTTCAAAAAGGGACTGAAGCAGAACATGAAAGGTTCACATTTTCACCAAATATCTCCATGTTGCCACTCCCCAGGTCCTTCCTAAAAATATAGATTGGAGGATAATTCAGCATTGTACTAAAAAGCCAGACAAATCTGTCTTTGCTTAATTAAAATGGTTTGAGAGCCAGGTGTGGTAGCTCATGTCTTTAATCCCAGCACTATGGGAGGCCAAGGCGGGTGGATCACTCGAGGTCAGGAGTTCGAGACCAGCCTGCCAACATGGTGAAACCCTGTCTCTACTAAAAATACAAAAATCAGCCAGGTGGCTACTCAGGAGGCTGAAGGAAAAGAATCGCTTGAACCCAGGAGGCAGAGGTTGCAGTGAGCTAAGATCCTGCCAGTGCAATACAGCCTGGGTGACAGAGCAAGACTGTCTCAAAAATAAAAATTAAAAAAAAAAAAGAAAAAATGAGCAGCGTAGTAGAAGTATAATGCACACAAGAATGATAATCATGAAGACAATCTGATTCTAGAAGAGTAAGGGAACCTATTCCATTAGAGAGCCAACTGAAAACATCAAATCCCAGTTCACACCCCAGGGTGTGGGGGCACGTGCCTGTAGTCCCAGCTACTCGGGAGGATTAGTAAGGAGGTTTGCTTGAATTCATGAGGTCAAAGCAGAAGTAAACCCTGATCATGCCACTGCACTCCAGCCTGGGTGACAGTGAGACCTTGTCTCAAAAACAAACAAACAAAAAACCCACAAAACCAAACAACAACAAATTGTCACCTCACTCTGAAATGACAGTGGCAAACATCACTTTGCTATTGGAAAATTAAAAGAAAAACACTCCCTCTTGCTATCAACCTGCCCTCTTGCTCTAACATGTCTGACCCATGGTTTAAAATGCCCAAAAGCTGATGTACTCAAATTATAATACACTTACCTGTTCTGCACCAGCATTTATTTTTGTCTGGAGGAGATCACCATCCATGGTCCTGTAAATGTCTAACGGCATGGAATGATGAAGGGCAGTGTCTTTTAGGATATTTGGTTATATCTATATATATGGCTCTGAAGAAACCCAACAGTGGGCGAGTTCCCTCAAACTTTTCACTAGGCATGACCACTGCTCTATTTTAGATAGAGATTCTGTGGGGCAAAACCTGAGAATTATCTGCCTGGCTATCAAGAAGATAGCTCCTTGCATTTTTTTGGGGAGAACACTTGCTTCAAGGGAGTGTTTCCTCCCAGGATTACAAATCTTTTTGTAACCTCAGGAAACATTGCTGATGAAAACCAGGCATGGTGGCTCTGGCCTGTAATCCCAGTGACTCAGGGGCTGAGGCAGGAGAATCACTTAAGCCAAAGAGTTTGAGGCTGCAGTGAGCTACGATGGCTCCACTGCACTCCAGCCTGAGCCACAGAGCCAGACACTGTCTCTGAAAGAAAAAGAAAAAGAAAGAAAAATATTGCTGATGAAACTGCGGCCTCTTTTGCAGCTCTATAAAAAGGTATTTAGTCACTGGCTAAGGTTGTACTAGATAATCACATCACTTTAGGTGATACATTTAGCTGAGCAGGGAGATGTGTGGTGGCAAATACCTTTTGTTGCATATGCATATATATTTCCCATGTAGTAGAACCTTCTCTAGAAAAAATCAGAAAAGAAGCCACTTGGCTGCAAGAAATCACTAAAGAAGAAATGGGGTTTGATGTTTTCCCTGATGTTTTCAGTTGGCTGAAACATCAAATCCCAGTTCCCTGGTTCCCTTACTGTTCCAGGATACAGATTCTCTTTGTGATGATCATTCTTGTATGCATTGTATTTCTACTACTCAAATTATTAATGTTATGTATTTCTCTTTGTTTTACTTCTTTTGAGAAACTAAATTCATGGTACTCTGAAAACTACAGATGATTCAACAAGTGACAGCAACTATAGAATTGGCCGAGATATCTCTCTCTCTCTCTCTCTCTTTTTTTTTTTCCATGTTGTGATGCCACACCAGTTCAGCTTTTGGACGCTGTTAAAAATTCCTCAGTGAGAGGTCTCCTTTCCTCCCCTGACCCCCGTGTGGGACAGGACTATCTGGGAATGAGCCATTCTGGCAAAGAGGGACACAGCTTTTGATCGACAATGCTTTCAAGAAATACTTTTTTTTTTTTTAAGCGGAGTCTCGCTCTGTCGCCCAGGCTGGAGTGCAGTGGGCGATCTCAGCTCACTGCAAGCTCCGCCTCCCGGGTTCACGCCATTCTCCTGCCTCAGCCTCTGCGAGTAGCTGAGACTACAGGCGCCCGCCACCACGCCAGGCTAATTTTTTTTTTTTATTTTTAGTAGAGACGGGGTTTCACCGTGGTCTCGATCTCCTGACCTCGTGATCGGCCCGCCTCAGCCTCCCAAAGTGCTGGGCTTACAAGCGTCAGCCACCGCGCCCGGCCAAGAAAGACTTTTCATCTAAAGGGAGAATGAGGAAAGAAGAGAACTTTTTTATTTTCAAATTCTCAGGCCCAGCGAGGCATTACATTGAGACAGCAACCACATTCTGCTTCCTTTTTGTACACTACTGTATTTGAAAAACAAAAAAACAAACCTACAAGACTCATAAAACTGGACAACTTTCTTTATAACACTACTACTCGTAAAACCAGTAAGGATGGCTGGTTTGCAGTTATCTGAGCAGCTTCTCTAGTTTCATAGACATGATTTCTCTCTGTTATTAAAGGGCTCCCAATTTTAAGTGGAATGCTACTTCACAAAGATAACCAGGTTTGAAAGGGTCCGGTTTGCTTTGTAATCCGAAACGTTCCAGTCTGCTATTAAAAGCCATTATTTGAAGACGGGTGCACAGGCTTCCAGCTGCCCGCCAGAAGGGTCCTCCGCAGGACACAGGTTAAGTAATCACTTCTTCGGGGGAGACTAGATGCAGGGTCTCGGCGCACCTCCCCAAAAGACAAGGGCGAGACAGAAAGGAGGGACAGGCGGACGTCACTTCCCTCGCCGGCTGCGGCACCGGGTTGGTGGGCTGAGTGGAGGAGGGTGGGGCGGAAGAACAGAAGGGGACTGGGAAAGGCACTGTTGGTGACATCACCGATAGGGCGTTTCTATGTAGATGAGGCAGCGCAGGGGCTGCTGCTTCGCCATGAAGGATTTCCCGTGCTGTAGGAGCAAGTCCGGGACCGCTGGCTGGACGTGAGCGTCCTAGCTGTGTGTTAGGGCTAGGAGGGCTCAGGGTGATTGGGGATTGGCTGGGGTGGTGCTCGGGGCAAGTGACCGTGCGTGTAAAGGGTGAGGCGTATGGAGCTGTGGCGGGGCGGAAGTTTACATATGTGGTATGTAGAGCACATGTTATGGTTATCGAAGTGGTTTACTGTAAGGCTGAGGACCATGCATTCGGCAGCTATGCTGTTGTCTCTTATTTTTTCTAACGTGGAAATCTGTTTTGTAACTTGTAGTAATAAGGTAGAAATTAAAAAGAAAAAGTATTTTCCTGTACTTGCTTGGCTGCAAGGTCAGGAACAGATAGTTCCTTAGCGGATCCTTGGTAACGCTATCTGAAAAACCACATCGCTGAGAAATGAGTTCTGGAGACTCTCTTAACAGTCTGTTGTCCCTAGGAAGGATAAGAGCAAGAAACAGCAAATGCTTTTATTACCTTCTCTTTTCCCTTTACCATTTCTCACTATTCAAGTTTTGTTAAGTTCTTGATTTCCCTTCAGTGCAGCTGCAAGGTCACCAGTTATTCTTGCCTCGTGAGACCTGTCACAGTTTGACTAGCTGCCTTTGTTCTGCTTCTGTAAGCCCTCTTGCCTGCCCCGCGAGTTTGGTGCCATCATAGTCCCACCATGCCATTCAAACTAGCCAACCCCCTTTTTGAAGTGTGTATAAAAGTCAAACCCTGTCTTTGTTCGGGGCTCAGCCTTTGGATTTTAATCCTCCGGGCCTGAGTGCACTCAATAAATCCTCCTGTTCCACCCATTGGTCTCTCTGTTCTCCTGATTCCCACAACAGTAGTAGGGGACTGTGTCTGCACTTTCCCCTGGTCTTTCACGGTATGAATAATAGCCTTTTTTTTTTTCGCCTATAGTCGCAGGCTCGGTCTCAGTGATTTTATGGTGTGGTCAGCTGTTTTTGTGAGACCTTGTTTACTGTCCTGGGACAGATGTCTGTAGTCACTTGTTTCCTTGGGAGGCAAATTTCAGTCTCTGTGGCGGAGGTCTCTCATGTTAGCTGTGGTGGTACTTGGCAGGCGGAGCTCAGGGATCTAGGCTTCCCTGCTTTGTAGACTGCTCAATGGTCCCCAAGGCCTACTGGCTTTTACCACCACTTGAAAACCTTAGTGTTTTTCCACTGTCCCCAGAGTCACCTCTTACACAGACTTATTTTGTTTGTCTTTTTCCCCGAGACAGAGTCTCACTCTATCTGGTAGCATCTTGGTTTAAGCGATCCTCCCACCTCAGCCTCTGGAGTAGCAGAGGCACGAGTCACCACAGCCAGCTAATTTCTGTTCTTGGTTTTGTTGTGGTGGTGGTTGTTTTGTTTTTTAAGAGTTGAAGTTTCACCATGTTGCCCAGGTTGGTCTCCAACTCCTGGACTCAAATAATCCGCCCTGCCTTGGCCTTCTAAAGTCCTGGGATTACAGGTGTGATCCATCACACCTGGCCAGCCCCTGCTTTTCACTATAGCATTCATGGGAGTTTGCAGGATTTCTGTGCTGGGGGGAACGTGTACTCAGCTCATACAGCCAAGTAGAAATTGTACTTGGAACTGGTGTCGTTGGGTTGTAGACATAACATGCTTGCTGTTTGTATGGGAAGGGCTTTGCCAGTGCTCTGTGCCCCTGTGCAGGGCATCCAGGCCTGCAGGTCAGAACGGCAGTCTCACCTATGAGTTTGTGTAATACGCAGCAATTCTCCCTGGAATATAAGATGGGTGGTCTTGTGAGGTTCCTACAAGTAAGAAGACAAATTTCCCTTCAGTTTGTATTGACAAAATTCAAAATTAATAATAACAGCCCAACCTCTTGAATGACAAATGTCCTTTACATTGACAGACCAGAACTGCCCTGCTTGCCTCAGCTCCTCTGTGCAGGTGCAGCTCACAATTCCCCCCACACAGGTCATTTCCTCCCTGCTTTCTCCAAAAGAGGGAGACAGCAGTTCTGCAGGACCACAGGGCTCAAGGCCTTCCAGGGCCAAAAATCTCAGAAGAAGTTGCCCCGTTCTTCCTGTACCTCACGACTGACCTAGAAATGGCCTTTGCTAGGAGCAAAGTAGGGGGAAATGGTCGCCAGAGCTGGGGCCTGGGTACTGGGCCAGGTTGCCCCGCAGGAGGGGAAGTACTCAGGGTTAGAGGGGGCCAAGCACCAAGACCTCAGCATCCTCAACCTCCAAAAGGACTCAGAGAGATGCAGAAACCGAGACAGGGTTCCTCTTTCAAGGAAAGAGACTTTTGAGGAAGACCCCAGGGCTCTGAACCAAAATCCAGATTTTTCCCCATCTGCAGCTTAATTCCACCTTAGTTGGTGCAACTTCATCCTTCCCCTATGCTCAGGACAAAAAACAGTTCTTCTATAGGCTGGTCATTCTCTGGCCCCATACATCCTATTGGTCAGAAAATTATGTTTTTTCTTTGGTTAACTGCAGACTTTGGTCTGCACAGTCTTTTTCTTTCTTGGTCTGAAAACCACCCAGTAGTCCCATATGTAGCTTTTTTGGATAAACCTAGAAATTGACCCTGCTGGTCTTAAAGCTTGAAACTTAATATTTGTTTCGTCTGAGTTCCTTCCTCAGGAAACAACCTTCAGGCCTCTCAAAAAAGCCAACAAAGAACTGAAATTCATCCAGACAATGAGATGCTGGGACCCCTCATTCATCATGATTGCTTCCTTGCTCCTCCCTAGTTCCTGTTTTCTTACACATTGTTACATTTCTTCCCTGCCATATAAACCTCTGGTTTTGTTGGTCAGGGAGATGGATTTGAGACTGAGTTCTCATCTCCCCCACTGCAGCACCCTATTAAAGCGCCTTCCTTGGCAATAATCATCTCGGTGATTGGCTTTCTCTGTGGCAACCAGCAGGAATCCCAGATCTCTGAATTTTGGCAAAGGAGTCTCCTGATAAAGGTGGGATGGATTCTACTGACCAACATCAAAACGATCAGACATTTGAAAGCCTTAATCTCAGGGTCGGGGTTTGGGGCGCCCTTGGGACTTTTCCTTGGGCCTAACCATTAAAATCAGCCTAGCCAGGTCTGTCTTCCAGGCACAGGGGTAGGGCCAGATACTCCTGATGCTTCTTGACGCTTCTCCCACTGGGTGGGCAACAACCCTCCCCTTCCCTGTGACCTGCAGAGAAGCTTCAGGGGGCGTTTATTCAATTTGCTAGGAGCCTACAAAGCACAGGTACACGGTGACTCTGTGGTTCCCACTGCACCTGCCACTCTCCTTGGTCCCCTCACTGTCTCTGGCAGGCAGTAATGTTCTGGGTGAGCTTGGGTGCTGAAGACACCCAGGCAGGGAGGGTAGGGAAAGGCACCAGCCCCTTAGGTCCTGCGCATTAGGGATCCAAAAAACATCTGAAGAAACAGAAAGGGAGCGTTGGAAGTAGATCAAAGGGAAAGAAAGAAATCCTAGGAGATTTCCTATCTGAAGGCACCATGAAGAGAAAGTCCGCCTCCTCTGGGCCGCGTCCTCCTGTTGCAGGTGAACCGGGTTCCGGTCTCCATTGGAAACCAAAGCAGGTAACTTTGCCCTGACTCCTAGTTAGGAAGCCATGCTTTGTCCTCCCCTATTTAGCACTTGATCCTGTAGCACTTGATTGTCTCTCCCTGGCTTTCTATGGATTCCAGAGATGCAACTGAGAAGTTTGTTTTTAATGCACTTTTCCTTAAAGTAAGAGTATTTCAGGCCGGGCACGGTGGCTTACACCTGTAATCCCAACAGTTTGGGAGGCAGAGGTGGGCATTTTACTTGAGGTCAGGAGTTCGAGACCAGCCTGGCCAACATGGCGAAACTCTGTCTCTACGAAAAATACAAAAATTAGCCAGGTATGTTGGCACCGGCCTGTAGTCCCAGCTACTCGAGAGGCTGAGGCAAGAGAAACCTGTGAACATGGGAAGGGGAAGTTGCAGTGAACTGATATCAAAAAAAAAAAAGTATCTTTTGGCAAAGGAAATGATTTCTGACAGGTTTTGCACTTAAGACACTCAGGTGTGAGGAAAACATGAAAACCACTATGCTAGGGAAAGCAAATGCTGTTGAGAATGTCTCATAAACACAAATTACATGTCAGCAGGTAGGTTTGACCCTCAGGTTGGGCACATTTTACTTTAAGTTCACTGTCGGTGGAACTTAAGATGAATCTAAGACATTCACGATGTATGTATGTATGTGTGTGTGTGTGTGTATACATATACATATATATATACATATATATACACACACACATATATATATATACACATATATATATGTCTCTCATATATATATGAGAGACAGAGTCTTGCAATCTTGCCCATATTGGTCTCCAACTCTGGGCCTCAAGCGATCCTCCTATCTCCCCATCCCAAAGTGCTGGGACTACAGGCATGCACCACCTCATCCAGCCCATTTTAATGTTTTTAATTTAAATACACATTCCCAAAATTATATAACAAGTACAGGAAGCCCACTTTCAGCCAGTTTTACAAAAACAAAGTGGCAACATCCTAAAGTACTGAAAGAAATAAAGTTTTCCTAGAATTCTATGTCAAAGTGAAAAATCTTTCAAGAATATGACTGAAATAAGGACATTTAAAGACATATAAAAAATGAAAGAATTCAGCAACCCACACTACAAGAAATGCAAAAGGAGTCCTCCAGGCCTAAAGATAAGGATACCAGACAGAAATCTGGATCTACACAAAGAAATGGAGACTACTGCAAATCGGTATGTACATAGTTAAATATATATGTTCTTATTATTTAAATCTTTTTTAATAATTTATTTATTTTAAATTATTTATGATTTAAATCTTTTTTTAATAATTAAAAAAGCAATAATAATGGATTCTGGGATTTATAACATGTCTGAAATCAAGTTACATGACAACACTAGCATAATGGCCAGAAGAGGAGGTATAATGCCACTAGATGGCACTGATAAAGGTGTATTCAGGAAACCCTGAAGCCCTCACTGAAAAGGCAAAAGCAGGGAAAGAAGTCGGGGAGCGGTAGACCAGAAGAAAGAAAGAGTTATAGCTAATAAGCCAACAAAGGAAAGAAAATGGAATGATATAAAAACCATGTAATCATTATGCTGGAACAACTGCTCTCCATGCACTCCAGCCTGGGCGACAGTGAAACCCTGTCTCAAAAAAAAAGCCCACCCCTAGGGCTGGGCATGGTGGCTCACGCCTGTAGTCCTACCACTTGGGGAGGCCAAGGCGGGTTGATCACCTGAGGTCAGGAGTTCAAGACCAGCCTGGCCAACATGGTGAAACCCCGTCTCTACTAAAAATACAAAACAATTAGCCAGGCATGGTGGTGGGTGCCTGTAATCCCAAGTACTCAGGAGGCTGACGTAGGAGAATTGCTAGAACCCTAGGAGGGGAGGTTGCAGTGAGCTGAGGTCATGCCACTGCACTCCAGCCTGGGCAACAGAGCGAGACTCATCTCAAAAAAAAAAAAAAATCGTACACTTAAAAGGTCACGGAGGCAAGCAAAAATCACCTGGTGGCTGCAAAGCAGACCATCGAGAGGCAAAAGTCTTTATCTGGGGAATTTAGAGGCAATTAGACTTCCTTATTATTTAAAGCAAGAATCTAGTTCCAGGCTTCTTTCCCAAAAATTTATAACTAACTAGAATTTCTGGGGTTTTTTTTTGTTGTTGTTTGTTTGTTTGTTTGTTTGAGACGGAGTCTCACTCTGTTGCCCAGGCTGGAGTGCAGTGGCGCAATCTCGGCTCACTGCTACCTCCATCTCCCGGGTTCAAGCAATTCTCTGCCTCAGCCTCCCGAGTAGCTGGAATTACAGGTGCCCGCCACCACACCCGGCTAATTTTTGTATTTTTAGTAGAAACGGGGTTTCACCATCTTGGCCAGGCTGGTCCTGAACTCCTGACCTCGTGATCCACCCAACTCGCCCTCCCAAAGTGCTGGGATTACAGGCGTGAGCCACCGTGCCCGGCCAGTAACTAGAATTTCTATACATCTCTGGAATACATGCTTATCAAAACTTGTGCAACCCTTGCTGACATTAAGGCACCAAAATGTCTACAAATG
Organism: Homo sapiens; assembly: GCF_000001405.40. Lineage (NCBI taxonomy): Eukaryota > Metazoa > Chordata > Mammalia > Primates > Hominidae > Homo > Homo sapiens. Next base: position 477,048 of record NW_025791756.1, on the reverse strand, counting down.
TAGTATTCTGTGAGCCACCGCACCCGGCCTACAAAATGTTTTTTAAAAAATTATTGTGTTGGGAGTGAATTATTGGGCTGGTGGCTCATGCCTGTAATCCCAGCACTTCAGGAGGCCGAGATGGGTGGATCACTTGAAGTCAGGAGTTCCAGACCAGCCTGGCCAACATGGTGAAACCCCATCTCTACTAAAAATACAAAAATTAGCTAGGCGTGGTGGCGGGCGCCTGTAATCCCAGCTACTTGGGAGGCTGAGACAAGAGAATTGCTTGAACCCAGGAGGCAGAGGTTGCAGTGAGCCGAGATCGTGCCATTGTACTCCAGCCTGGGTGACAAGAGCAAAAAAAAAAAAAAAAAAAAAAAGAAAGAAATCATTATTATTTTTACAATATGGGCTTATCCCTGTATTACTCTTCTGAACTTTTCACTTAATATATCGTAACCATCTCTCTAGTCATTGAATGTTCTTCTATAACATTTGGAATGATATCATAGTATCCCATTATATGAATAACCCATGGTTTATTATACAAGTCCCCTACTGCTGAACGTTTAGGTCTTTCTAACTTTTTGCTATTAAAGTCTGGCATGATAGACTCTGCAAGTTAGCCTTCAGATGCCCAGCAAATCCAGTTAACCAGAGCACTGTCCTCTAAGCCTCCTGGTGAATGTGGTTTTGCTGATGGTGGGCAGAGTCCACCCCAGCCGAGCCGCTGGATTTGGCAGGCACTTGGCCTTAGCAACCTGAGGGTGGTAACTCCAATCAGTTACTTGTTTCCCTGTTACCTGAGTTGCAGATTTAGAGCCCTCTGCAGTGAGCAGGTGAGCACCTGGCATGATTCTTTTCTGGTGAGTGGTCCTGGGGGTCACTGGGCCAGTCACCACCTGGTGACAGGACAGGGTGACCGGTGGGTGGCAGCACTGGGGATTCAAATGACCGCAGCCCGGTCAGGCTGAGCTGAGCAGAGCCAAGGACTCAGCACAGCAAGGAACCTAGGCTCTTCACAGAGAAGGGAGCTGGAGGACCCCCCAAGGAGATGAGTATGTGCCACCCTGCGGCAGGGTCCTGTGGGCTTTGGGAGTGAGAGGGTCAAGAGGAGAGGAGCTGTGTTTGCCACCCCCTGTTAAAAACCTCAAGTGAAGCAGCATGGTAGAGAGGAAAGAGCATGGGATTGGAAGCCATTGAACTTCCTGCTGTGTGTCCTTGGGCAAGTGACTACATGTCTCTGATCCTCAATCTCCCCTTCTATAAAATGGAGATGATCCTAGAACCTGCTTCACGGGAGTGTTCAGAGGGGACTGTAGACAGAGCGGGAACATAGAAGAGGAAGTAGGCGGCAGTGTGGTTCACAGCCAGCGCAGGCTGCCTGCAGGGTGCAGGTACTGTCACCAAGGGAGACCCAAGGTGCCCTGGAGGGAGTGGCAAGGACACAGGCCTGAGCCCAGCCCTGGTGATATGAACACTGGAGTGGGCTTCACAGGGACAGGCAGCATCAGAACTGGACTAGTGAGGTCATGAGCCCACCAGGGCCTGGGTAGGGACATAGCAAGTCTGGGGACTCCAGACAGGGTCACACAGACCTGGGCCATGCTGGGCATCCAGGGACTGGCTGTGCATACTGGCAGATGTCAGTCAGCCCTCCTGCAGTTGGGCCAGGGACACCTCAGGGAAACTGTGACCTTCCTTCCAGTCTTGGTAACATCACCCTTCCACCCCAAATCCCAGGGAATGGCCCGAATCTCTCCTGACAAACAGCTCTCAGCCCTGGTCCAGGCCACAGTCTTGCTTGCACCGGGCCGGGTTTCAGAGCCCGAAGGGCACACTGGCAGCCTTTAGTGCAGTGTTTCAGATGTCACAGACAGGTTCCTCTTTGACGAAGATGGAACTTCCACTGCTTCCCTCCTACCACGCAGGAAACACAGAAGCAACCATCAGCCGAGGGCCTGCTGGCCGTTCTCTCTGGGTACTGTGTTTGGAAAAAGCACAAAATCATTAACTTAAACATGCTTTTTCAAACCAAACACATCCCTCTCTTAGCCCTGGAGATTCAGAGCTGCCTCTCCCTTTGAAAATGAATGATCTCGCCCGGGTGCAGTGGCTCACGCCTGTACTCCCAGTACTTTGGGAAGCTGAGGCGGGTGGATCGCGAGGTCAGCAGTTTGAGACCAGCCTGGCCAATATGGTGAAACCCCGTCTCTACTGAAAATACAAAAATTAGCCGAGCGTGGCGGCGGGCGCCTGTAGTCCAAGCTACTCAGGAGGCTGAGGCAGAGGTTGCGTTTAGCCAAGATCATGCCACTGCACTCCAGCCTGGGCAATAGAGCAAGACTCCCTCAAAAAAAAAAAAAAGCATGATTTCATCCAATGCCTTCAGTAACAGAAGGAGGTCCAAGTCCAGTGAGAGGGTGGAACGAACATACTGTCACAGTGGAAAGGACACGAGACAGGCGCGCCACCGGGTTGAGTCTCGCGAACAAACTGAGGCCAGAGTGCCTTCCCCAGGGCTGCACGTCAGTCAGGAAAAAAAAAAGCATTCTCTCCGACAGGTCAAATCACCGAAGCCTCGGGATCGTCGCTGGGGGCTGTGACGGGGCTGGCATGAAACGTCCCTCTGTCTGGCTGGGCGATGGGTCAGTGCTCAGGAGTTTCAGGCCTTTAAGGCCCGGCCAGACCGCAGGGGGACTCTGCAGCCGGGTCGGGGTTTCGATCCTGCGCTGCGGCCTTGCAACTGCGAGGACTTGGGGGTCGTGCTTCGTTCGCCTGGTATCCTCGTTCGTGCGTGTAGGAGGCGCCTGGCTGGCCGGGCGGTGCCAGGCGGCAAGAGGGAGGGCGCACGGAGCGTGTCCGCCCAGGGCGGCCCCTGTAAGCGCTGCAGAAGCGCTGCTCCCGGCGCCCGGCCCCGCCCCAGCCTCCGCCCCACTACCGCGCAGCGCAGGCTCCGCCCCCAGTTTTCCCCGCCCCGTGGCGGGGACGCCGCGCCCGGTCCGGCCCGCTCGGCCTCGGCAGCAGCGGCTGCGGCGAAGGCGCGCGAAGGTAGGTGGCCGGGGGCGCGCGCGTGCGCGGGGGCGGGACGGACGCGCTCCCGGCGGAGGAGGCCGCGCGCCTGGGGGCGGGCTGGAGCCACGTACCGGGGCTGGGGGCGCTGTGTGTTCCGCGACTGCCGCGGCCCGGCACCGGAGGCCAGGAGAGCGTTCCCAACAGGCTCCACGGATGCCCCGCCGCGTCCTGCCGCCCATCCTGCCCGGATTGTCGCGGGCCAGGGGCACGACAGGAGACTGGGGCCTGCAGGGCGCAGCCGTCCCTCCGCCGGCCGGGGTCCCCTCGCTCCGCGGGCGGCCGTGGGAGGCCCTCGCGACGGCCTCTGCCCCCCGCAGATGCCCTCTGCAGCTCCTGCGTGCGGGCCCCGCCCTGCACTGCCCTCCTCGTGTGGGATCCGGTTTCGTCTTCATTGCAGCCCTGCCGAGTCGGAAGCATCTCCATTGTGCGGATGGGGAAACTGAGGCCCAGAGCGCATAGTTGGGCTGGCCACGGAGGCAGGGCCGCCGGATGCTGTGCGGGGATGGGGCCCTGCACCCCTTGCGCCTCTCACCATGCGGCCTCAGGCCTCTGTGCCCGGCAGCGTCTCTGGAGTGGGCTTTTTAACGAGCTCCCTCCTGATTTTTGCACAGACTTAAGCCTAACGACCATGCTGGGGCGGATGTCTGCCCCTCTGGTGACCAGGTCACAGCTCCCTCGGGAAGACGATTGACTGGGGAATGGGGACCCTGGGGAGGAGGACTTCAGGGTGCCATCTGTCTGTTTACGCCAGAAAACAGAGATTTCTGTTTTCTTTCGCTGGGCTCACAGCAGGTGCTTAATAAACAGATCTTGTGGCGGGAGCAGACGACAGCGAGGTTCAGGCAAGACTCCAGGAGTCAACCCCTGGATCTCGGAGGCTCCCCACCCGCGCACATTTCCCTGACTTAACCCTCCCCTCCCCAGTCTTTCAGCCCTTTCCACCCAAGTGGCCCCTGTGGGGGTCACTGCCTGGTTTTCACCCTGATCTTCTGGGATGCGGCAGATGCTGGCTGGATATGTGTTCGCTGGTGTCCTTCCGTGATCCCCGTCTGTGGCTGACACCATCTGTGGCCCAACATGACCCCAGCCAGAGCCAAGGGGAATCATTTCTTTTTCCATTTAACATCCTATGTTATTACTTGGCTCTTAGCATTCATTAATTCATTCAGCAGCTCTTCATGGAGCTTTGGCCTTAGCCCATGCACTGTGGAAGTGACAGTGAGCTAAGCCAACCTGGCACTTTGGGAGGCTGAGGTGGGAGGACCGCTTGAGCCCAGGAGTTGGAGACTAGCCTGGGCAACATCTCATCTCTACAACAAGTAAAAAATCAGCCAGACGTGGTGGCACGCACCTGTGGTCCCAGCTACTCAGGAGGCTGAGGTGGGAGGATCCCTTAAGCCCAGGAGGTCAACGCTGCAGTGAGCCATGATTTTGCCACTGCACTCCAGCCTGGAAAACAGAGCAAGACCTTGTCTCAAAGAAAAAAAAAAAAAGGAGACAGACAACATACATGTTGGAGAAAATGGAACAGCCACTGGAGGGACCTCTTTAGCTGAGAGTCGGGGTAGCTCCCTCAGAAAGTGATATTTTTGAGCCAAAATCTGGCCGACAAGCGGGAGTCAGCTGTGCAAAAGAAGGGGGAAGTGCGTCCCAGGCAGAGAAAGTGGCAGTGCAAAGGCCCAGAGGTGGGTGCCTGCCTGGTGTTTGAGGAATCAAGAAGGCCATGAGCAGCCAGGTGTGGTGGCTCATGCCTGTAATTCCAGCACTTTGGGAGGCTAAGGTGGGTGGATCACTTGAGGTCAGGAGTTTAAGACCAGCCTGGCCAATACAGTGAAACCTCATCTCTACTAATACAAAAATTAGCTGGGCGTGGTGGTGCATGCCTGTAATCCCAGCTACTCGGGAGGCTGAGGTAGGAGAATTGCTTGAACCCAGGAGGTGGAGGTTGCAGTGAGCTGAGATTGTGCACCACTGCACTCCAGCTCAGGCCTGGGCAACAGATCAAGACTCTGCCTCAAAAAAAAAAAAAAAAAAAAAAAAAAAAAAAAAAAAAAGGCCATGAGAGAAGGGGAGAGAGGAGATGAGGTGGGAAAAGTGCAGTGGGGCCAGATCTGGTGGGCCCTGTGGGCCATGGAAGGACTTTGAACTTCATTTTAGGTGTGGTAAGGGCTAGTAGAGGGCCTTGGGTAGGGGAGGGGTATGACCTTTACTGTGTGAAACTTGAGTGGGTGAGGGGATGAGCAGGGAAGCATAGAGACCCTCGGGGAGCCATCTCAGCAGTCCAGGCAGTGGCTTATATAATACACATCGGCGTCCTGGGGTGGTGCCAGGTACACAGCAGGCGCTGCAGGATGGAAGTCATTGCTGTTACTGTTTTTGTTTATTTGAGACAGGGTCTTGCTCTGTCACCCAGGCTACAGTGCAGTGACACAACCACGGCTCGTTGCAGCCTCAACCTTCCAGGCTCAAGCAATCCTCCTGCCTCAGCCTCTCAAGGAACTGGGACTACAGGAGGTGCATGCCACCATGCCAGGCCAATTTTTTTTATTTTTTTGGCAGAGATGGAGTCTCACTGTGTTGCCAGGGCTGGTCTCAAACGCCTGGGCTCAGGCAGTCCTCCTACCTTGGCCTCCCAAAGTGTTGGGATCACAGGTGTGAGTCAGTGCACCCGGCTTGCTGTTATTATTTAAAACTCTGGGCTGGGTGCAGTGGCTCATGCCTATAATCCCAGCACTTTGAGAGGCCGAGGCGGGTAGATCACTTGAGGTCAGGAGTTTGAGACCAGCCTGGCCAACATGGTGAAACCCTGTCTCTACTAAAAATACAAAAATAAGCTGGGCGCGGTGGCGCATACCTGTAATCCCAGCTACTCAGGAGGCTGAGGCAGGAGAATTGCTTGAGCCCAGGAGGCGGAGGTTGCAGTGAGCCGAGATCGTGCCATTGCACTCCAGACTGGGTGACAGAGCCAGACTCCATCTCAAAAACAAAACAAAACAAAAAACAAAAACCCTTTGGAATCAGGCACACCTAGGTCGCGGCTGTGACTTGAGCTTTTTGTGGCTGGGTGCATTGGAGCCAATTATTTAACTTCGCTGAGACTTCACGCTGTCATCTGTAAAGTGAGTAGGGTGGTGCCAGGAGTGTTAAAGCAGGTAAGGGACAGATGTAACGTTTTGGGCACAGGGCCTGGCTCGTGGTTGGTTCAATATTTTTGTCATAATTTCTAGTCAGCAGCAGGAGGATAACGAAGGGGTAAGCGGATAAGAGCAGCTGCTATGTTTGAAACGAGTAATCTTTGAGGGGCTTTTTGGCTAGTTCCTGCCGCTAGCCCTGGCAAAAGGCAAGTTTGGAGGGTGGTAGTGGGGAGGGAAGGGTACAAAGGGTGTCTCCTCTGTATTTGGTCACCAAATAATGTCTCAGCATCTAGAACAAGGCACAGGGTTCTAGCTTGGGGACTAGAAAGAGCCAATAATACTCATGATAGTAATGATAACAGTAGTAATAGCCAACACTTACCCGCTGTTGAACTGCAGGTAGTAATTAAGGTAACACTAGCTAATGTGATAGTGAAACCCTGAATTCTCAGAGGCTTAGCGCAATAGAAGTTTATTTCTCATTCATGAAAAGCCCTGTTGGGTGTTTGGCAGGTGGCTTTCTATGTGGCGACCCAGGGACCGAGATCCCTTCTGTCTTGTGGTTGCGGCATCCCCTAGGACCTTGGAGTTATTTCCTTCTAGCTGATGGACCAGGAAGGAGAGAAATAATTTTATGGACCAAGCCTAAAGTGGCACGCTGTTTTTCTGTCTTAATTCTATGGACCAGAACTTGACCACATGGCCGTATCTGACTGCAAGGGAGTCTGGGAAATGGCTTTTAGCCATATTCCTAAGAGGAATCGGAAATGCTTTGTGGTGAGCACATTGCAGTTTCTGCCACACCATATCCAGGCATATAGCTTAGCACGGAGTATTTTATTTAATGCTCATGCTAGAAACAGGCACCATTATTATCCCATTTTGCAGATGAGGAAACTGAAGCTCAGAGAAGTGAAGACACTGGTGCAGGGTCACACAGCTGGTGAGGGGCTGGTGAGCCAAGATTGGAGTCCAGGTGGCCAGATGCTGAAGCTGTTAGCATCCAGATTTCTAAGAGGAATTCAGTCTTTTTTTTTTTTGGAGAATTGGGTGGAAGCAGTGGACACATACACGAGGTTCAGATATGACTTCCTGGGACCCACAGAACCCAGCAGGACTCTGGGGGAGAACTTTGGGGATGGAGCCAAGGGTGAGTGTCACCTGGTGCCAGGGGCTGACATCCTGTCCCCTTCCTCCAACCCTTAGGGCCGTGGTCAGGAGAAGGCACAGAATAATCCAGTTCAGTCCCTCAAGGACATCTGGGGCCCCCTCTGCTGAGCTGGGCATGCAGGGCTGGACATGCTGGTCCAGGGGTATTTGTGGCTTCCCCCCTGTTCTGGTGGGCAGGTGTGCAGCCTGTAGAGGGGATTTTTTGGAGGCTGCCTAGAGGTAGAAGAGTGGGCGTCCCTGGGGTTTGTAGTGGCAGCTCTATCTGCTGGCCGGTTTAGTTTTTTGTTTTTTTTTTTTTTGAGACAGAGTCTCTCTCTGTCACCCAGGCTGGAGTACAGTGGTGCGATCTCAGCTCACTGCAACCTCTGCCTCCCAGTTTCAAGTGATTCTTGTGCCTCAGCCTCCCGAGTAGCTGGGACTACAGGCACCCACCACCATGCCCAGCTAATTTCTGTATTTTTAGTAGAGACGGGGTTTCACCACGTTGGCCAGGCTGGTCTAGAATTCCTGACCTCAAGTGATCGACCTGCCTCGGCATCCCAGTGTTGGGATTACAGGCACGAGCCACTGCACCTGGCCAGTAGCTGGTTTAGTTTTGCCCAAATCTGGCTTGCTTGCCATTGCAACTTGGCAACATTTATCTTTTCAGACCTGTTTCTTGGTTTTCCATTTGCAGGGCAGTTTCCTTAGTTGGGCGTGAGCGGTCCAGCCTGGACTGATGAGCATTTATACAGCACCGTGGCATTCTGGGTCTGACCTGGATACAGAAGTAGAGCCTCAAAGCGCAAATGCCTCGGCCTTGCCCTTCAGTCACTCATTGGGAGGCTGCTGGTCTAAGTGGAATGAGCTTTGGGCTCACCACTTCCCTGAAGCATGTCGCCTTGAATAGGTGAGAGCCCAATGTCTCTGAGCCTCAGTTTTCTCATCTGGAAATAGGTTGAAGTAAGGATTTAATGAGATAATGTGAATATGCCCCCTTTGGGGCACAGCATGGAGCAGAGGGCACCCAGGGACGGAGGGCTGAGGCATAGCAGTGTAGCAGGACAAGCCGCAGGCAAAACTCTTCAGTCACCAGGTTAAAGAAGGAAGGAACTTTATTCGGCTGGGAACTTCAGGAGACTTGTGTCTTAAAAGCCGAGCTCCTCGAGTGAGCAATTCCTGTCCTTTTTTAGGGCTTACAACTCTAAGGGCAGGAGCCCAGACACATGATGCTAATGACAATAGGAACAGTGGCCCCCATTGGCTAATAGCTCACCACCTGCCAGGTGTGGTAGGTACTATCAGTCGCATTTTTTTGTTGTTTTTGGTAGGACAGAGTCTCGCTATGTTGCCCAGGCTGGTCTCAAACTCCTGGGCTCAAGCGATTCTCCCATTTTGGCCTCCCAAAGTGCTGGGATTATAGACCTGAATCACCACACTCGGTCTAGTCTCATTTTATTTTATTTTATTTTTTTGAGACAGACTCTTGCCCTGTCACCCAGGCTGGAGTGCTGTGGCACAATCTCGGCTCACTGCAACCTCCTCCTCCTGGGTTCAAGTGATTCCCCTGCCTCAGCCTCCTGAGTAGCTAGGATTATATGCACATGCCACCACGCCCCAGCTAATTTTTTTTATATTTATTTATTTATTTATTTATATTTTTGAGACGGAGTCTTACTGTGTCGCCAGGCTGGAGTGCAGTGGCATGATCTCGGCTCACTGCAACCTCTGCCTCCCAGGTTCAAGCGATTCTCCTGACTCAGCCTCCCAGGTAGCTGGGACTACAGGTGTGCACCACCATGCCTAGCTAATTTTTGTATTTTTAATAGAGACGGGGTTTCACCATGTAGGCCAGGATGGTCTTAATCTCTTGACCTCCTGATCCGCCTGCCTCAGCATCCCAAAGTGCTGGGATTACAGGCCAATTCTTGTATTTTTAGTAGAGATGGGGTTTCACTATGTTGGCCAGGCTGGTCTCAAACTCCTGACCTCAAGTGATCTGCCCGCCTCAGCCTCCCAAAGTGCTGGAATTAGAGGCTTGAGCCACTGCACCTGGCCTGGTTTAGTCTCCTTTTAGAGATGAGAAAACTGAGGCTCAGGGAGGTAACCTGTTCAAGGTCTTACTGTCTTGAACACCATAGTTGCAAGTGACAGAGCTGAGTCTCACATGCAACCTCAGACCTGATACTGACTCCAGAGCTGTGCGCCTAAGCACTAGAGCACATAGCCTCCTTGCCCCAGGGAAAGAACAATGGGAGGTGGTGGGTGACCTCTGGGTCTCAGGGCCCTGGGATATAGGGACTGTGCCTTTTTTTTTTTTTTTTTGAGACAAAGTTCCACTCTTGTTGCCCAGGCTGGAGTGCAATGGCGCGATCTTGGCTCACTGCAACCTCTGCCTCCTGAGTTCAATCGATTCTCCTGCCTCAGCCTCCCAAGTAGCTGGGATTACAGGTGTGCACCACCACACCCGGCTAATTTTTGTATTTTTGGTAGAGACGGGGTTTCACCATATTGGTCAGGCTGATCTTGAACTCCTGACCTCAGGTGATCCACCCGCTTTGTCCTCCCAAAATGCCGAGATTACAGGCATGAGTGCCTGCGCCTGGCTGGGACTGTACCTTCTGGATTTTCAAATGAATGAAATGAGTATTTCTTGAGTGTTGACCACGTGACCCCCCAGCACCATGTCATGTGCTGGGTATGCACACACGATACTGTTTCATCCCCGGACGGCTCCGAGAGATGAGTACCAATATTATCACATCTTACGTAAGAGGACACTGAGTCTCAGAGAGGCAAAGTCAGTGTCCCTGGTGCACCCAGCTAGTGGGGGCTGGGGTGGGTGTGAAGGGGCCAGAAGCTTCCCAATAAGTGCCTGAAGGGCAAGGCTAGGGCATTTGTAGTTCGAGGCTCTACCACTGTGTCTAGGTCAGACCTAGGAATGCCGCAGGTGTTGCATAAATGCTCATCAGTCCAGGCTGGACCGCTCATGCCCAACTAAGTGCCAAGCCTGGCCTGGGTGATCTCACAGCCTGCATTCTTTGCCCTACACCTGTTGTGGGAAAACATACTCCCAGCATGCTGTAAATCCTCTCATTCTTAGCTAACCATGTGACTCCCGTTCTGGGCCAGAAAGATGGTCACAAATACTTAGGACTCTGGCCTTTCCCGCCGCATGGCTACTGACCCCACCCCCTGGGCTTGGAGGGCTCTAGGACCCAGCAACCTGCGCAGGGTGAAGAGTGTGTGAGGTCCTGACCTCCAGGTGTCTCCCCTGTTTCCTCCTCCCATTCCCTCTTCTCTCTCCTCCCTCCTTTTCTCTCCCTTCTCCTCCCCTCTCTTCATCCTTCCTCTTCCTTTGGCTCCCTGCCTCTGCTTCCCTCCTCTCCTGTCCTTTCCCATCCCCTCCCTCCTCAGCCCACATCCTGCTCCTCCCACCGCGGTGGTCACATGGGGGCGCCGCCGGATTTAAGCTTAATCTGCCTGGTGCTCAGCACAGCATCCTGGCTGTGGCGCGTGCTGACTGAGCTAGTCTTGGGGTCCTGGAGAAGGGGGCTGGAGGCATGCCCACAGCCTCCCCCCCATGAGCTTGGGGCTGGCGGGGGCACAGGAGGTGGAGCTGACACTAGAGACGGTTATCCAGGTGGGTCCTGGGGGCTGTGCCCACCCTGTCTGGGGCGGGGCAGCGTGGACTTAACAGGAGTGGTGAGAGGTGTGTGCGTCTTGGGGATCAAGGGGTGGGAGAGGTGTGGTGGTGGTGGGGTATACAGGGGCCCCCCGCTTGCAGTTCCTGGCAAGATGGGGGGCAGAGGTACACACAGGGTGCACCTGCTGTGGCTCCCTCATCCCAGTGCCCTGGGTTGGGAGAAGGGGGTCTCTACTGCCAGATTTTAGGGCTTGGGGGACCTCTGGCATAGCCAGATCCTCATCCATCTAGGGTCGGAACCGGATTGGAGCCCCCAACACTGGACTGCCTCCAGTGGGGTTTGGGAGTTACCCGTAGGGTTTGGTTCTCATCTCTGGCCCTGGGCCTTCTTCCTGGGGCAGTGAGCACACAAGAGGCTCTTTGCATGGGGATTTTTTGGATTCTAACTCCCAGGCTTCACTCCATCTTGAGGGGGCTCCTGGGGACCTGTATCTTGGGCAGTAGGATTCTGTGGCTCTCCCCACGAGGCCAGGGAGCCCCGGGTCCCATGTTCCCTGAAGAACCTCTCGCTTTTCCCACAGACACTGGAGAGCAGCGTCCTGTGCCAGGAGAAAGGCTTGGGCGCGCGGGACCTGGCCCAGGACGCTCAGATCACCAGCCTGCCTGCCCTTATCAGGGAGATTGTCACCCGCAACCTCTCCCAGCCTGAGAGCCCAGGTGCCACCCCCATCCGCTCCCCTCCACAAACACCACCCACATTTTACCTCTTCTCATGTCCCTTTCCTGAGCAGTCACCATGATGATCATGACTGTAACTCGCTGTGGGGCAGGCACAGCTTTATGACAGAAGAACCCATTTTACAGATGAGGAAACAGAGGCTCAGGGATGTAATTTGTCCAGACTTATTCCGCATGTGGTGCAACTAGAAGGAAGGGCCGAGCATCTCCTGCGTGCTTGCCTGTAGCCTGCTGCAGAGATGTGAACCCCAAATCCCGTATTCCCACCCGGGGAAGGTGTGAGCTGGCTGAACCCAAGATACAGGAAGAGGGCAGCTCAGCTCAGACCAGGGTTTTGCGGAAGTCTGAGTGGATGGCGCCATCCATCCGTTTCCCACGTGGGCAGGAAGGCGGATGGTCCCTGCTCCTCTCAGTGGGTGGCGCACACGGTGTAGTTATGTGGCTTGAGGATCTGGGAAAGGCACACTCAGTTGCAGCTGGTGTGCTGGCGTGTGGCGTTTTGGTGCTCTAACCATTGTCTGTGTTCAACTCCCAAGCTACAGACGGGCCCCCTCCTTGGGAGCGCCAGGGATGTTGGTGCCCTGGAGCCCCAGACAGGGAGAGACTCAGAGGGCCCTCACCCTGACACCTGGGGTGTATGTCCAGTTCTCCCAGGGTAGAAGGGGAACCCACAGGAGGTGGACAACCCCGCTTCTCCCGCTGGCCTTTCTTTCCCTCTTCTCTCTTTCTCCTTCTCCTCACAACCTGACCTATGCTATGCTCTCCTGAGCCCTAGCCTTTAAAGTTCCATGAAGCCCTTCTCTTGAGCGAGGCTTTGATGCTTTTCTGGGAGGATCTGGTTACTACGATTCTACCTTTTTTTTTTTTTTTTTTTTTTTTTTTTGAGACAGAGTCTCGCTGTGTTGCCCAGGCTGGAGTGCAGTGGCGCAATCTCAGCTCACTGCAACCTCCACCTCCCCGGTTCAAGTGATTCTGCTGTCTCAGCCTCCCAAGTAGCTGGTACTACAGGCATACACCACCATGCCCAGCTAATTTTTGTATTTTTAGTAGAGACAGGGCTTCACCGTGTTGGCCAGGCTAGTCTCAAACTCCTGACCTCAGGTGATCCTCCTATCTCGACTCCCAAAGTGCTGGGATTACAGGCGTGAGTCCGTGCCCGCCCCACCCATATTACAGATAAGTAAATCTGAGGCCCCGGAGAAGAAGACTAATTGGAAAAGGAGGGAGCAAGAACTCAGGGGTCTCCTGGCTCCTAGACTGAGCGTCTCTCCTGCACCTCCCAAACCTGCTGGGCCACACTTTAGCTGGAGTTGTGTTCACTTTACGTCCAGCTTTGTATCCCCTCCTTGCCTTCCTCCCTGTTCTCAGCTCTGTTTGCAGGCCTGGTGCTGCAGCCATTCCCATCTGGACTCCTCCCAGGGGCCTGGATGGTTTTCTTGCCCTCCCTGTTGCGGGGAGGATGTCCCACTGGACCCAGAAGCCAACCATGTGCCCACTGTCCCTTGCCAGTCCTGCTGCCGGCCACGGAGATGGCATCGCTGCTGTCGCTGCAGGAGGAGAACCAGCTGCTGCAGCAGGAGCTGTCCCGCGTGGAGGACCTGCTGGCCCAGAGCCGTGCCGAGCGCGATGAGCTCGCCATTAAGTACAATGCGGTCAGCGAGAGGGTGGGTGCCGCCCAGGCGGTGGACTAGGCCAGGGTTCCCCTCGTTCAAGGGCAGGGAGGCATCTAGACCAGGCCCACACACAGGGCAAAAGATGGGCCCTGGAGTCAGGTTGGCCTGGGCTTGGATTGAGGCTCTGCCACCTTGAGTGGCGTTGAGCAAATCACTATGCTCTTTAAGCCTGTTTTCTGTAGTGGGGATTGTAATGGGACGTGGAATTGTAGGAATCAAGGAGATAATAGAATAAAGTGCCTGGCACCAGGGGTATTTTGTTCCCATCTGTCCCAGGCCTGTTAGGGGTGTGGGACACGGAGAATGAGATCCCTAAAGATTCCTGCCCCTTGAGTTTCTGGGCATCTCCCATTGCCACGGGCCTTGGGGTTGAGGCGGTGGCTGGATGCTGGCTCGAGGCTGGTGTGGGCACCCGCGGTGTTCTGCAGCCCATCTGGGGCAGCCACAAGACCTGCCGCCACTGCCTATTGGAATGAGTTCCAGGCAGGGAAGGAAGGAGAAGCAGGCCTGTCTTCATGTCCAGGCAGGATTCACATCACCCGTGCTGCAGGCTTGTGGGGGTCCCAGGGTGTGGGGCGGGAGCTGGGTGTGAGCCGGTGCGAGGGGTGCGGGATGCTCTTGATGCACTGTCTGCTTTGGGCCTCCGGGTGGCCGGGAGGTGGCCCTGGGAAGTTGGTGGTGGCTGAAGATTGGTAAGGGACACTCGCAGCTGGGACAGAGTGTATGTGTGCAGATGAGAGGCATGCAGGTGGCAATAACGTATTAACAGTAGCTACTGTTTATTGAGTGCCTACTATGTGCCAGGCGCGTGCTGAGTGTTTCACATTTAATACACCAAGGTCGGGACCATTATGATGCCCATGTAACAGAGGAGAAAACAGAGGCTCAGGGAGGGGAAGCACCATGCTGGGGGCACACAGCCAGTTAAAGTTAGACACCAGGTCTTCCAACTCCCAGCCCAGGGCTCTGTTTGGTTTCTAAACTAACCCAGTCTAGAAACAAAGTTCTGAAGTTTCATTTCCTGTGTATGGGAAGAGACACTGGGCTAGGGATTTCAGGGCACAGCTGGCCCCCACAAAGTTGGAAGGGACCCAGAGAGGCAGGGGCTGGCCCAGGGTCCCCTGTGTGGTAGTGGCAGAGCTAGGGTTGGCATGGGACCCCTGAGCTGGACTTGTCCAGGCTGGAGCCCGCATTGGCAGGAGGGTGTGTGTTCCTGTGTATGACTGTGGGGTGTGCCCGTGTCCTGGGATTTGCCTGGCTGGACAAACCCACGACTAGTTGGGACTTGTAGAGGAGCAGAGTAGGCGGCCCGCAGTGGCCCCTGGCATGAGGACAGTGGAGAGCTCGTTTCCCCAGGGTCTGCAGCGGGTGTGTAGGGCACGCTGGCCCCAGTCATGAATTGTGGGTGGTGATGGGGCCCTGAGCCAGGCACCCCTTTCTTTTGGTCCATGCATGGCACAGTGCCACACCCCCAGGGCCGCCTCTTAAATGCCACCTTCTGAAGCTAGCCCTGCCCCCAGGTTGGCAGGGAAGGGAAGAGGTGGGAGGTAGCAGGTTCCTCCTCTGCTGGGACACAGCTGCTGGGGCTGGGACTGCAGCACAGGGGGTCTGGGTTAGTCTAGAAAGCTCCCTCCTGTGGTTAGTGGGGGCCCAAATGGCACGCAGAGGGCGCCCGCTGCTTCAGTTGTCCTCTATCCACCATGGTTTGAATGAGGCCCCACCTGGAGGCAGGGGTGGAACAGGAATGACCTCAAAGGCCTTTCCTGGAGGGTGGGTCCCCAGAGAACTTCAGAGCCTAGAGATCACCTCATCACAGATAGGGAAAGTAAGTCCGGGAGAGGGGCATGATAGGCCCAAGGTCAGTGGTGGTCCTGGGATGAGACCCTTGGTCCAGGGCTCTGCAGTTGGGCAACATTCTCTTTCCCTGCCACCCCCTTGTCCCCATGGCCACAGGTGGCAGTGCCTGCCCCTGTGGCCCTCACTGGCATGTTGGGCTGGGTTGGTGGGCAGTCAGCGAGATTGTTCTGATCTTTCCAACCCTGCAGCACCCCTGGCATGGGGAGCGGAGGGAGGGTCAGGTCTGTGTCCTGTTAACTGCATGTCCTGCAGGGAAACTGAGGCACTCCCAGAGGCCACCTCCCAGCCGAGAGAGAGGACCTCAGGGCCCCCATGGGGGTCCCCCCTTCTTGCTGTCCCTGAGAAGCAGATGTAGGCGCAGCTGGGAATGGAAAGGAGGGAGTGGTCACGCCTCCCTTGGCTCCAGAGGACAGACCCCCTGGGCTCCCTCGTGTCCATAGCAACCTGGAAAGAGTAAATTGAATGGCGGTCTGAGGGCAGCAGTTGCTAGGGGAGACAGTCAACTTCTTTCATCTCTGGCTTAGTGGCAGCCTCCTTCCCTTTTGAATTGCAAGTAAAATTGAAAGGCTGTTTTGCTCACGGTGAAGTTTGTGGAAAGGGGTGAGGTGTGGCCGAGAGGGCCCTGGCTCTGGTTCTGAGCACTGGAGAAGGGGGAGGAGAACCCAGCAACGGCCTGAACCCCTCTGTGTCCCAGAGGCAAACAGCACCTGCTTCACACAGATATGCAGTGTGTACACGACATGGGCTACACTGGGCCCCACACAGACACACAGATGCACAAAACATTCCACAAACAACATAGTGAGACCCTAAAACCAGGCCACACAGAAACACTCCAATTCACAGAATATGCACAGTGT
Organism: Homo sapiens; assembly: GCF_000001405.40. Lineage (NCBI taxonomy): Eukaryota > Metazoa > Chordata > Mammalia > Primates > Hominidae > Homo > Homo sapiens. Next base: position 460,934 of record NW_025791756.1, on the reverse strand, counting down.
TAGCCGCACACACAGCCAGATGCCACACAACCCCACACAGGCACAGAACAGTCCCCCCACCACCGGGGACCTATAACAACCATATGCAGATGACACAGCACGCTATCTCCCACCTCATGGGTGCACACGGACAGGAAAAGCATACAGTTCAACACAGCCACCAATCGGCCCACAAAGGTATGCCCAGATGCACAAAGTGTGTATCACACATACCAGGGAGCCCAGGCACACCCCCCAGACCCACCCACATGCGGTTGTACACTTGCCTCACCGACACACAGACATATACCCTGATACACACAGCCAGGCCCAACACCCGCGCCACAACATAGACCTTCAGCCACAGATGCCGCCTTAGCCGTTCACGGGAAGGCTCAGATGCACCAAACAGTCGACGTGAACTCAGCACCCACACACTACACACACAGTGTCCTGCGTGGAGACAGATGACAAAATACACCCCACTCGCACCTAGTGAGAGCCACCAACATCAGTGCACAGCCTGTGTGGCTGCCTCAGGCCACCGCCACCACACACAGATGTGGACACCGCTCACCATTGACCTCAGTGGGCTTGGCACAGACGCTTGACAGGCCTGCAGCCGCCATCCAGGCAGAAACCCCCTACTTCCACCTCCCCTGCACAGCCTTGGACTGTGTTCCTCCAGACTCAGGGGGAAGCCCCCAAGTAGTCACAGTTAGCTCCTCCCTATTGGTGGGGCTGCCATGCACGTGTCCCGGGGGTGGGGTGGGTAGAGATGTCCTTGCTTTGTCTGTGGCTCATAGAACATCTCTCAGCATATGGGGTCAATGCAGGCCTGGAGGGCACCTTCCCTACCGCTAACCTGGCCTGGACCCAAGACCCGAGATGAGCGTGGGTGAGAGCAGCTGCCCTCCTGTTGGCTTCCTGTGGCTGGCGTGGCCCTGCACGGGTGGGCTTTTGAATGCCCTGCCTGGGCTATAGCAGGCCAGGTCCTGAGGATGCAGATGGTGAGTGCAGGGCTAGCATCAGAGTAAGCTGGGCTGGGGTGTTGTCGCTGCCAGGTGCCCTTGACCCACTGTGTGCTCTCCCACTGCCCTGCTCCTCCCTCACCTCCCTTCCCCCAACAGCTGGGGAAGATGAGGGGCCACCTGGGGCCAGCAGGTGCCTTAAGGGAGTTGAGAGGGTTCTATGGCTGGTAGGGACAGCCAGAGCCCACAGGGGTCTGAGGATGCGGGGGATGGAAGCTTCCTGGGGGTGGAGGAAGGGCAGCAGCAACAGAGGCTTTCCTGCAGTGAGGATGGAGGGGACCTTTTTTTTTTTAAGATGGAGTCTTGGGCCGGATGCTGTGGCTCACACCTGTAATCCCAGCACTTTGGGAGGCCGAGGCGGGTGGATTACGAGGTCAGGAGTTCGAGACCAGCCTGGCCAACATAGTGAAACCCCATCTCTACTAAAAATACAAAAAATTAGCCAGGTGTGGTGGCGTGCACCTGTAGTCGCAGCTACTTGGGAGAGTGAGGCAGGAGAATCATTTGAACCCGGGAGGTGGAGGTTGCAGTGATCCGAGATCGAGCCATTGCACCCCAGCCCAGGAGACAGTGCAAGACTCTGTCTCAAAAAAATAAATAAATAAAATAAAATAAAAAATAAATAAATAAAGATGGAGTCTTGCTCTGTCGCCCAGGCTGGAGTGCAGTGGCACGATCTCGGCTCACTGCAACCTCCGCCTCCCAGGTTCAAGTGATTCTCCTGCCTCAGCCTCTTGAGTAACTGGGATTACAGGTGCATGACACCATGCCCAGCTAATTTTTGTATTTTTAGTAGAGACGGGGTTTCATCACGTTAGCCAGGCTGGTGTTGAACCCCTGACTTCAAGTGATCTACCCGCCTTGACCTCCAAAAGTGCTGGGATCACAGGCATGAGCCACTGCACCCAGCCAGAATGGGGCATTAATATGCAGGCGCCGTATAGGGCAACATCTGTGTGCACCTCTTACAAATCTTAATGCTGTGTATATGAGGGGGTTCCTTCGTGTCCTCCGGGAATGTTTGAGGTTGCCTGTATGTGTTATGTGTGTGCATATCTTTAAGGTCAGATATGCATAGGCGGATTGACACCTCTGTTTTGAATGTATTCCCATGAGCTCATCCCATTAATTCACTATCGCAACAAATATTTACTGAGCGTGAGCCATGCCATTCCACAGCCACCATTCTAGCACTAAGATACAATGAGGAACAAAAAATCCAGGCTTTCTGAGCTCACATTGGGGTCGGGGCATGGTGGGAAGACACAGGCATCAATGTAATAAACAGAAACCACGACAGGGCTAAGTGTTCTGGAGGAGAGGCGCATGGTGTACTGAGGCCCCTGAGGTTGACCCAGGTGCACCTTTGAGCTTTGCCTGCGTGGTTTGGGTTTGTGGGCTCACCTGCATGTGTCCATACATGCCCCGTCTGCGTGCCCGTGCATGGCTGCATCACCCCATACACACGTGCACTGCCCCTGGGCTTGCCCACATGTGCTGCTCCCCAGGGCGCCAGGCTATCAGCCTACAAGGCATTGTGGGTCTGGGCCCAGCCTGCCACGCCCTACAGAAGCCTGAGCCTGCCTTCCCAGGAGGCCCAGAACTCTCACCCAGGGCCCTTCCCTGCAGCTGGAGCAGGCTCTGCGGCTGGAGCCTGGGGAGCTGGAGACGCAGGAGCCCAGGGGGCTGGTACGGCAGAGCGTGGAGTTGCGGAGGCAGCTGCAGGAGGAGCAGGCCTCCTACCGGCGCAAGCTGCAGGCCTACCAGGAGGGCCAGCAGCGGCAGGCCCAGCTTGTGCAGCGGCTGCAGGGCAAGGTCAGGACCACCCACTCCTGCTCCTGTCCTCCCACCTGTTCACTTTGCCCCGCCCCAACCCCTGGGGCTCACCATCAGCTCCCCATCCCCAGATTCTCCAGTACAAGAAGAGGTGCTCGGAGCTGGAGCAGCAGCTGCTGGAGAGATCCGGAGAGCTGGAGCAGCAGCGGCTGAGGGTGGGTGCCAGTGTGGGGCAGGGGCAGGCCCTGCCCTCCACCTGCCCAACCTGATGCTTTAACCTCTCTCCCACCCAGGACACAGAGCACAGCCAAGACCTGGAAAGCGCCCTCATCCGGCTGGAGGAGGAGCAGCAGAGGTGAGGGCGCAGCAGGGAGGGCCAGGGCTGGCAGGATGGCCCCCTGCGCGAGCGCCTACTGATCCCCTGTGCCCCATTCAGGAGTGCCAGCCTGGCCCAGGTGAATGCCATGCTCCGAGAACAGCTGGACCAGGCAGGCTCGGCCAACCAGGCTCTGAGTGAGGACATACGAAAGGTGACCAATGACTGGACACGCTGCCGCAAGGAGCTGGAGCACCGGGAGGCGGCGTGGAGGCGCGAGGAGGAGGTGGGCATGGGGGTGCAGGGAGGCCAGCCTGACCCAAGAGGAAGGGGCACTGCAGAGGAGGGAGGACTCAGAAGCCTGGAGAGGGAGAGGGAGCACTGTCCGAGGGAGCACTCTCCAAGGGAGCCTGTTAGCAGAAGTAAATAGCCGTCATCACAATAGCTGGTCTTTATCAGTGTGTAGCATGTACCACGTGCACGGTGTGCGTTGACCTTTATTCCTCATGATAATTGCATGTGGTAGGTGCTATCATTCTCCTCATTTTAAAGAGAGGTTAAGGCCGGTCGCAGTGGCTCACGCCTGTAATCCCAGCACTTTGGGAGGCTGAGAGATCGTGCCACTGCACTCCATCCTGGGCAACAAAGCAAGACTCTGTCTCCAAATAAGTAAATAAATAAAGAGAGTTTAAGTAACCTGCCCACAGTCATGCAACTGGCAGCTGGGATGCAAAGCTAGGTCCCTTGCATTTTTGCCCTTCGTTGCTGCCTCTTGCAGCCAAAAGAGGACTTGAAACCCAGGTCCCTGTGCAGGAGGGAGCCATGAGGCTTGGGAGGCTGAGCATGGCCGCTGCAACACAGCTCTGTGCACAGACCCACAGGAAGACCCAATCCCTGAACGACGGTGCCTCCCAGCATGGTCGGAGATGAGGGAAGCAGTGGGAGGGAGTAAACCCGCTCTCACACCAACCCTTCCCTCGGCATGTCTTCCCTCCAGTCCTTCAACGCCTACTTCAGCAACGAGCACAGTCGCCTGCTCCTCCTCTGGAGGCAGGTGGTGGGGTTCCGGCGGCTGGTCAGCGAGGTGAAGATGTTCACTGAGAGGTGAGGCCTGGCCGGGGACGGGGCAGCAGCTGAGAGCCAGCCCTGCTCTTTATGTCCAACTGAACTCAGTTGAATTTCAGTTCAACTCAACGCACTTACTGTGCACAAGGGCCGGTGAGGACACAGAGGCAACTTGTAATAACCATTACCACAGTCGTGGCAGTCAGCATTTATTAGATGTTTACTCTGGGCTAGGCTCATTGTATATTTCATTTCAACTAATATTCATAGCTTCCCTGTGAGGTAGGAACTGTGTTCATTCACATATTACAGATGAGGACATTGTGGCGCAGAGAGGTTGAGTGATCTTCCTGAGGTCACACAGTAGTACATAAGTGGCTGAGTCAGAGTTTGAAGTTCCTGATTTTTTTTTTTCTCAGACGGAGTCTTGCTCTGTCACCAGGCTGGAGTGAGGTGGCACGATCTTGGATCACTGCAACCTTCACCTCCTGGGTTCAAGCAATTCTCCTGCCTCAGCCTCCTGAGTTGCTGGGATAACAGGCACATGCCGCCACACCCAGCTAATTTTTTTTTTTTTTTGTATTTTAGTAGAGACGGGGTTTCACCATGTTGCCCAGGATGGTCTCGAACTCCTGAGCTCAAGCAATCAGCCAGCCTCAGCCTCCCAAAGTGCTGGGATTATAGGCATGAGCCACAGCGCCAGGCTGAAGTTCCTGATTTTAATCCACTAGAATATTCAGCTTTGCTACCAAGGACCTCACAGCCTCTTGTGATGAAAAGATGTAGATCCCCAAAATTCTAGGCTGGGCACGGTGGCTCACGCCTGTAATCCCAGCACTTGAGGAGGCCGAGGCGGGTGGATCACCTGAGGTTAGGAGTTCAAGACCAGCCTCAACATGGAGAAACCCTGTCTCTACTAAAAATACAAAATTAGCCGGGCATAGTGGTGCATGCCTGTAATCCCAGCTACTCGGGAGGCTGAGGCAGGAGAATTGCTTGAACCTGGGAGGCAGAGGTTGCGGTGAGCCGAGATCTCGCCATTGTACTCTGGCCTGGGCAACAAGAGCAGAACTCCATCCAAAAAAAGTAAAATAAAATTCTAGACTGAGGAAGCGAGTGGTCAGTGATATGTACGTGGAACAGAGGGAATGTCCTCGAGGCTCAGAAGGATGGGAGGGGTGGGGAGGTCAGAAAAACCACTTTGTGGAGATGGAATTTGCACAGAGCCTCAAGGGATGGGTAGGGTTGAAGCAGAGCAGCAGGCGCTCCAAGCAGGAGCAAGGCATGAGCAAAGGCATGGAGGTGGGAGCCCATGGCAGCCAGGGGGGTTGCAATGAAGAGCTGGTACAGGGAAAGGAGAGCCTGCCTCAGCGGGGGAGCTTGGGCCTGCCTGATCCGTGTGAGCAGTCAGCTCAACAGTAGCGTCAGGGAGGCTGCGGAGAGAGCCCCAAGGCAGGAGGCCAAGGTATTTCATTTAGTGCGTTAAAAACATTTTAGTTAGTAATCTTTTCTTTTCTTTATGGCTCACTACAGCCTCAGCCTCCTCGTCTCAAGCAATCCTCCTACCTCAGATCCTGTGCAGCTGGGACTACAGGTGCATGCCACCAGGCTTGCTGATTTTTTTATTTCTTGTAGAGTCGAGGTCTCACTTTGTTGCCCAGGCTGGTCTTGAACTCCTGAGCCCAAGTGATCCTCCTGCCTTGACCTCCCAAAATGCTGGGATTACAGGCATGAGCAACCACACCTGGTTTAATAATCTTTTGTTAATATCATCAAATAGCCAGTGTCTAAATTTTCCATATGTCTCATAAATGTCACAGATAGACCAGGTGCAGTGGCTCACGCCTATAATCCCAGTACTTCAGGAGGCCGAGGCGGGCGGACCACCTGAGGTCAGGAGTTCGAGACCAGCCTGGCCAACATGGTGAGACCCCTATCTCTACTAAAAATACAAAACTTATCTAGGTGTGGTGACACATGCCTGTAATCCCAGCTACTGGGGAGGCTGAGGCCCCAGACTCGCCTGAACCCAGGAGGCGGAGGTTTCAGTGAGCCGAGATAACACCACTGCACTCCAGCCTGGGTGACAGAGTGAAACTCTGTCTCGAAAAAAAAAGTCACAGATAGTCTTGCTTTAGTTTTTTCTTTACAATTTGTTTGAATCTCGATCCATAGACATTTACAAAACGTAAATGTTTGCTTTGTCTTTTTTTTCTTTTTTTTTGAGATGGAGTCTTGCTTTGTTGCCCAGGCTGGAGTGAAGTGACGCGATCTTGGCTCACCACAACCTCTCCCTCCTGGGTTCAGCAATCCTATGGCTTCAGCCCCCTGCGTAGCTGGGATTACAGGAGTGCGCCACCACGCCCAGCTAACTTTTGTATTTTTAGTAGAGATGGGGGCTTCACCATGTTGGCCAGGCTGGTCTTGACCTCAGGTGATCCACCTACCTTGGTCTCCCAAAGTGCTGGGATTACAGGCCCAAGCCACTGTGCCCGGCCCCTGCTTTGTCTTTTAAGTCCCTTTTAACTTATTTGTTCAGGAAACTGGGCTAGTTGTCCTTGGAGATTCTCATGGTCTGGATTTTGCTGGTTGCATCCTTATGGTGTCAATTAACATGTTTCTTTATCCCATGTATTTCCTGTAAATTGGATGTTGGATCTAAAGCTAGGTCAGATTCAGGTTCTTCTGCTTGCTTTTTTGTTTGATCAAGACTCCATAAGTAGAATGTGTTCTTCCAGCAGGATGCCCCTATGCCAGCTGTCTCTCTTTTCAAGATCCAACCCACTCATCAAAGGCTGCAAAACTGTGAGCTTCTCATTTAGTCACTCCTGTGTATGTTAATTAGAATTCTGGAATGAGGCACTTTCTCTCCTTACTATTAGATAACCAGTGGTACTGTTCATTCAGGAAAGGAAAGGATTTAACCTGTATTATGGACTGAAAATACATTTTTTTTTTTTTGAGACAGTCTCTCTCTGTTGCCCAGGCTGGAGTGCAGTGGCACAATCACAACTCACATTAGGCTTGACCTCCCAGGCTCAAGTGATCCTCCCACCTCAGCCACCCAAGTAGCTGGGACTACAAGTGTGCACCACTATATCTAGCTAATTTTTGTTTGTTTGTTTTTAGAGACAGGGTCTTGCCATGTTGCCCAGGCTGGTCTTGAACTCCTGGGCTAAAGCAGTGCACCTGCCTTGGCCTCCGAAAGTGCTGGAATTACAGAAATGGCCCACCATGCCTGGCCTTAAAATACAAAACAAAACCAAAAATTTTAAGTAGCCTTTAAAATTTTTATATTTTACTTTTGATTAAGTCACATGTTCACAAGGTTCACATTTCAAAAGGGTACACAGTAAAATGGCTCCCTCTCACCTCTGACCCCAGATATTCCTCTTCCCTCCTTGGAGGCAAGCAGCATTATCAGCTTCTTTTTCTTTTTATATATACAGATTTTTTCTTTTTTCTTTTTTGCTTCTTCTTCTTTTTTTTTTTTGGCCACCAAGTTACCATGAGAAGCATTATCAGCAGTTTCTTTTTTTTTTTTTTTTCTTTTTTGAGATAGAGTCTTGCTCTGTCTCCCATGCTGGAGTGCAGTGGCACGATCTTGGCTCACTGCAACCTCCGCCTCCCAGGTTCAAGCGATTCTCCCACCTCCGCCTCCCAAGTAGCTGGGATTACAGGCATGAGCCACCACACCCCGCTAAGTTTTGTATTTTTAGTAGAGGTGGGGTTTTGCCATGTTGGCCAGGCTGGTCTTGAACTCCTGACCTCAGGTGATCCTCCTGCCTCAGCTTCGCAAAGTGCTGGGATTACAGGCATGAGCCACCACGCCTGGCCTATCAGTTTCTTAAGTGACCTTCCAGGGTTATCTTACATAATCAAATAAAGCAGATCACACACACACACAGAGACACACAGACACATGCACACTTTTTTGCATATACGCCTGGTAAAATTTCATCTTCACAGTTCTTGAAGATGCTTCCCTAACCTACTAGTTATAACTGGGAGGTGGCTCTGTGTCAGGCCAGGAAGAACTTCTCCACTGGTTTTTTTGTTTTGTTTTGTTTTGTTTTGAGACATAGTCTCACTCTGTCGCCCAGGCTGGAGTGCAGTGGCCCAATCTCGGCTCACTGCAAGCTCCGCCTCCCGGGTTCACGCCATTCTCCTGCCTCAGCCTCCCGAGTAGCTGGGACTACAGGCGCCTGCCACCTCACCCGGCTAATTTTGTTTTTGTATTCTTAATAGAGACGGGGTTTCACCGTGATAGCCAGGATGGTCTCGATCTCCCGACCTCGTGATCCGCCCTCCTCGGCCTCCCAAAGTGCTGGGATTACAGGCGTGAGCCACCAAGCCCGGCCTTCCACTGCTTTTTCTTGGCCACAGAGTGTTCCACAGAATGGATGTACCATCATGTACTTAGTAGCAGTCCCCTTTTGATAGACATTTAGGTTGTCACCAGGATTTCTTACATGAGCAATGCTGCAGTGAACCTCCTTGTCCACAAGCCATCTCCTCTGTGCTGGGGTATATCGTTGGATACGTTCTTAGAGGAGGAGCCGGTGGGGAAGGTCCTATGCATGCATAGTTTTCAGAGCTCTCCCTCAGTGCCCTCCGTTGTGGTTGTATCACCCTCCCACCAGCTGAGTAGGGGAGGGCCTGTTACCCCAGAGCCCCTCCTTGTGTATTATGTATCCCTTTTTTTTTCCCCAATCTGAGAGTGGACAAATGGCATCCCAGTGTAGGGTTTTTTTTTTCTTCCTCTTTAGTTTTTGAGATGGAGTCTCACTATGTTTCCCATGCTGGCCTCAAACTCCTGGGCTCAAGCAATCCTGCCTCAGCTTCCCGCATAGCTGGGACTGCAGGTGTATGCCACCGCACCCAGCCTAGTATAGTTTTATTTTTATTTTATTATTTATTTTGAGACACAGTCTTGCTGTGTCACCCAGGCTGGAGTGCAGTGTCATGATCTCGGCTTACTGCAGTCTCCACTTCCTGGGTTCAAGCAATTCTCCTACCTCAGCCTCCCAAGCGGCTGGGACTACAGAAGTGCGCCACCATGCCTGGCTAATTTTTTGTATTTTTGGTAGAGATGGGGTTTCACCATGTTGGCCAGGCTGGTCTCGAACTCCTGACCTCACGTGATCTGCCCGCCTTGGCCTCCTGAAGTGCTGGGATTATAGGTGTGAGCCACCACGCCCTGCCCAAGCATAGTTTTAATTTGTAGTTGGGAGCAAGCCCCATCCATCCCCAGCCTGTGCTCTCTCCCGAAGGGACCTGCTGCAGCTGGGAGGGGAGCTGGCCCGGACATCACGAGCTGTCCAGGAGGCGGGCCTGGGACTGAGCACGGGCCTACGGCTGGCAGAGAGCCGGGCCGAGGCAGCCCTGGAGAAACAGGCCCTGCTGCAGGCCCAGCTGGAGGAGCAGCTGCGGGACAAGGTGCTCCGCGAGAAGGACCTGGCGCAGCAGCAGATGCAAAGCGACCTGGACAAGGCTGACCTCAGTGCCAGGTGGGTACCTGGTGGATGCCGCACGAGGCAGGCGTCCCTGCAGAAGGTAAAACTGGAGAGTTGGGGAGAAGGGAGCATCTGTTCACTAGGGGAGGGGCCTTCCTCTGTGAGCTCAGCCAGTCTTCCCATGCACTGAGGTTCCGAAGGCACTTGCCCAGTGTTTATCATAAACAGCTTAGCCTCCTATGGCAGAACTTGTGGCCGGGTGTGGTGGCTCACACCTGTAATCCCAGCACTTTGGGAGACCAAGGTGGGGGATTACCTGAGGTCAGGAGCTCAAGACCAGCCTGTCCGACAGGCAAAACCCTGTCTCTACTAAAAATACAAAAATTAGCTGGGCGTGGTGGCGCGTGCCTGTAATCCCAGCTACGAGGGAGGCTGAGACAGGAGAATCGCTTGAACCCAGGATGTGGAGGTTGCAGTGAGCCAAGATCACATCTCTGTATTCCGGCCTGGATGACAGAGCGAAACTCCGTCTCAAAAAAAAAAAAAACAAAAAAAAAAGAACTCGTGCCCCTTACTCCTGCCACCTGGACAAGTCCTCAACTGCTTTCCCATGAGATAAAGCTGGTGGGAACCTCATTCCCATTTCACAGATGAGAAATGTGAGATCTGGAGAGGAGCCGGGACTTGTCTGAGGTCACACAGCCAGGGAGGTGGATGTTAGGGTCCCTGCCTCGGGTTTGGAGAAGCATGGTGGACACAGAGCTAGTGGATTTGAGAGGCTGGGGTGGTCCCGTATTCACCTCTGTTGCTCCCCCAACTCCAGAGTGACAGAGCTGGGCCTGGCAGTGAAGCGTCTTGAGAAGCAGAATCTGGAGAAGGATCAGGTCAACAAGGACCTCACTGAGAAGCTTGAGGCCCTGGTGAGCTGCAGGTGCCCCTGAGATGGGGCAGGGTGAGATGGGGTACCGGCCAGATCCATGGACGCAGGCTTAGGGCTGGGCTGCCTGGGTCACCCCCAGCGTCCCACTCACACTCAGGTTCAGCCCTCACAGGTGTGCAGGCTTTGTGGGAAGCACACTCACCTCCATCCCATTTCTTCCTCCCAGCAGCCCTGTAGCATAATCCTCATAACACAGATGGGGAAACTGAGGCCCAAGAGGGGAAATGCTTGTCCAGTCTCAGAGCCACTAAGCGGGAGAGTCGGGACTTGAACTCCCATCCACGCTCTCCAGGTCCAGATGCGGCCTCTGGCAACCTAGCTGCCCCCCACCCCCACCAGTGGGACACTCACTCCCCCAGGGTACAGCCTGGTTTGGTCACCCCTCTGTGTGGGGCCTGGCCTGGGTTCTAGGTCCGGCTCTCCTCCAATCGACTGTGTGACCTGGGGCAGGACATAGCTCTTCTCTGGGCCTGGTCTGTTCAGTGAGGGCCTCGGGCCTGCTGTGGGGTCTACCAGGTGGCTGGCCTATGGACATGGCTTCAGAGGCCACCTGGTCAGTGGTGGGCCAGGTAGGGAGGGAAAGGGGAGGTTTCAGATAAGACAGAACCCCGACCACCCTTTGTCTCCCTAACCGCACTCCAGGAATCCCTGCGGCTACAGGAGCAGGTGGCCCTGGAGACAGAGGACGGAGAGGGGCTACAGCAGACCCTAAGGGACCTGGCACAGGTGTGAGCCCAGAGAGGCGGGAAGACAGCGCCCTGCCAGGCAGTCCCAGGCTCCCCCGCCACGTCTTTCGGTGACCTGGGACTGAACTGCAAATGGGTGGGGGCCTGGGACCCAGGCTGTAGCTGCTCAGCACCCCTGCTAGCTCACCCAGCCTCTGCCTTGGGGAGCCCCCAGTCTCAGAGGGGAGGCACGGCCCTTTGGGAGCCCACCTGTGAGCAAGGCCAAATGATGTCTTCCCAATAAATGGGAGGCCTCAGCGGCGAGCCGAGGACTGAGCTAGTGGAGGAGGTGAAATCAGGAAGGCTTCTTGTAAGAGGCAGCATTTGGAATGAGGCAGCCCCCAGCCTCGCCTGGGCGTCTTTGCCCAGCTAACCCCGCGGTTCCTAAGTCAGCAGCCTCCTTCTGCCTCCCTCCCCCACCCTCAGGCCGTCTTGTCAGACTCTGAGAGCGGCGTCCAGCTGAGCGGCTCTGAGCGCACCGCGGATGCTTCCAACGGCAGCCTGCGGGGGCTCTCGGGCCAGCGGACCCCGTCCCCACCGCGGCGCTCCTCGCCCGGCCGAGGCCGTTCACCCCGCCGAGGCTCCTCCCCGGCCTGCTCAGACTCCTCCACGCTCGCCCTGATCCACTCCGCCCTGCACAAGCGCCAGCTGCAGGTCCAGGTAGGAAGGGGCTTGAGCGTTCTGGGCGCAGCCAGAGGCCTGGGGGAGGGGCTCGCGCCCTCCGGGTGGGGGCGTGGGCGGGGGCGGGGGCAGGTCCGGGGCCAGGGTCCGAGGGAGGAGTCTGAGCGCCCTGGGGTGCAGCCAGAGCCCTGAGAAATAGTTTCTGAGGGTGTCAGGACCCCCAAGGAGGTGGCCGAGAGCTCTGCGGTGAAGCCGAGCCCAGAAGTGGGGGTGCTTGGGCAGCTGGGGGTGGGTGCTTGGGCAGCTGGTGGAGGGAGGAGGCTGCGGCAGTGTTAGGGTCCTGGTAGAGAGGGAGACAGGTCCCTGGTCATACAGAGCCAGGACCCTGGGAAAAGGTCTAGCAAGGGGAATCAGAGCTTGGGAACTAGGGGCAGAGCCAGGGTAGGGAGGAGTCTGAGAGTGGAACCAGGATGCAAGGGGGAGGAGCCTAGGAGCCCTGGGGGTGGGATCAGAACCCAGGAGACGAGTGTGCCTGGGGGCTTGTCTGGCATCCGGGGGGCTTTGATAGGAGTTGTCCGGGACCCCAGGGAGGTGAGGGCTCAGAGGGTGGCGAGGGCACATAGGAGGGGAGCGGAAGCCTGGCTCTCAGGCCTAGGCCCCTATCCTGCCCCAGGCCAGGTCCAGGCCCTGGACCCCGCCTAGCGTAGGCTAGTGTGTATCCCTGGAACCAGAAGAGAGTAGGTGGCTCTGGAGGCCTCTCAGGCCCCCCCAGACTCTGTGACCCCCCACACCCCAGGACATGCGTGGGCGCTATGAGGCAAGCCAGGACCTACTGGGCACCCTGCGGAAGCAGCTTAGCGACAGCGAGAGCGAGCGGCGGGCCCTAGAGGAACAGCTGCAGCGCCTGCGGGACAAGACCGACGGCGCCATGCAGGCCCACGAGGACGCCCAGCGCGAGGTGCAGCGGCTGCGGAGCGCCAACGAGCTCCTGAGCAGGTGCCGGGGAGGTCTGAGCTGGGGGTGCTGAAGAATAAGTCACCGTCTGGGCATAACACCAGTCAAGCCTTATGCGTATGGCTCTGCACTAATATGGTCGCCACTAGCTGCATGTGCCTATTAACGTTTATTTATTTATTTATTTTTAAAATGGAGTCTCGCCCTGTCGCCCAGGCTGGAGTGCAGTGGCGCGATCTCGGCTCACTGCAAGCGCCGCCTCCTGGGTTCACGCCATTCTCCTGCCTCAGCCTCCCGAGTATCTGGGACTACAGGCCCCTGCCACCATGCTGGGCTAATTTTTTTTTTTTTTTGAGACGGAGTTTCACTGTGTGGCCCAGGCTGGAGTGCAGTGGCGCGATCTTGGCTCATTGCATCCTCCTCCTCCCGGGTTTAAGCAATTCTCACCTCAGCCTCTGAAGTAGCTGGGATTATAGGTGCCCACCACCAGGCCCGGCTAATTTTTTTTGTATTTTTAGTAGAGACGGGGTTTCACCATCTTGGCCAGGCTGATCTTGAACTCCTGACCTCATGTTCTACCCGCGTCCATCTCCCAAAGTGCTGGGATTACAGGCATGAGCCACCGCGCCCGGCCAACATTTATTTTTTAGTATTCAGTTTTGTTTTGTTTTGTTTTGTTTTGCTTTGTTTTGAGTCACACTCTTGCTCTGTTTCCCAGGCTGGGGCACAATTGGTCCATCACAGCTCACTGTAGCCTGGAACTCCCAGACTCAAGCGATCCTCCCACCTCTACCTCCCAACTGCCCCTAGTTGGGGGCCTGGGCCTGGCCTGGGGAAGGATATGGGACCGAAGCCTGAGAGTTAGGTTTCCACTCCCTTCCTCTGTGCCCTCACCACCCTCTGAGCCCTCACCTCCCTGGGTTCCTGGGCAACTCTGATCTCAGCCTTGAGGATAGTAGACAAGCCGCCAACATTTCTAAATTTTTTGTAGAGATGGGGGTCTCACTATGTTGCCCATGCTGGTCTTGAACTCCTAGCTTCAATCACTCCTCCCACCTCAGCCTCCCAAATTGCTGGGATTACAGGCATAAGCCACTGTGCCTGGCTCTATTAAAATTTAATTAAAATTTTTAAAAAGTGAAAATTCAGGCTGGGTGTGGTGGCTCACACCCAGCTTGCTGGCCAACATGGTGAAACCCTGTTTCTACTAAAAATACAAAAATTAACCAGGCATGGTGGCATGCTCCTGTAATCCCAGCTATTCAGGAGGCTGAGGTGGGAGAATCACTTGAACCCCGGAGGCAGAGGTTGCAATGAGCCAGGATCGTGCCACTGCACTCCAGGCTGGGAGATAGAGCGAGACTCCATCTCAAAAAAAAAATAATAATAATAATGCTGGGCCCGGTGGCTCACACCTGTAATCTCAGCACTTTGGAAGGCCAAGGCGGGCGGATCATGAGGTCAGGAGATTGAGACCATCCTGGCTAACACAGTGAAACCCCGTCTCTACTAAAAATACAAAAAGTAAATTAGCTGGGCGTGGTGGCAGGCACCTATAGTCCCAGCTACTTGGAAGACTGAGGCAGGAGAATGGCCTGAACCCGGGAGGCGGAGCTGGCAGCGAGCCGAGATGTCGCCACTGCACTCCAGCCTGAGCGACAGAGCAAGACTCCGTCTCAAAAAAAAAAAAAAAAGAAAAAATTCAGTTCTTTAGTTGCCCTAGCCACATTTCAAGCACTCATCAACCATACATGGCCATAGAACATTTCTGTCATCTCAGAGAGTTCTATTGCCAGCACTATTTTGGACTGTATTTCTTGGAGTTTTTTTTAGAGATGGGGTCTTGCTGTGTTGCCCAGGATGGTCTCAAACTCCTGGCCTCAAGTGATTCCCCTGCCTCGGCCTCCAAAAATGCTGGGATTAGAGGCATAAGCCACCATGCCTAGCCTTGAAGATTTTTTTTTTCTCTTAATTTGAGACAGGGTCTTGTTATGTCACCCAGTCTGGAGTGCAGTGGTGCGATCTCATTTCACTGCAACCTCCACCTCCTAGGCTTAAGTGATCCTTCCATCTCAGCCTCCTGAGTAGCTGGAACTACAGGCACACACCACCACGCCTGCCTAATTTTTCTGTTTTTTGTAGAGATAGGGTTTCGCCATGTTGCCCAGGCTGATCTCTAACTCCTGAGCCCGTCTCGGCCTCCCAAAGTACTGGGATTATAGGTGTGAGCCATCACGCCAGGCACCCTGAAGATTTTTAAGACAAGAAATTATCCACTTCTTAGCTGCCAGGTTGTTTTTGATATTTTGTTGTTTGGTTTTTCTCTTCATAAATGTAACCATCTAATGAAAAGTTTGAAAAATAGGAATAAAAAGACAGCGCCTTCTCACAGCCTCATCTGCCCATCCTAATTCATTTAGGGCACTGGTTTTCCTTCCCATTGTGTTGCCTGGCAGTGAGATAGCAAACGTTTCCTGCACACCTACTGTGTGCCAGGCTCTTGGCCGAGTGTTTTGTATGTACTCTGTGATTTAGTCTTCCTGTCAAACTCATGCAATTCGGAACTCTGTTGTTGTAAGCTTGAGAGACTGGCTCAGACTCATACAGCGTGTGTGGCTGGGGGTGGCAGGGTGGGAACTGGAATTCAGGTCCATGTGAGAGTAAACCCAAGCTTTCCATGCCTGGAAAGGAGAAGGTCTTTTTAAGCAGTTGTGTTCACAGCAAACATCCCATTTCGCATTCTGCTATTTTTACTTAACAGCACATTGTCGACTGAGCAAGGTGGCTCACACCTGTAATCCCAGTATTTTGGGAGGCCAAGGCGGGTGGATCACTTGAGGTCAGGAGTTTGAGACCAGCCTGGCCAACATGGCGAAACCCCATCTCTACTAAAAATAAAAAAAAATTGGCCGGGCACAGTGGCTCACTCCTGTAATCCCAGCACTTTGGGAGGCCGAGGCAGGAGGACCACCTGAGGTTGGGAGTTCGAGACCAGCCTGACCAACATGGAGAAACCCTGTCTCCACTAAAAATACAAAATTAGCCATCCGTGGTGGCACATGGCTGTAATCCCAGCTACTTGGGAGGCTGAGGCAGGAGAATCGCTTGAACTCTGGAGGTGGAGGTTGCAGCAAGCCGAGATCGTGCACTGCACTCCAGCCTGGGCGACAGAGTGAGACGCCGTCTAAAAAAAAAAAAAAAATTACTGGGCGCATTGGCTCATGCCTGTAATCCCAGCACTTTGGGAGGCCGAGGCAGGCAGGTCATGAGGTCAGAAGATTGAGACCATCCTGGCTAACACAGTGAAACCCCCATCTCTACTAAAAATACAACAAATTACCCGGACATGGTGGCGGGCGCCTGTATTCCCAGCTACTTGGGAGGCTGAGGCAGGAGAATGGCGTGAACCCGGGAGGCGGAGCTTGCAGTGAGTGGAGATTGCGCCACTGCACTCCAGCCTGGGGGACAGAGCGAGACTCCGTCTCAAAAAAAAAAAAAAAAAAAACAAAATCACGCTGTGAAGTTTTTTCGCACCTATGGCCAGTGGGGAACGTGGCAGCTCACGGCAAGTCTTTGGGGTCCCAGTTGTTCCCTTCTCCTCCCTCCCCTGCCGTGGCCACCATGTGCCTGTGTAGCAGGAAGCTGTGGGATCTGCAGACTCAGCTCTATCAGGCTTCCCAGAATTGAGGGGCATGGGGTGTTATAGGGGACATTTCCTGGTCACATGGCCTAGCAGAGCTGGTGACACAATTGCCGTGTGTCCCAGGAGCCTAGCTCGGCCTCTTCTACCTGGTAGGGTGCTTGGAGATCACACCAGCACCTCCATCCACTCCAAGTGGGCGGACTGGAGAGAAGGAAAGCCAGGTTCTTCTGCTGGAGTGTGTGAGTGAAATGAGTCAGCCATGGACAGGGTGGTCAGGGAAGGCTTCCTGGAGGCAGGTGCCTTGGAAGACGGGAGGATGTAGCTCATGGCTAGAGGAGCAGCCAGCCACCTTCCCTGCAGAGAGCAGCCCCAGCATCCCCTCTGCTCCCCCTCCCCTTGTCCTGAAGGGAGAAGAGCAACCTGGCCCACAGCCTGCAGGTGGCCCAGCAGCAGGCCGAGGAGCTGCGGCAGGAGCGGGAGAAGCTGCAGGCTGCCCAGGAGGAGCTGCGGCGCCAGCGGGACCGGCTGGAGGAAGAGCAGGAGGACGCAGTGCAGGATGGCGCGCGGGTGCGCCGGGAGCTTGAGCGCAGGTGAGCAGCATCTCGCCACCCTGCCAGGACCCTTCAGATGTGCCTCGGGTCCCCTGACAGTGCCCCCCGTGGGGTTAGGTGACACCCACTGGGTCCTGGGCCTCCTACCGTCTGGACCCCTCCGATGTCGGGTTTTCTAACCAGACCCATTTCAGGAAACTGGGGCTCAGGGAGGTATAGTCACTTACCTGGAGTCAGAGAACTAGTTAAAAGGTAGAACTTGGATGATAATAACAAGAATAATTAAAATAACAGTAGTAATATTAGCAGTAGTATTTTAAAAATTTAGTTAGAAGAATAATAATATCCTTACTAATTTCACTAAGTGCCAGATACCATTTTAAGCAATTCAGTTCTCTCATTTAACTCCATGATAACTCTGTGACATAGAAGCTGTTATCTCCATTTTGTGGATGGTAAACTGAGGCACAGAGAAGCCATGTCACTTGCCCCAGGTCACACAGTTAGCAGAAGAGCCAGGATTTGAACCCAGACATTCTGCCTTCAGAGTTAACCTCTTCACCACTGCGCTGCTTACCTCTCAGGGACGTGATCGATGATGATGTTTAGTAGACTGTGGTGGAGCATGTTATTCTTGTTTCTGAAGGTCCTTGGGGAGATGTGTCAGGCACTATTTTAAGCACATGTGAAGTTTGTATCCTTAAAACAGGCCGGGCGCAGTGGCTCACGCCTGTAATCCCAGCACTTTGAGAGGCCAAGGCAGGCAGATCGCCTGAGGTCAGGAGTTCCAGACCAGCCTGACCAACGTGGAGAAATCCCGTCTCTACTAAAACTACAAAAATTAGTCAGGCGTGGTGGTGAGCACCTGTAATCCCAGCTACTCGGGAGGCTGAGGCAGGAGAATTGCTTGAACCTGGGAGGCAGAGGTTGCAGTCAGCCAGGATCGCACCACTGTACTCCAGCCTGTGTGACAGAGCAAGACTGTGTCTCAAAAAAACAAACAATGTCACGAGGTAAGTGTTACCTCATTTTGCAGATGTGAAAACGGAGGCCCAGGGTCATGGAGCTAAGCGGTAGTGGGCTTGGTTGCCCTGTGGCTCAGGCTGTTTCTCTCCAAACTCCTGCCTCAGGCCTGGTCCCCAGCCCAGCATCTCGCTGGCTACAGGAGGTTCGGGGCAGGAAAGTGACATGGGCCACCCACCCACCCTTTGTCCCACAGCCATAGACAACTAGAGCAGCTGGAAGGGAAGCGCTCAGTCCTGGCCAAGGAGCTGGTGGAGGTGAGGGAGGCGCTGAGCCGCGCCACACTGCAACGGGACATGCTGCAGGCCGAGAAGGCCGAGGTGGCCGAGGCGCTGACCAAGGTGGGTCCCTGTCTGCTGCACAACCACAAACCTACCTCTGACCCCCAGCCCCAAGCCTTGTCACTCTGGCACAGACTGGTCCCAGTGTCAGGCAGACCTCTGAGCCTGGTCACAGACTGACCCCTTCCTTCTGGATACAGGCTGATCTTTGTCACAGGCCACAGACCTCTGGACCTCTGGTCCCAGCCATAAGTGGACTGACCTCTCTTTATGGCCGTATCCCTGCTCTTCTGGATGCTCCTGGGGGCAATGCCTATAGCTCAGGGTCATCCAGTGCCTGAGACTCAGCTCCTGGGGTCTGAGAGTTGTGGCCACAGCGCAGAGGGTCCTTGGCGGGGGGGCCTGCGCTGTCCGCTGCAGCCTGGGCTCTGAGCAGTGCTATCCCTAGACCCTACTCAGGGGATCCTCTGAACTCTGGCCCTGCCCTGCAGCTTGAGCTATTTTTGCACAGCTCTGTGGTGTGTGGCTTTTAAATGGCTCATAAGCAGCAGGCTTTCTGCGGTGATTTTTTTTTTTCCATCTCACACTGTGTCCCCTCCTTGTCTCCCCTACCCTGTCTCTGAGGGTCCATCTCTCTGGGTCTCTTCTTGGGCCTCCTCACCTCCTCCCGACCTTTCTGCCTTTCCTCATTTCTCGGGGCCTGACCCTGCAGGCTGAGGCTGGCCGCGTGGAGCTCGAGCTCTCCATGACCAAGCTGAGGGCAGAGGAGGCCTCCCTGCAGGACTCCCTGTCCAAGCTGAGCGCCCTCAACGAGAGCCTTGCTCAGGACAAGTTGGATCTGAACCGCCTTGTCGCCCAGGTACGCTGTGCACCTGCGGGCCCACCTGCCTTGCCCACCCATCCTCCCCACTCAGTGAGGCACCCCGGGCCCAGCCCTGTACCTGTCTTGGCCCCTGCCTCCCTTTCTGTCCCTGGTTCTCTGTCTGTCTCTGGTTCTCTGTCTGTCTGTCTATCCCCTCTAGGCGTCAAAGCACAGAAGTTCCATGGGCCCTCCTCATCTCCCCCTCCCCAGTGTCCCATACACCCAAGGGCACTGTCCCTCATTCCCTGGGAGCCTCCCCTGGGCTATTGTTGCTGGTGGGTGGGTGGAGGAGGCGTCCTGGTCCTGGGAGGGACGCCCTGCTCACGAGGCCCCACTCCTACCTGGCCTCCAGCTGGAGGAAGAAAAGTCCGCCCTGCAGGGCCGGCAACGGCAGGCAGAGCAGGAGGCCACAGTGGCGCGGGAAGAGCAGGAACGGCTAGAGGAGCTGCGGTTGGAGCAGGAGGTGGCGCGGCAGGGCCTGGAGGGCTCCCTACGAGTGGCGGAGCAGGCCCAGGAGGCATTGGAGCAGCAGCTCCCCACGCTGCGCCATGAGCGCAGCCAGCTGCAGGAGCAGCTAGCGCAGGTGGGCCAAGCTGTGTGTGGGGGTGGTGTGGAGAGCATGTGGGGCAGGCCGGGCTCCCAGCCCCCTGCATCCAGTCCTGGGTTAAGTCACAGGCACTGGAGCCTGCTTCTGGGTTAAATCCAGCCCCACTTCTGCTAGCTGGGGACCTTGGACAAGCTGCCCAATCTCCCATACCTCAGTTGCCCCATCTATAACATGGGGCCAGCCGGGCGCAGTGGCTCACGCCTATAATCCCAGCACTTTGGGAGGCCGAGGCGGGTGGATCACCTGAGGTCCGGAGATCAAGACCATCCTGGCTAACACGGTGAAACCCTATCTCTACAAAAAATTAGCTGGGCGTGGTGGCACGCGCCTGTAGTCCCAGCTACTTGGGAGGCTGAGGCAGGAGAATCGCTTGAACCCAGGAGGCAGAGGTTGCAGTGAGCCAAGATCATGCCACTGCACTCCAGCCTGGGCAACAGAGCAAGACTCCATCTCAATAATAATAATAATAATAATAATAATAATAATAATAATGATACAGATTAATAATAGGTGGAGACTTTTTAGAATTGGAATCTTAGACTTTTGGGAACATCACATCTGGAAGAGACCTTAATGTTTCAGGGATCCAGGGACCTTCATGCAAGGTCTATCCTGGAGCGCCTGGGTTTCTGGGAGGGGCCTCTAGAGGATGGGGTAGGGGGTGCAGGAAGCAGGGTGCAGGTCTCCACCTTGAGGCCTGCCGAGCAGCTGCACTTGGGTCTGGTTTATATATTCAGCTTCTCTGCAAGTTTAGAGTAATACAAGGGTTCTGTTACTCCCAGAGCTGAGTGAGGGCCCTCATTTTTTTTGTTTCGTTTTGTTTTGTTTTTGTTTTTGTTTTTTTTTCCAGACAGAGTCTTGCTCTGTTGCCCAGGCTGGAATGCAGTGGCACGATCTGGGCTCACTGCAACCTCCGCCTCCAGGGTTTAAGCTGTTCGCCTGCCTCAGCGTCCCAAGTAGCAGGGACTACAGGCGTGCACCACCACGCCCGGCTAATTTTTGTATTTTTAGTAGAGACAGGGTTTCACCCCGTTGGCCAGGCTGGTCTTGAACTCCTGACCTCAAGTGATCCACCTGCCAAAGTGCTGGGATTATAGGCACGCACCACCGTACCTGGCTGGGCCCTGGTTTTTGTACACACGTGCATTGCAGATCTAGAGAAGGTCATGACTTGCCCAAGTACATGTAGCACATCAGGGCAGACCCTGGGCTCAAACCCAGGCCTTCTGCCAGGACTGGGTTAGGCCCAGAGTTGGGGTGCTGCACGATGAACAAGCTGGGGGACGCTGGGAGTGCTACTCAGTCTCTGGGTGGGGGCCAGCTCTCCCGGCAGCTGAGCGGGCGGGAGCAGGAGCTGGAGCAGGCCCGGCGGGAGGCCCAGCGGCAAGTGGAGGCGCTGGAGCGAGCGGCCCGTGAGAAGGAGGCGCTAGCCAAGGAGCACGCTGGCCTGGCTGTGCAGCTGGTGGCTGCGGAGCGTGAAGGCAGGACCCTGTCAGAGGAGGCCACACGCCTGCGGTAAGGCCTTGGGCTCTGCCCAACCCGCCCTGGGCGGTCCTCCTGGGGCCACGCCATGACCAGCCACACGCAGGCACGGGCCCCCAGGGGCAGTTACTAAGGAGTCTGGCTTGCCGACTCGTCCTAGCTGTGGCTCAGGCTTCCCCAGGGAGTGTGGGCCTGGCCAGGCAGGTAGATTGGCACTTGGCCCATGCCTGGCCACTCCCTGAGATCCACAGTTTCCTGGGGCCAGGGAGGCTGAGTCCCAGGGCCTCAGGGACTGTATGTGCTGCAGCTTGGAGAAGGAAGCCCTGGAGGGCAGCCTGTTTGAGGTGCAACGGCAGCTGGCCCAGCTTGAGGCCCGCCGGGAGCAGCTGGAAGCCGAGGGGCAGGCCCTGCTGCTGGCCAAGGAGACCCTGACTGGTACGAGGGGCTGGGGACTTGGGGGGAACACCAGGTTCCAGCCCAGACTGCAGCCTCCCAAGGTCTGGGGTCTCACAGAAGTTGGGAGCACTGGAGTAGGAGTCTGGCTGGCCTGGGTTCCAGTCCTGTGCCACCACTTAGATCTCACCTTCCCTTGAGCAAGCCCCTTTCCTCTCTGGGCTGCAGATTCCTCAGCTGATGATTGGAGGTGGCAATGCCCACCTTCTAAGCCTGTTGCCAGGATGACATGGGAAAAGCGTGTAAGGCCGTGGCACGGTGCCTGGCTGAGTCAACAGTAACTGCTGTTCATCGGTCATCAGGCCTGTTAGTCTGAGTTCTCTGTGGTTTTCAGATGACTCTCTTGGCCCCAGAATCCGAGCCCCACTTCCCTGCACTGTTCCCCATCGAATCTCTGAACTCAGGGCTTCTTTCTGCTCATCTAACATTGACTAAGCACCTACTTGGGTCATGGAAATTAATTTTCCTGTCCATGTACACCTGAGCCAGACAGAACCAGGAAGGGAAATGCTGGTGGGTTTCCAACCCGGGAGATGGTTTTTAGATGATGGCTATACCATTTCCATTCCCTGTAGTCGTTTCCATTAATGCTGATAGTTAACGCTTGACAGGTATGTTCATGTCAGTCATTAAAGGAGATGCTTTATGTGTAGCTGTGCAGCTGTGGGAAGTTGCTGCTGATCTCCTCTGATCCTCCATTTCATCATCTGTTAAACGGGGATGAGGATAAACTACATAGGCATGTTATGAAGACAAAATGAGGTTATGTCTAAAATACTTAGCTGGGTGCTTGACGCATAGTAAGTGCTGAGTCAGTAATAGGGTTTTTGTTTGTTTGTTTGTTTTTGTTTGTTTGTTTTGAGATGGAGTTTCACTCTTGTTGCCCAGGCTGGAGTGCAATGGCGCGATTTTGGCTCACCTCAACCTCCGCCTCCCAGGTTCAAGCGATTCTCCTGCCTCAGCCTTCCAAGTAGCTGGGATTACAGGCACGCGCCACCATGCCTGGCTAATTTTGTATTTTTAGTAGAGACGGGGTTTCACCATGTTGGTCAAGCTGGTCTCGAACTCTCGACCTCAGGTGATCTGCCCACTTCGGCCTCCCAAAGTGCTGGGATTACAGGCATGAGCCACCGCGCCCAGCCTGTTTGATTTTTTGAGACAGAGTCTCACTCTTGTCGCCCAGGTTGGAGTGCAGTGGTGCGATCTGAGCTCACTGCAACTTCTGCCTCTTGGGTTCAAGCGATTCTCCTGCCTCAGCCTCCCAAGTAGCTAAGACTACATACGTCCGCCACCATGCCCAGCTAATTGTTGTATTTTTAGTAGAGACAGGGTTTCACCGTGTTGGCCAGGCTGGTCTTGAACTCCTTACCTAAGGTGATCCACCTGCCCCAGCTTCCCAAAGTGCTGGGATTACAGGAGTGAGCCATGGCACCTGGCCTAGGGTTGTTATATGTTTGACATCCGTCCCATTTGGGAGGCCTTCTCATCAGTCATTTTATGCCTTTAATGCCATTCTAGGTAGGCAGGAAAGGGGTCAGGGCCAGTGGGCCCATGTAGCAGATAGGGAAACTGAGGCCCAGAGAGGACAAGCCACTTCTTCAAGAGGACCCAAACTGGATGCCAGACAGGCCCTCTGCCTCTGGGATTTTGCCCATATGGCTCAACTGGCCTAAGTCTGCTGGCCCAAGGAAAAATTTCAACCCAACCCTGCCCTTTCCCCCATTCCTCTCGTGCAGGGGAGTTGGCGGGCCTGCGGCAGCAAATAATAGCTACGCAGGAGAAAGCCAGTCTAGACAAGGAGCTGATGGCCCAGAAGCTGGTGCAGGCTGAGCGGGAGGCCCAGGCCTCTCTGCGGGAGCAGTGGGCAGCCCACGAGGAGGACTTACAGTGACTCCAGCGTGAAAAGGTTCAGGCAGCTGGGGAGGGGTGGGCAGAAGTCTGAGCCAGTGTTTCATCATCGTTCTTGCTCTGCCTCGGTCTGTACATCTGTGAAATGGGACTCCCTCTCTGTTGTGGAGGCCCTGGGGACAGCTGGGAGGACTGGAGGGGTGGTGGGGAGGTTGTGGTCCTTATTAGACATTCAGATACCCAGGTCCCAAATCTGGTCCAGCCCTGGTAATCCTGATGCAGAGGGTCCACAACCACATTTGGGAAATGCTGACCTAATGTACAGCAGGAAAGCACTTTCATTTGCTAAGAAGTTTCCATATGAAGGGCCACGCAGACCTGAGCATGTAGAAAGGCAAGGGGCCAGGGAAGTTACTAGAACACTGACTCTGGGGTTATATTGCCTGGGTTTGAATCTAATCTTGGTCGCTTACTGGTGATGCTACCCAAGGTGTCTGTGCCTTCATTTCCCCACCTGTAGAAATAGGGATAGGATAGTGGAAGGTATTGAGGATGAGCTGAGACCATCTGCATAGAGGGCTTAACATAGTGACTGGTACTTAGCAAATGCTCCATGAGTTATGATTGCTGGCACTGGCATGCTCTCCAGAGTGGCCCTCAGGACAGGGGCCCTCAGCCACCAAATCCTAGACAGGGCTTCCTCTGACAGAGGTGCAGGCTATGACTACATGGCTCCAGGGCATGCCAGTCACCCTGCAGTCCCCATGGCCTTGGGTGGTGGTTATCACGCTTCTCCATCAGGGGGCGGTAAAGCTCTTTCCGAAAGTGCTGGGATTCCAGGCATGAGCTATGGTGAAGCTCTTAAAGAAGGGGTGGCTTGGCCGGGCGTGCTGACTCATGCCTGTAATCCCAGCACTTTGGGAGGCTGAGGTGGGCGGATCACGAGGTCAGGAGATCGAGACCATCCTAGCTAACACAGTGAAACCCTATCTCTCCTAAAATCACAAAAAATTAGCTGGGCATGGTGGCACGCGCCTGTAGTCCCAGATACTTGGGAGGGTAAGGCAGAAGAATCGCTTCAACCTGGGAGGCAGAGGTTGCAGTGAGCCAAAATCACGCCACTGCACTCCAGCCTGGGTGACAGAGCGAGACTCTGTCTAAAAAAAAAAAAAAAAAAAGAAGTGGCAGCTCTGTCTGCTTCTCACAGAGTTGCTAGGACAACTGCTGAGGCAGGCACCTGCCCTCGGGCTCCCCGGGTGGGCTGCTATTTGCCTGTGGGCTCTGCCTGCCCGCCTGTCCAGTCCCCAGGGATCTGAACTGTGACCTCCCCCTTGCTCTTCTTGCCCTTTGCATTGCCTGGCTTGGCCTCATTAATGTCCCCAAATCTGTGTTCTTCTCTCCAGCTCTTCTGGCAACCCCTGACCCCCTTCATTCCTCACAGCCAGTCCTAACTCTCCTCCATCCCAACCCCAATCCCTCTTCCACAGCTGTCGGAACATCCCCTAAGCTAAAAATCAGATTGCTCCTTGTCACCTTGGCTCGAGTCCTCTCTCCCACTCCCCTCACTGTCCTTAGAATCCCCATGGCCCACACGGCCTGTCCTGGCCCAGCCACTGCCTGGGGCTCTGGCCCTGTGACTCACCGCGCCCTGTTTCCCTCTGCACCCTGCATCCTGTAGTCCTTTCCAGGGGCTGTGCTCTTGGCCTGGGGTGGTCTTTTCTCTCCTTACCTGGCTGACAGTTACTTGTCCCTCCGCAGAGGATCATGTTCGGACCTCCAGGCCAGCCCACTGCTGCTCCTTGGCACTTTCACGGCCCTGGCGTGTCCCCGTCATAGCCCTTATCAGTCCCTTGTATTTACCTGGTCACTCTCCATCTCTGAGGGTATGGGGGCCAGATGGCTCTTGCTGCCCTGATGTTTTGGGGGGTCTGCCTGGGCCCCTCCTGGTGTGTCACACGCGTCCGGTCCTGGCCCCCTAGGAGGCAGCATGGCGGGAGCTGGAGGCCGAGCGGGCCCAGCTGCAGAGTCAGCTGCAGCGTGAGCAGGAGGAGCTGCTGGCCCGGCAGAAGGCTGAGAAGGAACAGCTGAGTGAGGAGATTGCTGCCCTGCAGCAGGAGCATGACGAGGGCCTCCTCCTGGCCGAGAGCGAGAAGCAGCAGGTTCGTGAGCCCTGGCGTGGCCTCTGCTGCTCTCTGAGCTGCTCCAGTTCTGGGGCCGGGCCCTGCTCTGCCACTTGGCAGCTAGGAGCCCTGGGGCAGGCCACTGCCCTCTTGGGGGCCTCAGTTTCCTTACCTGCAGGAGGGGAGGATTAGAAGGGGGTTCGTGAGGCTTTGCCGTGCTCCATGCCTGGCACACAGTGAGCACTTACTGAGTGACAGTGACAGTCGTGACACCAGGAAAGCTGTTCCGTATTCTCCCATGCCTCGTCCCACCCCACGCTGGGCATGGATCCTCATGGCTGCCTTCTGAGCAGTCCCCACGATGCCCACAGGCATCAGCTGACGTGTCCCCCCAAATAACAAATCCCTAACTTTCCTATAATGTAACGGAGACAGGGCAGACTGTGCCCATCTCCTCTCCTCACCAGCTGTGTACCTGGGCGAGTCACTTTACCTCCTTGAGCCTCAGTTTCCTCATCTGTAAGATGGGTAGAAAGAAAGACTCTGCAGTCAGGGTGCTGTGGCGGGTTAGTGAGCTCTATGAGTGGTATCCACGTCCGGGATTCTTGTGACTGCCGTTGTGCCCTTTTCCAGGGCTGCACGTCTGCCCTGGGTCCACCTGCAGTGGCACACTCAGGCCTCTAAGCCCCCAGTGGGCACATTTCCTAGGCAGCAAGAAGCCTGAGCATGCCCCCAGGACCAGCCCATCCCCCAAGCCCTTTGTCCCCTGCCTCTGCCCAGGCCTTGTCTCTGAAGGAGTCTGAGAAGATGGCGCTGTCAGAGAAGTTGATGGGTACACGGCACAGCCTGGCCACCATCTCCCTGGAGATGGAGCGGCAGAAACCAGATGCCCAGAGCCGGCAGGAGCAGGACCGGGTAGGCCTGCCGTCGTAGGGAGGCTTGCGGAGCAGGAGCGCCCTCTCTCCACCGAGCTATCCCGCGGTTTCCAGCATCCCATCTGGCGGACTCCTCTTCCTCTCTCTTCTCCTACTCTGGGTCTTCTATCCTGGTGTTCCTTGAATGCCTATCTTCCTTTTGTGCCTCGGAACCTCTCACGCCTGCCACAAGTTACTCTTTTCCTTGGTAGTTCTGAACTTTAAATAAGGTAATGCCTGTAAGAATGCCATAAATGCTCAATAATTGTCATCTGTTATTATTTTCATCAGTAACATCATCTGAATCATCAGTATTGTCTGCTTTTAACAGCTGCATTTTTCATTGTCCAAATATAGTCACATACATTTGACCATTTTATAATTATTGAATAATAAATTCGTTCTGCTATTTTACAATGAAAAATAATGCTGCAGAGAGCATTTTTGCACATGTATCGTGGCAGATGTAGGCCAGAGGCTCTTCTTTTATCCATCCTATGGCCAACCTATGAATGTATACACGTTTAATGAGATTTTGCCAGCAATCAAAGCCTTCAGGGAAAATGTCCCTAGCTCTTTACTACATCAGATCAAGGACTCTGGATAATTGGCATAACATCCTGGAATAGCTGAAACAGAGATATTATTCTCTGCTGTCCTCTGTTGTCTTTGTCTTTTCACGTCTTAATAAAAGTGCTGGTGACAAGAGTGTAACTATGTCAGTGTTCTCCTGCTGTCCTTGCCTGTGTGGGTCTTCTCCCAAACCCGACTTTCCTCCAGCGGCTTCACTGAAAAAGAGGAGGGGGCTGTGGGGGGTGGGTCGGGGAGCAGAGGAGGAAATAAACTGAATAGGGAGGAAGCTTCTCACAGGCCCGGAGAGGGTAAGGAAGGGAGTCAAAGACAGAATTTTCTTCAGCAAACAGTAAAAGGGGAAATCTGGGGATGCTAAGAGTTTTTAAACCCTTTGCTCCATCACATAAGTAATCCATGATTTTCTGTTCCACAAATCAGGACTCCTACTCCTCCCTCCCTCCCCATCCCCAATCCTGATTCCTGTTTACAAAGAATGTTGAAAAACAAGGAATTATGTATAACAGTTCCCAGTTTGCTCAGGAAATTCTCAGATTATAAAGAGACATTACAAATGAACAAGTGAAGAGAAGAACCTTGGTGGTTCCAACATAGTATGGCCATTGTTTTATACTCAAAATATAGAAAGACAACCTCAGAATAAGAAAACTTTTGGAATTGAGTAAATCAAGTTTATCATTAAAATGCAAAGAAAAAAACTCTCCAAATGTTGCTGATCTTCTGTTTTAAACTACTGTTAGACCGGAGAATCGGAGAGCAGGGGAATCCGCCAAAGAGTTTTGGATGAAAATTAATCAGCCCTGTCTACCGTAGTCACACCCCACTGCCCTTGAGACCCAATCCTTCGGAAGGAGTGTCCAAGAGGTATAAAGCAAAACCGAAAAAACAGTTCGCAAATTCCAGAGTTCGTTTTCTCTCATTAAAAATATAAATAACAGGCTAACACATGTTGACACACAATAACAGGGACACAGAATCCCTCCTGGAAGACCGACGGGCCCACGGACCCCACGGGTGCCACGGTGGTGGACGAGGTTAAGTAACTTGGTTCAGGGTGTCTGGGCACACCTCTGCGTGAGACTCTGTCTCTGCGGCTCCTCTCATCTCTACGCCGATTCCTCCCCACAATCCTCCCTTTTCCTTGGGCCCCCGACGCCTCTCCGACCAACAGTCTCCCCAGCCCCGCAGCTTCTCTCTTTCAGACCTTTACTTCTTGATCCTCACTCCATAGTGAGATGTGGCCTTTCAGCAAATAAATTGTGCTCAGGGAGACTGAAAGAAAGGGGTAAACCAGGATTAGTGCTGCAGGGTCAGAGCTAATGACACAAGCTTCTCTCCTCAGGCCTATTCATTTGAGATGCATCTCAGGCACTTAGGCACAGCAGTGCTAAGTTAGTACCAATTATATACATGCACACATAAATATATAAAAGCATATAAATATTACATATGTAAATATAAATTGTACCAATAAAATCGACATCAAGCTTGTTTTTAATCATTCACTCAAAATACATTGAACAGCTACTGTGCAAAGTCTTGGGACTGCTTAGAAACTTAAGACAAAAATATTGGGCCTGTAGTCCCAGGTGAAGCCTAGGCAGGAGGATGGCTTGAATGAAGGAGTCCAAGTCCAGCCTGGGCAGCATAGTGAGACTCAGTCTTTTTTTTTTTTTTCTCTGAGATGGAGTCGCACTCTGTCGCCCAGGCTGGAGTGCAGTGGCACAATTTTGGCTCACTGCAACCTCCACCTCCCAGGTTCAAGCGATTCTCCTGCCTTAGCCTCCTGAGTAACTGGGATTACAGGCACGTGCCACCACACCTGGCTAATTTTGTATTTTTAGTAGAGATGGGGTTTCACCATGTTGGCCAGGCTGGTCTCAAACTCCTGACCTCAAGTGATCCACCCACCTTGGCCTCCCAAAGTGTTGGGATTACAGGCATGAGCCACCGTGCCCGGCCGAGACTCAGTCTTTAAAATAATGAAGTAAAATAAAAACATAAACCTCAAACAAAAAGACAAACTATGATTTCAATCATTGTGAAGCTCTTGATCTAGTAGATGAGATATATATATATATATATATATATATATATATATATATATATATATATATATACATATACCAAAAATACTATAATTTCAGAGAAGTGCTATAGAGTCTAATGTTTAACAACTTCTGGCATTTGACTGATGGTGTTTAAAGCTCTTCCCGCATTTTCCAGGGGTATAAATCGAGGCAAGTTATTTGGTATTTACTGCATTTTGGCTTCTTCATATGCAAGGGGGTTATGATAATAATACCTACCCCATGAGGACAGTATGAGGACTAAAGAAAATCGTGTATGTATAGCCTCGGCCAATGCCCATAGACACTGAGTACTCAACTAGGTGTTAGCTAGCAGATTTTAAATTTGCATTTATTCGTATAGTTTTTAAGGTAAAATTTACATTCATTGAAATGTTAACTGTATGTTTTTTGACAAATGAATACACTTATATAACTCATATCCCTATCAAGACAGAGACCATTTTTACCACCCAGAAATTTCTCTCATGTAACTTCCCAGTCAATCCCCTGCCAGAGGGAACCACTGCTATGATTTTTTCACCACAGATTAATTTTCCCCTTTCTAGAATTTCAAATAAATGGGAAGGTATGTGCTCTTTTGTGTCATTTATCTTCACAGACTTTGAAATAAAAAAGTTACAATTTTAAACCTTTTGGGCATTTAGTAAAAATCTCCTTCCCACCAGTAGCCACCAGTCACCAGTCTTCATTTCTCTCTCTCTCTCTCTCTCTTTGAGACAAGATCTTGCTCTGTCATCCAGGCTGGAGTGCAGTGGCATGATCATGGCTCACTGCAGCCTCAACCTTCTGAGCTCAAGCAATCTTCCCACCTCAGCAGCCCAAATAGCTGGGACTACAGGTGCCCGCCACCACGCCTGGCTAATTTTGCTTGTATTTTATGTAGAGACAGGGTCTCACCAAGTTGCCCAGGTTAGTCTCAAACTCCTGAGCTCAAATGATCTGCGGGCCTTGGCCTCCCAAAGTGCTTGGATTACAGGTATGAGCCACTGTGCCTGGCTCAGTCTTCCTCTCTTAAAGCAACCAATGTTATTAGTTTTATGTGGGCCACCCCATGGCTTATCATTATTAATTCAGGTGTTTATACAAGGCTCTTTGAGAACTCAGTTTTAAAGGTTACCCAAAGCATCCTAAGACAACTCAGCCTAAAACCATATAAAATCAGTTTTAATATAACTGAAGTTTCTACATTCTGACTCCAACTGTCAGATTGTGACATTTTCTCTTTCTCTGACTTTATGCCAAATTTACTTCAACTTCTAGCATCCATCATTCTCATTTATGAACAAATATGTATTTAACAAATGTGGAAATACAAATCATGAAGCAAACAAAACCAAACCCTGGGCTTACGTAGCCGATAGTAAAAAATTCACCAAAATAACCACCCGATTACAGTTTCATGCAATGTGATAGGAGTAAGGGACCACCATAGGGAGGTCAGAAGGTGCTTTTCAGAGGTGGAGACTACAGCTGTTCTCAGAAGAATAGGGGTTAGAAGAACCTTCCAGGCACAGAGCAAAGCATGAGCAAAAGCTCTGTGGAGGCCAGGAAGCTGGTAAATAGGGAATAAAAGAGGCCAGTTTGGCTGGAGCAGAGAGAGCAGAACGGAATTGGTCTGAGTAGTGAGAAGAGATGAAGAAGTGGGCAAGGCGCCTGGCCATTCGGGGCTTGGTTAGTTAGGAGGTTTTGTCTAAGAGAATGGGAAGGTGTTTAAGTGCTTTAGGCTGGGAAGTGACACGGTCACATTATATTTTGGAAAAGCCACTCTGCCTGTTGTGTTGAGATTAGAGAGGCGATAAAGGGGATATGGGTAAACCACAAGAAGACTAGGTCAGTAGTCCCTCGACCCTCACTCCCCAGGTGAAGGCAGCCTAGACTAGGGTGGTGACGGAGGAGATAGAAGAGGACAGATTCAAGGAAAATTTGGAAGGTAAAAACCAGTAGGATTTGCTGACGGATGGAGTATAGGAGGGGAGAGGTAGATTATCAGGGATGTATCTTAGTTTTCTTATACAAGATAGATTCAGTTGCAATGAAATTGTTAATTGAAATTGACTTTAAATAATGGCATGACCTAAAGTTATGCAAACATTTGCCTTAGATAAAATATCAAGTTTTCAAAGTTTTTAGCTGGGTGGACGGCATGGCTTTACTTCCTATTTCTTGGTATTCTAATCCTGTTGAAAAAAAAAGTTTTTCTTTTTCTCAAAGGCTTATTTCAGTGGAAGCCCATCTGCAAAATCTGTTAATAAATTTAAACTAGAAAATAACTACAAGTGCCATTGACACGTTGGTTATTCTTTTTGAGAGTGACCTAAGGCCACCTCTGGGAGAGCTGGGGGCTCTTCTGAAGCCTGCCCGACTGCAC
This sequence comes from Homo sapiens, assembly GCF_000001405.40. Taxonomy (NCBI): domain Eukaryota; kingdom Metazoa; phylum Chordata; class Mammalia; order Primates; family Hominidae; genus Homo; species Homo sapiens. Next base: position 429,235 of record NW_025791756.1, on the reverse strand, counting down.
CGCGTGCCCGTGCCTGGAAGTCAGATTCGGGGCGGTGCGGCAGCGCGAGGCCTGCAGTCCTAAGCGCGGGGTCGCTCCAGCCCCAGAGGGGGTGTGTCTCCTGCCTCTTCAACCTGGCAGGGGCTGTTCAAGTGGCCGGGGAAACCAGCGATTTGGAGGGTCGAGGGCTGGTGCTTTGAAAGACAGGCGGAGGGGAGAGAGGGATTTCCCCGTCCCCGCTGCACTCGGTCCTTCCCCTGGGTTACTCCTTTTCTCCGCCTGCGCGGCCCCTAACCTGCTCTAACCCGTTGTGCAGAAGAGGCCGCCGGGTCCCTTTAAGGCCCCGCCGCGCCTGCGCCTTGGGTTATCCTGACACGCCCATCGGGATCCTGAGGAGCCAGTGGGCTGCAGGCGCAGGCGCAGGCGAGGGGCTGGGTGGCGGTTGAGACAGCGGCGGTACTGGGAGGCGTAGGTGAGGGTCGCGAGGCTGCCCGAGCTTCTGAGCGAGCGCGGTGCTTTTGGGAACGCGGGACGGGCGATCTGCGGCGCCAGGAGCTGGGCCGAGGCGCGGCGGCGCGGCTGCCGGCTGCCCTGTGAATGGGAAGTTACGCGAAGTCCACCCAGCGTTTCTGAGGTGAGGGCGCCGCGCCAGGCTGGGCGGGCGGTGAATCCGGGACCCGCGGGCGCACAGCTGGGTCGAGGCGCGGCCGTGGCAAGTTTTGTTGCGCGAGCGCGGGGGCGGGTGGGGGGTGTGGGGGGTCGTGCACCGCCGGGGCCTGAGTTCCCCGCGCTGGATTCTTCGCCTGCCGCTGCCGCCCGCAGCCCAACTCTCGTGGGCGCTGGGGAAGAAACTCGCTGGCGGGTGTTCTGTGGCATCCCAGGGGGTGGAGGGACGGAGCAGCTTCGGGGGCACGTCCTCCTATATCCTGTAGAGGACACTGACCCCGCACCCCACCCTCCAGGCCAGAAATCCGTTCCCTCTGCGGACCTGAGAGGCGAGCGCGCTCGCGCCCCTGACTTGCAAAGTTGGGGTCTTTACTGGCCTCCGGGCTTCTGCTCCTGGCGGTGTCTCCAGGCTGGTGATGGGCAAGCCAGGTGTGCCAGCTCCAGGATGCACATGAGCAGCATTTGTAGCCATCACTGAATCACCTCCTGACTAGCGGGGCAAGCCTCAAATGAACCGCAGGATTTCGGGTAGATTGGATTGTGGGGTTGCTGTTTGCACTCCAAAGAGTTGCTGTGATTTCCCTGCGTCTGGCTGGCTGGCTGGCTTCTTAGATCATCTCATGTGGCGTCCTTTCAGCGGAGAGTTAACCAAGACGTTTGGCCTGGCTTCCTTGTTTTCCTCCTATCTTTTGCTTAGAGCTGCTTTCGAAAAGAAGTCTTTTCTGGCAGTGGTATCTTTTCTTTGGGTTACAGTGTTGTTCATCCTTTCTTTGCCAAAAGAATGAATCCCAGTGCTTCAGGAAGTTAAAGAAAAGATCTGCTGGTAGTGTTCTGAGCTGATATGCGTTAGTAGCTTTTTGTTTTTAAATTCTATTGGTAAAATTTCACTAGTGAACCAGAAGCTACTTTTTCTATTCTGAAATGCTAGCTTTAAGATTTCTGAGAACTTTGCGTCAAAGAAATCTTGGAAAAGTTACTGAAGTATACAGAAGTTCACAATTTTACATGTGCAGGTGGCCCGGGCGCAGTGATCACACCTGTAATCCCAGCACTTTGGGACGCCAAGGTGGGTAGATCACTTGAGCCCAGGATTTCCAGACCAGCCTGGGCAATGTGGCAAAACCCTTTCTCTACTAAAAATACAAAAGTTAGCTGTGTGTGGTGGCGTGTGCCTGTAGTCCCAGCTACCCGGTAGGCTGAGTTGGGAGGATCACCAGAGCCCGGGAGGTTGAGATTGCAGTGAGCCGTGATCATGGCAGTGCACTCCGACCTGGATGGCAGAGTGAGACCCTGTCTCAAAAAAAAAAAAAAAAAAAGTAATGAATTTTTACCAAGTGAACCACCACAGATCAAGAAATTGAACATTACTAGTCTGGGGTATATTTGTAGGGGTGGCATTGTTGGTTTTAGAGGTATATGAATGATAAAACTTTAGTATTACATATTGTTGAACATTTTCCCAAAGTAGTTGTACCATTTAGCAGGGATATGCTGGTTACCCCACATCTTCGCTGATACCTGTCAGTTAAAAATTATTTTGCCATTCTAGTAGGGGTGCAGTAATATATCAGTGTGGTTTCATTGAGATTGAGTATCTTTTATTGCCATTTATATGTCCTCTTTTGTGACGTGCCTGTTAAATCTTTTTATCCAGTTTTCATTGATATGCTTGTTTTCCTGTTGATTTGTAATACTTTATTCTGGATATGCCTCCTTTCTAGGATTTATATGTATTGCATTTCCCTTTTTTCAATCTGTAGCTTGCGTTTTCACTCTTTTATGGTGTTTTTTCATGAAGGGAGATTCTCTTTTTTTATTTTTCTTTTTGAGACAGGATCTCACTCCATCGCCCAGGCTGGAGTGCAGTGGCACAATCACAGCTCACTGCAACCTTGACCTCACAAGGCTCAGGTGATCCCCCTGCCTCAGCCCCCAAGTAGCTGGGACCTACAGGGGAGTACCACCACACTCAGCTGTTTTCTGTATTTTTAGTAGAGATGGGTTTTGCCACGTTGCATAGGCTGGTCTGGAATTCCTAGGCTCAAGTGATACACCTGCCTCGGCCTCCCAAAGGGTTGGGATTACAGGCATGAGCCACTGCACCCAGCCTGAGATTCTTCATTTTAATGAAATTATACTTTATCAATCTTTTCCTTTATGGTTACTGTTTTTTGTGTCCTGTTTAAGAAATCAATGCCTAACCTAAGAGTATGAACACATTTTTCTGTGTTAACCTTATAACGATTTTATTTTAGTTTTTGCTTTTTTTTTTTTTCAGACAGGGCCTCAGTCTATTGTTGCCCAGGCTAGAGTGTGGTGGCAGGATCTCAGCTCACTCAACCTCCATCTCCTGGCTCAAGTGATCCTCCCACCTCAGCCTCCTGAGTAGCTGCGACTATAGGCATGTGCCACCATGCCTGGCTAATTTTCATATTTTTTGTAGAGATGGGGATTCAACATGTTTCCCAGGTTGGTCTCGAACTCCTGGGCTCAAGTAATCTGCCCGCTTCAGCCTCCCAGAGTGCTGGAATTACAGGTGTGAGCCACCCCACCTGGCTATGATTCACTTTTTACTACATGGATGTGTCTGCTTGATCCAGCACCATTTATTGAAAAGACCATCCTTTTCCTTCCGCACCATGTGGCACTTTTTTTCATAAATCGAATGACTGTATGGTCATCTGATTTATGAAATTAGTGTGGGTCTGTTTCTGTTTCTGGACCAACTTGGGTAACATAGTGAGATCCCATCTCTACAACAAATAAAAATAATAAATAAATGAATAAAATTTAAAAAATAAGTGCGTAGAGCAGATGGAGTCATAGGTGATAATTTATAAATGATTGCCAGTTTCTTGGCTACATATGGGTGTTGGTAATTCAGATGTGTTGGGTGTTCAGGCAAAACGTATTAAGTGAATTATATGGTGTTCAGAATGATTGCTAGATGTTCATTGTGACTTGAATTAGATGTTATTTGAGCCTCACAGAGCTACAGTTTTGACTCTTTTATTTATTTGTCTTTTTAAAATTTTTACAATCTTCCTGTCAAGGCAGTAACTCTTTTATACTTAATTGTTCTTAAGTATACTTAATTACCAGAAAAGCTTTATGGATCATACCTAAATAAGTGTTAAGCCATTTAAGGGGCTCACGTGATGTGATATAAACAATAGTATTCTACATAATAGTTTTAGGACTACATCAAATAATTTTTTTTTTTTCTTGAGACAGTGTCTCGCTCTGTCGCCCAGGCTGGAGTGCAGTGGTATGATCATGGCTCTCTGCAGCCTTGATCTCTCAGGCTCAAGCACTCCTCCCACCTCAGCCTCCTTAGTAGCTGGGTCTACAGGCATGCACCACTGTGCCCGGCTAATTTTCTCCTTTTTGTAGACAGGGTTTTCCTGTAGTGCCCAGACTGGTTTCAAACTCCTGGGCTGAAATGATCCTCCCACCTTGGCATCCCAAAGTGCTGGGATCACAGGCATGAGCCATCACACCTGGCCATTTTAGTTTTAATAATTTTTATATTTTTCTAATTTAAAAGATGTACTAAAATCTCTTACAGCTATTATTTATGAATATAGTATTCATTGTTGTTATTATGATGATTTTGTATGTGTTTAATCTGATTTTCAATATAAGCTCCTGGCAATTAGAGATTTTGTCTCTTTGATTCACCAGTGTATTCTCAGTACTTGACCTTGCCTGGCATGAAACAGATATTGAATAAATATTTCTTAAATGAATGAATGAATGAACATACTAATACCATATTCAACAACCTCCGAGTATCACAGTTTTCACCATCTAACAAATAAAGTAGCTTGTATAGAGTAGAGTCACAGTCAACCTGCCATAAAAGGACATGTCAATGAAAAATAAACCTTCGTATGTGTAGCTGCTAAGATTTTGGGGCTTTTGTTACCGTAGCATAACCTAGCGAAAGCTCAGAGAGACAGCATATACAATATACGTGTACAGATAGACCAGCTAGACCAGTAGATGAGATTCCAAAGCTACTTTAATAAGCATTAACTAACGACACCCACACTCTCTTAATTCCCTAACAGAAATAATGGAATTCTTGTTCACTAAGATCTGCCTCAAATATTACTTACTTTGTGAAAACTTCCCTGGCTACTCTAGTATTTAGTCAGGACTCTTTATTTTTTTCCCCCCAGGCTGGAGTACAGTGGTGCCATCATAGCTCACTAACCGCTAACTGAAGGCTCAAGGAATCCTCCTGCCTCAGCCTCCCAAGTAGCTGAGACTACAAGTGTGCACCACCATGCTCAGCTTATTTTTCCTTTTTTCTTTTCCCAGACGGGGTCTTACTATGTTGCCCAGGCTGGTCAGGACTGTTGATTACATATGACAGAAACCCAACCACCTCTAGTTCCCACCACCTTTCAACCTGCTCTTCCCTGGGTCTTCCCAGTCTCCGTAAATGGCAGCTCCATCCTTCAAGTTACCGAAGCCCTAAATCTCAACGTTAACCTTGATTTCTCTCTTTTATCTCACAGGCAATCTGAAGGCAAATCCTGTTTAGACCCAGGCGAAGGTTCCCGGTGACCCGGGCTCTCACCAGCCAATTGTCCCTTGCCGTCCTCCTGAGGGTGCCTGGAGCTTAAGCACTGTGTGCTCTTGGCCTCCACACTGGGGATGCCGCTGACTCCCACTGTCCAGGGCTTCCAGTGGATTCTCCGAGGCCCTGATGTAGAAACTTCCCCATTGGGTGCACCAAGAGCAGCCTCACATGGTGTGGGCTGACATCAAGAGCTGCCAGATCCAACAGGTAAAAATCCCGAGGCATTGCCAGCTCAGTGGGGTCAGAGAGTCCTCTTTGTATTATGACTCAGATGTGAAGGGAAGATGTCAAGGTCCCTAAACATCGCAGGGCCTTGCTTGGCATGCAACAGATATTAAATAAATATTTGTTAAATGAATGAACAAATATCCACAGCATGTGCTGCCCATGAGCTGCAGTGCCGTGGTCAGGTAGAAGTGATTTTACTTCAGGAGAGGACAGTGTTCTCTCCAGGACTTTTCCTTACTAGCTAGATCTGCATCCCTCTCCTCACTCTTCCCCTCTCACCCCCCATTCTCTGCCCCCATTTCTCTCTGTTTCCACCCTACTGTCCCCTTTCACCTGCTTTCTGCTCTTCAGCTTTGGTGGCTCACCCCCTCCCTGTCCACCTGCATCCCCCAGGCTAAGGCTCCTACACTGTCCTGGGTGGGGAGATGTGTCTGGTTTTAGGCAGTGCCCTCTGGATGTGTCCAGGATGGGGAAACATGGCTCAGTTGCCAGTATAATGGGTTAAAAGTGGCCACTTTTGAAGGCCTTTCCCATCTCCCATTCCAGAATCCTGTAGACTTAGAATTTATGGGCCACAGTGGAATTCTTGGTTCCCCAGGACCTTGTGGTGGACGTCTTCTTTCACTGAGCATTCATGGGGTGACTATGAGGTAGTAGGCCCTGCTCTGGGCTAGAGGCCCCACAATGAGTAAATCTCAGGTCACTACCCCATGGAACCCACTACTGCAGGCATTGAGAGGGGGAGAAAGAAAGGGGCATGGCCTGTTTGTGTTCTTCTCATGTGGTCACCCACAGGTCCTGGGGGAGTAGGAGCCAGTGCAAGGAGAGAAGTCCATTGAGAAAGGCAAATGGATGACATCAGACCCAGGGGCTGAGGTCCCCAACTGCAGCTGGGTAGCTTCTGGAGTGGACAAGGAGCAACAGGGAAGTTCGTGGCCTGGTGTTCTGGGATCCACTGTCTCATCTCATTCTTGTGGGCACCAGAACGTATCCAAAGACAAGACTCAGTGTCTCTGGCAACAGTGAGCCAGAGATAGAATGTGTTTCAGAGGAGGAGGACGGGGTTGTTGTACCCCATGGAAACAGTATATTGTTTTACAGTAGCGTGTCTTTCTCTAATAACTACTTAGCGTGTTCCTGTTAATGGAAAATATTGGTGGTGTAAGTTTCCCCACTGTTCTCATCTTCATGTAAATTTGTTCATTTCCTTCCTTCCTTCCTTCCTTCCCTACTTCCCTCCAACTCTCTTTCTCTCTCTTTTTATTCTTTCCCTCCTTCCCACCCGCCCTCCATCCCTCCCTTCCTTCCTCCTTCCCTCCTTCCCTCCCTTCTTTCCTTTCTTCCTTTCTTCTTTTCTTCTTCTTTCTCTCTCATGCTCTCTCTTTTTCTTTCCTTTTCATTCTCTCTACTTTTTTGAAGAGATCACACTGTACTGAAACCTACATTATTTTCCAAAATCTCTGGATCTGCTTCTGTCTTGCAGGCAGAGAGCTCATCCAGTAGCCCTTAGCTCTTCCCAGCCCCCTCCTTTGATTTGTGGGTGCCACTGCGGCAGCTGCTGAGTCTCAGTGGTTTCTAGTCTTCACCAAGTTCTGCCCACCCAGATGGTTTTTACCTGTCCTCACCAGAAACCTGCACTGTCTAGATTGCTGAGGCTGCTTCTCCTTAACCGATCTGCTATCTGTATTCCAGGGGCACCCCAGGGTTAGAGGTAAATGGCACAGGCCTTGAAATCTCCAACTGCTCTGACTCCAGGTTGGTGCACTTCAATGCCAAGTACTAACCACACAATTACAGGATGCCACCAAAACCTTGATATGGGGCTGCTGCATCCTAATTAAAAAAAAAGTTAATAGACATTATTTTTTAGAACAGTTCTAGGTTTACAGAAAACTTGAGTGGATAATACAGAGAGTTCTCCTAGGCTCCCCTGTCCTCCAGCACACAATTTTCCCTACTAGTATGTTGTATTAGTGTGGTCCATTCATTACAATTGATGAACCACTGTTGATACGTCATTATCAACTAAAGTCCATAGTTTACATTAGAGTTCATTCTTTGAGTTTCACGGATTATGGGTTTTGGCAATTACATAATGTCCTAAATCCCCAATACAGCGTCATGCGAAAGAGTTTCACTGCTGAAAATTCCCTGTGCTTCACCATTTCACGCGTCCTCCTCTCCTCCACCCCTGACAACCACTCACCATTTTACTACTTCTATCTTTTTGACTTTCCAAGAATGTCCTAGAGTTGGAGTGGTACAGTATGTGGGTTTCCAGACTGGCTTCTTTCTAGCATTATGTACTTTAAGTTCCTTCATGTCTTTTCATGGCTTGATAACTTGTTTTTTAAAATCAGTGAATCAGATTTCCTTGTATGGCTACAACAGTTTGTTTATTCTTTCGCTTGGTGAAAGACATCTTGGGCACTTCCAAGTTTTGGCAATGATGAATAAAATTGCTGTAAGTACTTCTGTGCAGGATTTTGAGTGAACTTAAGTTTTCCAAAGTGACTGTACCCTTTTGATTTCCACTAGCGATGGAAAGTTCTGCTTGCTCCTCATCTTTGACAGCATTTGGTGTGTTCACCTTTTTGAATTTTAGCCATTCTAAACAGCTTATCTGCCCCTACTGTGGAATGATGTGACAGACATAGAATAACACTTACAGTGATTCTAGTTCAAAATGAGGCAACATGGAAGGGATAAAGAAGTCACTGACCCAAAATAGTTTGGAAATGGAGCTGGGCAAAATCCAGCAGAAGTTTCTTAATTAGGATCGACAGCCTGGGACCGGCCCGCCGTCCTGTGGGTCTTTGCCTCTGGGCTGTCTGCTGGGCATTTCTTGGAACCATTATTATTTATCTTTTTTTCTCGCACTTTTTTGGGTATGGCTTCTATCGCACTCCAAATGTTTTTGAGATTCATCCTTGTTGTTCTGTGTGTCACCAGTTTGTTCCTTTAGCCATTCCATGGAATGAGTGTATCACAGTTTATTGATCCATTCTTGTATTGACAGATACTTGAATGTTTTCAGTTTTTTGTATTATGAATAAAACTGCTATGAACATTCTTGTATAAGTGATTTTCTGGACATACGTTTTAGTTTCTCTTGGATAAATGCTTAGGAATTACTGAGTCATAGAATAGGTAGTTGTTTGTTTCTGTAAGAATATGCCAGATATTTTTTCCCAAAGTGCATATGCTGTTGTACCTTCCAACCATTAGTGTACGAAGGTGAGAAAGTTTTTGCTCCTTCCAAAGAGGCCTCTCTATATACATGTAATTTTTTCTAACTGGAGATAGGCTGGTGACTTCAGGGACATGAGCATGGGATACAGGACACCTGTCATGACCACCACCATGAAATTGGGATTCAGGAAGGAGGCTAGTCATATAAGGAATCCTGTGACCAGCATGAGCTTCTGTCAGGCCACACAGGGCACTCAAGTGAACAGGGCATATGGGGTCCTGGGGTCATGGTGAGAAAGTGTCTCATTGGTAAAACCTTTTCCCTTGGGGAGGTAAATAAATTCTTGGTTCCTTCTTGGTAGCCCTTGAAGATAAGGATGGTCAAACAAAATAATATTATATCTGCAGAAAGTCAGATCTTGGTAAGATTTACTTGTTGGGAATCCAATGTTAATGCCAAGAAGCAGCTGCCAGTTGGGATCAAATGTGAGCCTATGGATCAAGGTGCGTACTCAAACACAGAGAGCTTTTTGAAAGATGCTACCAGCAGTTTTTCCAGGGCAGAGATGGGTCCTTTATTTTTCTCTCTAATCTAGCCCATATGCTTAGCTGAGAAGGTTTCTTCATATCACTTTAAATGATGATGTCCTTGTACAACAATTTTCGAAACATTCTTTAGATAAGAATTTTATGGGCATCCTTTATTGCATTAGGCTCAAATTTCATGCATCTTAAGGTTTTATTGCAAAGTGTTGCCTTGTTTCCTTTTTAAGATGATACAATTTGTAACACGCAAGTTTGCTGTCTGTCCCCTCCCTTTATGTACATATAAAATGAGCAAACATGTGGCCATGAAACAGATGGTCATAGAATTGGTTCAGTGGTTGTGAGTTCAGCAACCCAAGAGAGTCTTATCTGAAATACCACCAGGAATGCCTGGACACAGTAGACAAAAGTTGTTCAACTGGACGCCTTAGGATACACGCTACCAAAAACAAAGTAGCCAAAAAGGAACCAGAATAACAGAATATCAGAGCCAGAGGAACATTTGGAGGTAATTCAGTACCTCCTCCTTTTCAACCTACAGGAGAGATAGTGGAACAGAAGCAGAAATGGGCCTGCCTGCTGTGCCCAAAATTCATTGGAGATTGTTGTGGTGAAGAATTTCATTTATGATGAAGGAGAAATAAACCCTGTCAGCTTAAATTCAGGCAGGTTTATTGAAAAGGTGAAGAAGCGTCTTGCAGAAGCAAAGCATGGCTGAGGCTTGTGGGCTCTGTCTGGGAAAATGAGCAGCTGACAGTGGCTGATGCTGCCCCTGACTCTGGGGCCATGTGGTCTCTTGTTCCCTGAGAGCATCTCTTCTATTCTCTTGCATCTTCCCTCAGCCTGGCAGTCTCTGTGTACTCTGCAACACATAATTGAGCAAGGCTGTGCCAGCCCCAATGCCACCTGGCACTTTAGGTCAAATTAGAAAGGCATGAAATAAAGTGGCCCTTTATAATACAGCTGTTGGAACAACAGTTGGAAGTACAATATCTTGACTCCTTATTTAGTGCTTTATGCTGAACTTTCTTTTCTGAATATGAGCACAGACTTCGGAATATTAATGTCACCTAGCGTTCTTAGCTAGTATTCTCCTTTTGTTTTCCCATAACATCCCCTCCTTCTTCCCACAGATCCACTGTCCACTCATTTCCATCCTGTCTCATGCCACTCGGGGCTCGTCCCTCCTAGAATGCATCCCTGGCTCCCCTGCGTGCACACTTCTAGTTAGGTTTAGCAATGGAGGGCCCCCGATGGATCCTGGAAGTGAGAGGAAGGTGAGGTCCGTATTTCTTCCCTGTCCCTCCCTGCTCTGGCACTGAGTATCTGGCAATAGCTGCATCTGTCTATTACTTCAGTGGCCACTCTTCCACAGCCCCAGTTCTCAGTGGGTCCCATAGCATTATTTACCTTTGTTCCTTTAGCTCCCATCAAGGAAGATCCAGAGACATTCTCCTCACCAAGGCGTTAAGAAATGCACAGGTGAGGGGAACAGCGGCATGCGTTTAAAAGTCCTGTGGCGCCCATCCTCTGCAGGCTGGAGGTCATGGCGGGAGCTGCTGCATGGATTTGCCCTCCCTGCTGTCAGTGAGAACAACAGGGTTCTGGAAGAGTAGAGGACAGGCCGTGGGACTTGGCCATCTAGAGACAAGGCGGGAGGGATTTCCCTGAGAGGCAGGGATATGTGGTGGTTACTAATCATTCGAATCATTGTGAGGTGTCTGGGAATGTAATGGATGGGACATCTACTAAGAAATCAACTTACGTTACACTTAGAAAATCTCTAGTTCTGAGGACAGAGACCTGATGGAGTCACCATAGTGGGAATTTATGACCTGGCATCCAGTTCAGATACCTGGAGCTTCTTGACTGAGGGGAGATTGGATCCCTTGAGGAAGAGTGAAGCCTTCAATGCTACCACAAGTGTATGCTGTAAATCTTCCTTCAGGCCTTCCCCAGAAGGCTCTGAAGCCATTTATGTGGGTGACTGAGGAAAGGGAAATACTCAGAGCTTCTGTGGCTTGTTGGATGCTGGCTCTGAAGAATGCTAAACTGAGGGCCCTGCGGTGGCCATGAAAATGCACTACTTGCATCTCCAGCTGCAGGAGGCCTAACGAATCAGCAGCCTCAGCTGCTACCCTCCGAATGGAGGACTTGATGACATTTCCCCTGGATCTGCACTAGCCCGTGAGGAGGAAAGCCTCCTATCAAGTCCTCCCAACAGAACACCCATGATGACTCATGAGGATGTTGAAGGTGTTTTCCTGTGGCAACTGTGAGTGTCTTTCTTCAAAGTCTGTTTTGTTCCTGCACATTAACTGATTTATATAAAATAAGAGAATAAATGCCTAGACTCCCATGAGTCTATCTTTTACTGATAAACTCTAGTTCTGAGGACAGAAGCCTGATGGAGTCAGTATAGGGGGAATTTATAACCTGGCATCCAGTTCAGAGACTTGGAGCTTCTCGACTGAGGGGAGATCGGGTCCCTTTGGGGAAGAAAGAAGCCTTCAATGTTGTCACAAGTGTATCCTGGAAATCTTCCTCTAAGCCTTCCTAGAGGGACCTGATAACATGACTTATGATACAGTGACCCCAAATTCAGGGTGTTCTTGTCTACTGTCAAGAATGCAATATCTTATTCCTCTGAATTGAACGTAGTACCAATATTTGTGTGTAGCTATGCACCTTAATAGACCATAGCTAATTAGATGAGGAACGGTAGACCCAATTCAACCATACAGGCATCAACCATATCAGCATACAGGCATCCCTCTCCCACCGTTTCCTTCTTGTCCCCACTCCAAAGCCTTCTCCATTTTATTTGTATTAATTTTCTATTGCTGCATACTAAATTACTGCAAGCATTAGCGGCGTAAAATAAGAATGATTTATTTTCTTGCAGTGTCCACAGATCAGAAGTTCAGGCCTGGATTCTCTGGGTCTTCTTCTCAGGGCCTCACAGGCTGAAATTAGGCTGGGTTTCTTTCTGGAGGTTCTGGGGAAGAACTTCCTCTCAAGTTTCCTCAGGTTGTCAGCTGAGTTCAGTTCCTTGTGACTGTAGGACTGAGATCTCTGTTTTCTTGCTGGCTGTCAGCCAGGGGCCTCTCGCTGCTCGTAGAGGCCTCCCATGTTCCCACTGCATGCTTCCTCCAGCCAGCAGAGGAGGATCGCCCTGCATGGAAACCCTCCTGCACTTCACATCTCTCCAGGAAGTCCTCAGTCCCTCCAAGGAACTCACCTTCACTAGGTCAAGCTCATCAGATAATCTGTCTATCTTAAATTTGACCGATTTGGGATCTCGATTACATCTGTTAACTTGTTTTTGCCATAAATTGTAGCACAATCACAGGAGTGACATCTCCTCAGTAGCTTTGTCTACACTCAGGAGGAAGTGATTATATAAGAGCAAAGATCACTGGGGGTCATCTTAGGATTCTGTCTACCATAATATTATAAAGACACAGTAATTAAAAGAGTATAACAGATTTCTGCTTCTGTCTGTTAGAATAAATCATATCAGACTAACCCTGCCTCCATAAACAAACGTAAAATTGTTTTCAGCAGTGTACAACAGGCAGTCCAAGAGAAAACTTAAGGGGGAAGCCCCATGATTTCCTAGTTGTTTGGGGAGAATTTCTCAGCAGCTGCATAGTGAGCTAGAGTCCACTCAGGGCAGGGCAGCTCACTGAGCTGAGAAGGCAGAGATCAGAGTTCAAGACGGCTGAAGCAACTGCAATCTGCAGGGCAGGGCACCAGTGAGGAGACAGCTGATCAAAGGTGCAGCTCTCAAAGTCTATGTGGGGTTCCATGTGCATACTTATCAAGGAGTGGACTCTACCTGCACAAGGAAAAGACTAACAGATTTAACAGAGGGGTGGCTGCTATGAAATTGAGTTTGGACCAGAGATACTTGAGGTGGAGGAGGGTTGGGGAATGTATGATGGAGTTTCTGCCATCCATGGTGGGAAGAACTGATGCACACCTCATTAGCACCCAGGTATCCAACTGAGACACTAGAATGGATGTGCTTTAGGAATAAGTGTCACACTTTTCAATAAGGCCTATTGTAGACCAACCTGCTAAAGCCTAAAAGCAAACCCTGACAAATTCACAAAGGGGTGGATTGGTGATTGAGTCCTGCCAAATTAGAGGGTCTTGGGAAATGCTGTGGGCTTTCCATGAATCCGTTGTAATAAAACATAAACCAGTCCACATAAGTCCAAAGTGATCAGACAGTAATTTTACTGCCCACTAGAACAAAATTAATTCACACAATCAATGACACATGTTAGCCAGGTCGATATTTAAGCAAAATACATCTAAGAACAGCTAACAAATAACTCTTCTCAAACTCACATAGAGCATTCAGCAAGATAGACCACATGTGCTGAGCCATCCTTAGTATTTTCTGTCCTTTCTCTTTGACTCGTGTATAGTGTGCTCAAACTCTTAAAATTATACACTTTAATGATTATACACTTTCATGCATCTCAATTGCATGTAAGTTATATTTCAATATATTTGTTAAAAGTTTATAATTAAAAAAACTGTCCTAGCTTGATTCAAGAAATCTTTTTTATATTTAAGAAAATGTAATGTTATGTATTATCAGGGCAAAAGAGAAAAACCATATGATTACCTTGTCATACACAGTAAAAGCATTTGGCACAATTGAAAACTTTTTTCATGATTTATAAAAACAAACCCCAGAAAACTCTCAGCATGATAAGAAGAGAAGGCAACACTTTCAACCCTATTAAGGGTAGATTTGAAAAAAACTCAGAGGTAACATTATATTAAATGGCATAGGATTGAATGCTTTTCTATTAAATCAGAGAAAAAAGTAGAATATCTGTTGTTATTCTTTCAATTCAGCATTATACTAGAGATCTAAATCAATGCAATAAAGTAAGAAAAATAAATAAAAGTATTGAAAAGATTGAAAAGAAAGAATTGAAGCTGTCTTATTCACAGATAATGACTGTGTATGTTAATAATCCTAGAAATCTATAAAAATCTGCCAAAACTAATTAGTGAGTTTGGTAATGTTGCAGAATATAAGCTCAATAGAAGTAGTCTTTTGTATTTCTGTGTATTAGCAATGAGCATTTGGAAAATGAAATAAAAATACAATTTCATTTCAAGTAACATCTAAATACATGTTGTGCTTAGAAATAAATTCAACAGGCTGGATCCGGTGGCTCGTGTGTGTGTGTGTGTGTGTGTGTGTGTGTGGGTGGGTGTGGGTGTGTATATTCACCTTTTTGAAGATTATCTATCGTTATCTCCAAACAGGGAACATTAAGAGAACATTAAAAGAAACCACAATATAGGAGATATATTTATTTCCAACAAAGGGGTTTTTTAGAGTGTATTTGTATATATATATGTATGTATATATATATAAGTTTAATAAGATAAACAGCACAATGAAACAATTTCTCAAAAGACTTGAATAGGTACTTAAGAAAAGAAGATACATGAATGGTCAATTAGCATAGGAAAAGATGCTCTACTGTTTAGCCAGCAGGAACATCAATCAATACAACAATGAGATACCAGTACATATCCTGTACATATGAGATACCAGTACATATCCGGTGCCTGGGATTACAGGCACCGGCCACCATGCCTGGCTAATTTTTTGTATTTTCAGTAGAGGCAGGGTTTTACCATGTTGGCCAGGCTGGTCTTGAACGCCTGACCTCAGGTGATCTGCCCGCCTCAGCCTTGCAAAATCTTGGGATTACAGGCATGAGCCACCAGGCCCAGCCAAAATGATTCCATTTTTATGAAGCACATGATCAAGCAAAATGAATCTATGGTGGCTGCTAAGTTTAAATATTGGTCCCCTCCAAATCACATGTTCAAATGTGGTCCCCAGTGTTGGAGGTGGGGGTAAATGGGAGGTGTTTGGGTCATGGGAGTGGATCCCTCATGAATAGATGAATCCCCACCCTGGGAGAAGGTAGTGAGTGAATTCTCACTCTCTTAGTTCCTGTAGGAGCTGGTTATTAAAAAGTGCCTCTCACCTTTCCTTGCTCTCTTTTGCTTCCTCTCTCGCCATATGATCTCTGCACACCCTGGTTCCTTTTCACCTTCTGCTGCAAGTGGAAGCAGCCTCAGGCCCTCATTAGGAGCAGATGCGGGGGCCATGCTTCTTGTACAGCCTGCAGAACTATGAGCAAAAGGCACCTCTTGTCTTGATAACTTACCCAGCCTCTGGTATTCCTTTCCAGCAACACAAAGGGGCTAAGGCAGTGACAACATTCAGAATATATTCTTCATTTGGGGGATGAGTATTGACTGGCAAGGACCACATCAGAACTTTGTGGCATGGGGGAAAATGTTCTCTGTCTTTAACTGGGTGTTACTTTACAATTATAATTATATTAAAATTTATTAAGCTGTGCCTTTAGGTTTTTTTGCAGTATACTCTATGCAAATTTTACCTCAGTGAAGAACGGTTAGCATACAACAGACAGATAACAAACACTCAAAAAGGTGAAAATTGACAGAAAATAGGTAACAAATATTTAGCATATAAATAAGAGGGATCCGTTGAGAAGAAACCAAAAGCAACGGAATAGAACAAAGACAAAAAAGTATAATAAAAAGAGTTTTAAATTTCAAAGTTTGAAACGATATTAAAGTGGCACACTGTTTCCTTGGGAAAATCAAGTGAGAACCACAAGTCTGAGACTAATTCCAGCAAAAGTATGTAAATCAGTTTGATCTAATGGTACAAGGTTAGCTTTGAAGGCCAAAAGGAACGGATATCTAATTCTTACTCCTCTCCTCACTAGTTTTGTGACCTAGGGAAATTTTGCAATCTTTCTGAGTTTGTTTTCTCATCAGGAACAGGATAATACCTAAGTAACAGGATAGTTGACAGATTTAAATATGATCGCATGGCGGTGGACATGAGCCGTAATTAGTTGTTAAGAATATATTGACACTGAACTCTCCTTTATCCATGTTAAAATTGTAGATAAACAACAATTGACAAAGAATAGACAAAATGTTCTAACATAAATATTCTTCCCTTGTTTCTAGAAAGAAGTCACACATACGGTAAAAATAATTAGAGAGGACCTAGTTCATATTGAACAATCTTCCCCAAAGCCTGAAACAGGTCTTCTTTCTAACACCAGAGATATCTTGAGTGAGTCCAACCCCTGCAGTCCCCTCTGTCTGGAATAGATGGAGGAAGTTTGCTCCAGCCTTAGAAGAGCATGGGCTGGCAAGCGTTCTCAGAGAGGTCTCGACTTCAACTCTAAAGGGCCTGAGGAATATGTGCAACTGGGTCGGGTTAAGGCCAAGCTGAATCACATGACCAGGGCTCTCACCAGCGCCAAAGCCAGTGGAAGGATATCAGTCCCCAGAGCTCTGTCACAGGCCATGGATGCTCCATGGAGGGGTGGTGAGCATATGAATAACAATCAGGAGAAACATCGGTAATGGACAGGAGGCATCAATAAACAATGTCCACCCTCCTCTAAAACCCAGGAAAGTTCTCATTCAAAAGACGATGTCTTGAAGGAAACCTAGGTACAAATCTTTGTGATTTTGGATTAGACATTTTTTAAGTAGGCACAAACAACCGAAAAATAGATAAATGGACTTCATTAAAATAAAAAACTTGTATGCTTCAAAGGACACTGTCAAGGAAGTGAAAAGATAATCCACATAATGGGAGAACTATTTCCAAATTGTATGTTTGACACAGGTCTAGTACCTAGAGTATATAAGGAATTCATATAACTGAGCAATAAACGACAACCACATTTAACAATGGGGAAAAAAAGCTGTGAGTAGAGGTTTCTCTAAAGGAAACACACAAATGGCCAAGAAGCACATGCAAAGATGTTCAATGTTTTTCGTCATTAGGAAAATGTAAATTTAAACCAAAATGAGATACCACTTCACACCCAGCAGTATGACTTAAGAAAAAAATAAAGACAACACATGTTTCAAAAGTGATGGAGAATATGGAATTCTCATATATTACTATTGGGAATCTAAAATGATGTAGCTACTGAAGTTAGTAAACAGTGTGTGAGTTCCTCAAAAAGTGAAACATAAAGTGACATATGATGCAGCAATTGCACTCCTAGGTTTATAACCAAGAAAATGAAAAACAGTTGTTCACTCAAAAACCTGTACAAAGCTGTTCACAGCAGCATTATTCCTAATAGTTAAAAAGTGGAAACATCTTAAACCACCATGAGTTGATGAATAAACAAAATGTGGTATAACCATATAGTGGAATATTATCTGGCCATAAAAAGTTGAAGTACTGACGCAGGCTAGAAAGGATGAAACTTGAGAACAATATTCTAAGAAGCAGATAGAAAATACCACACTTTGTTATTCCATATAGAGGAAGTGCCCAGAACAAGTACATCAATATATAGAGAAGGTAGATTAGTGGTTGTCAGAGAGCGCAAGAAGGGGGGAATTGGAGAGTGTCTGCCCACAGGTACAGGCATGCTTTTTGGCATTATGAAAATATTCTGGAATTAGGTAGTGGCGATGGTTGCGAAAGTTTTGGAATATGGTAAAAGACACTGAAATGTATGCTTAAAAATGGTGAATTTTGTGATGTATAAATTCTACTGTAGAAATAATAATAACAACAAAAGTAATAAAGCAAGGTGTCTTTCCACATCTCCATGTCCAGTATTTTCATTTAAAAAAAAAGAAAGAAAGTAAAAGCATTTCAGGGCCAGGTTCAGTGGCTAACTTCTGTAATCCCAGCACTTTTGGAGGCCTAGGTGGGAGGATCGCTTGAGGCCAGAAGTTCAAAACCAGCCTGAGCAACATAGCAAGACCTTGTCTCTATGAAAAATATAAAATTAGCCAGAAATGGTGATGTGTGCCTAGAGTTCCAACTACTTGGAAAGCTGAGGCAGGAGGATCGCTTGAGCCCAGAAGTTCAAGATTGCCGTGATCTATAATCACCAGTGCACTCCACCCTGGGTGACAGAATAAGACCCTGTCTCAAAAAAAAAAAAAAAAAAAAGCATCTCACTTTAATAGTAAGTGGCCAAAATATGATGCTGGCTGCATGTTGTGAGGAAATGTGTTAGATGAAAGAAGTCAAATTCCAGAAGATTTCCTTTTTCTCAGAAATGAGGTATAGGGGAGAGAAGCACTGGTCCACCTGAGATCTGGCTCCAGGACTTACAACAAGGGGAACTTGGGCAAGTTACAGACTCTGTGTGCCTCAGTTTCTTCATCAGCAAAACAGAAAGAATCATCCCATAAACTGTAAGGTCAATGCTGTCAGTGAGTCCCCAAATTGACTGCACATCTGAGTCATGTTAACAAACACATTCCAGGCCCCACCTGAGCCCTCTGAATCAGAATCCCTGCAAGGAGGACAATGAACTTGTATTTGCACTGACTTTCCCAGCTGTTTCTTACTTTGATCAACTTGGGGGTGGGACCCATTGAGCTGCATCACATCATTCCAAAGCCAAAACACAACAGCAGAACAAGAATATTTTCAATGCGGTCTCTAAAGCGGAGGAGAAACTGTTGAGGGAACCTAGAAGTAAAGGACATCTGGCTTGCTGGGCTCCATTTAAACTTTGAGTATAGCAGAGACACGAGCCCTTCGGGACACATGCCTGTCGCAGTGACACTCCAACTTCGGAAGAGTGGAAGCCCTGATTCCAAATTCAAGCATGCTTTGAGTAGAAATTAAGTTTGCCTCTTTTTGCACAGGAAGATGGCCAATCTTTCCTAAGCTGCTCACCTTACAAGAAAACGAATCGTACTGCTAAGAATTCAAACTTCAGCAGTCATGGGTAAGTAAGGAAGTCTTATAAATCTATTTTAGCCACCTAACAAGAAACTAGAAATTTAGCAAGTTCTTTCACATTCAGGACAGTTGTGTTGACTAGATCAGAGGCACTGAGACATGAAGAACAGACCCCTAAAAAGGGAAAGTGTTCCTTTCAGTTTGAGGACATCACTGGAATATTAGGGAAGTGGAAACACAGCTGCCCACTCTACAGTATGGGTTGCCTTTGTGTCCGGAATGTGCCTAATGTCCTGATCTCTGTGCCCTTTTCAGGGAGCCTTGGAAGGAGCCCGAATCACTGATGGAATTGGACAGTGCATGGAGATGGTTCAGCAGGACAAGGGTAAGTGCAGGGGCAAGTCCAGGTCATACTGAGAGACAACGAGTGGCGCTGACAGAGACAGACAAAGATAAAATCAAAAGTTTGTGCTTCATCTTCAAAAACTCAAACTAATAACAAACTTGGCCTTATGAGAAATAATAAGTATTTTTCTATTTACATGAGAATTTAATCTCAAAACAGGAATCAGAAACATATTAAGTCCAGGGCATAAAACCTAAACCACTGCTCATATTTATTCTTTCTAAATAGAGCAAAGTGTAAAATCTTCTCCATAAAATGCACATTGTGCTTATGAAAAGGCCAAAGTCTTAGTGAGAATCATTGGTATTCCATAGAAGAGTGAATTAAACACAGCCAAGGGAAGACCCAAGTCTCATACTTCTCTTGTATATTCCAGAGTTCCAGGGGAATTCCAGGTGATAGAGGTGATCTCCCATACTGTTAAAGCAAGGTTGCAGACACTTGGGAATTTTGGTCCCAGTACTCTAGGAGGTCACACCTCTGTCCTGCAAAATACTACAGGAATGTATACTCTTCCTATGACTCATTCTGGTCATTCTTCCAGCATCACAAAAACCAAAAAAAAAAAAAATGGAAATATGTCCAAATACATGATTTGTTATCCCTCCTCTTCAGGTTTCTTACCTGTTACTTACGGATAATAGCATTACCACAGGATTATGATGAAGATACAATGTCCAAATATAAGCTCAGTTTTGAGCAAAATGCCTTGTACGAATTGGTCAATGAACAACTAGTAAATAATTATGTGAATATTTACTGAATTATATGGATCCTATGAATAATTACTGAATAATTCATGTGATTGCTTTTATTGGCAGTGCTGAAAACTCATCCCCGTGTGACCTCAAGTAAGCCATGTAACTCTGTGAACCTGCAGTTTTATCATTTTTAAAATAAAGAAACATGACAGATTTTCATTATGACACAGAATGTCAGGTCTCCCAGATGCCAGAAAATACATTTACTTAAAGCCGTTGATACGTCTTAAAGCGGTTTCCTTACAGTGTCATTGGAGGACAGTGTGGAGTGCAGAGAGACATGCTTTGAAATGGGATTGATCCAGTGCTCCTTCCTTCACTACCACATGAATGCTGGGCAGCCCAGGGTCAACCCACCGCACCCTCAACTCAGGCAAGTCCAGCAGCCAATCTTAGGAGACCTGGGCTACAGAACAGTCTCCCAAGTTCCAGGCTCACAAAACCTAGGTGGGGATGAAAGCTGAGAAAGCGAGGAGGTGGTTCAGGGGATCACTCTTTCCTACTCATTCCTCTCATCTCAAACTCACCTTCTACTGCAACACTGAGGATCACCAACCAACCGTGACCATAACCTTGATCTTGCCATGTTCTGTTAGTGGAATGCAACCCAAAATCAATGGTGTTAGGTCATCTGAACAAAATATATATCAAACCATATTGCATAAGAACCACTCATGGCCCTGTTCTTTTCAGTATATGGGAAAACAAAATGGAAACAACAAAATAGCATCAGGTTTATGAAACTTCCCAAGATAGATGGTCACACATGTTTTCAGGAGATCTCTATATAAATGATTTTGATCACTTGATACCTTGAAAAGAGCTCTTGTGACACTAGAATGACATCCATAAGTGACAAGTATAAAATGTAGCGCTCAGTGACATCAAAAACCAAATCAACCCACATAGAGGAAGAGCTCTGGACATAGGGATGTCAAACTGGTCTAGAGTGTAATGAAAAGCAAAGATGGTGGCCCAGTGAGAAAAAAGAAATCAACATAACAATGGGAAACAGCAAGAAGAATACTGAGACAGGAAAGACAACATTTTTTACAAGTGAATTATTCATTCACTTTCTAGTGGATACAGACAAAACTGCAGAAGACCCAGAGGAAATCAGGGCAGGCTAAAAGTTTGATATCTTACACCTGTGGAAAAGCCTTAAGCTCTGTTTTAACTGAGAGCAGGTGGGGTGACTTCATGACTACCATTAAGAAAATACAACCTGTTGGGAAACTGTTTCTGCCTTGATGATGTTGTACAGACAAGAGATAAACAGTGAGGAATATGCTTAGATGTATTGGGAAAGACACGGGTCTGTGGCATCATCACAAGGGTACACGAATACTGAGAGTGAATGCTGAAGGAATGATCCCCATTGGTGGTGACCCTCAGGTGAGACTAGGGTGCCTGTGTTTCAGCAAAGCCTGGGCAATTGGAATGCAGGGCTCCTAAGATTCCATGACACCCCCACCTTCTAATTCTGTTATTGCAACTGCAGACGGTTACCTGGCACGCTGGCCACAGTCTACCTCACTCTTATCAGAGTCTGAGCTACTGGCAGTGCTTTCAGCTGTGAGTTCAGGCACCTCAAACCTTGTTTTTGTGGTGAAGGATCCTAAAGTGCTGTGGGGAGTGATCACATTTTTCACAACAGTAAGTTAAGAATTTCAGTTACTGACATCCCTCAGTCCTGATGAAACCTATTTGATTTCACCAGTTTTTAACCCATCATATGTTTGGGTTTCTTCTCCCCAGTCCCTGGCTCCACCTCTTCTGCCACAAACGTCAGCATGGTGGTATCAGCCGGCCCTTGGTCCAGCGAGAAGGCAGAGACGAACATTTTAGAAATCAACGAGAAATTGCGCCCCCAGCTGGCAGAGAACAAACAGCAGTTCAGAAACCTCAAAGAGAAATGTTTTGTAACTCAACTGGCCGGCTTCCTGGCCAACCGACAGAAGAAATACAGTAAGATCTATAGGCTCACCATCATGAAAGTGATGAATGATGTCCTGTCTTCTCTCTGAGACACTAAATGCTCTCTCCATCAAAAATAATTTCATCCTTCCTGTACTTCTAGGAAAACAGAAATGGGTATTTTAACATTTTGTTAAAGTTGGAAGACAGAGGTACCAAAGTATTTAGCAACTTTCCATGTTTGCAATCAGGTGGGGGTGGGACTAGAGTTAAACTCACAGTTATTGATTTCTAACACAGACACAGAACGACCTGTTTTCTCCAAGAGGCTCAATCATGTTTTCAAGAATCCTCTCTGTACCATATAAGATCCTGCAGACAAATAACATCTAGTCTGTTGTTCTAAATGTCTGAGACTAGTGAACTTTTATTCAGTTCAAGTTTCTGTTGAGGCCCAACAGGCAAAGCTCTGTTCTAGTGACTCTGAGGGGAACTTGGTGATAGTAGCCAGTACCTGCTCTGAGGGGCTTCAAGAGGAGTCTGCTCCTAATAGAACCTGTGCTATCTATAAGTGACAGCATCAAGAGCAGGGAGTAGGGGCCGTGCAACGTGGCTCACTCCTGTAATCTCAGCACTTTGGGAGGCTGAGGCGGGCAGAGCACGAGGTGAGGAGTTTGAGACTAGCCTGGGCAACATGGAGAAACCCCATCTCCACTAAAAATACAAAAAGTAGATGGGCGTCATGGCGGGCAACTGTAATCACCACTAATCGGGAGGCTGAGGCAGAAGAATCCTTTGAACCCAGCAGGCAGATGTTGCAGTGAGCCAAGATTGCACTATTGCACTCCAGCATGGGTGACAGGGCAAGACTCGTCAAAAAACAAACAAACAAAAAGATAAATCAAACAAAAATAAAAATAAAAAGCAGAGAGTACCTTGGTGAGAGTGCAGTCCTGCTTCCTGGTACACAGGCTCTTGTTCCTAAAGAGGAAGAAAGATCACACCCGAGAATGTGTGGAAGCAGCAGTGCAGTGTGCAAAGCAGGGACCCTCAGCCTGTCTCCTGGGCTCCATCCAAGTTGCTTGTCTTGTCTGTCCCTCAGTTTCCTCATCTGTTCAGAGGGTACTACAATAATACCTACCTCTGTAAATTGCTGCAATGAATTACATGAGGTATTTCCTGTCAATCTCCTTGAACATTAATTGGCACAGTGTAAACACTATCTATTAGTTCTTCATTCTGATGTTTCTAAATTAACACAAACTAATCTTATGCTGTTTCTAAATTAACACAACTAATCTAAATCTTGATGCTGCCTGTCATACTAATAAAGTATTTGGGCATATTTCCTTCATGGCCTTATTGTCTTCTGTCTCACACTTTAAGCTTCCGATATGATTCTTAAAACCGTATCTGAATATATGATTTAAAAATGAAATGTTTTAAAGTCCTTGACATATTTGTCCTTGAAATACCCAGTAAAAGGGAAACCATCAGTCCCATAGTCCTAGGGGCCTTCCCGACTGTACAAGAAATCACCACTTCATGCCCCAGTGCAGTGTTTCAGAGGAGAGGCTGCCAGGCTTGGGAAAGTGGCCCCGCATTCAGAGTCAGACCTCAGGGGCTGTGAGTTCTGAGTCCACTTCGTTGTGGTTGAATCATCTTGTCAACTTCCTTGATGTGCCTTGAGTTTCTCTTTCTTCGTCTTTAAATTTTGGAGGATAAGATGCCAGAAAGTCAGGAGACTGAAGAGTAAAGATGTGGAAATCCCTGCCTAGAGCCTGGTACTGGGGACAGTTTTGTCCTTGGGATGGACCTGGCTCCTGCCCTGTAGGCAGTGACCACAGCAGCATGTCCAGCCTTCCACTGAGGCAGGCGTGTCTGTCTTTTCTCAGAGTATGAAGAGTGTAAAGACCTCATAAAATTTATGCTGAGGAATGAGCGACAGTTCAAGGAGGAGAAGCTTGCAGAGCAGCTCAAGCAAGCTGAGGAGCTCAGGTGAGGGGACCCCGTTGGGGGAGGCAGGCGGGTAGGTGTGTAGATCTCTGAAGTACAGCAGCTCGGCGGGGAGAAGTAAGAACGAAGCTGGGCCAGGGGAAGGGCAGAAATTGCCATGGCAGGCTCATGACACACAAATATTTATCAGAGAACAAGGATAATAATAAGTTATGTGTTGCAGTTGTTTCTTAGAGACTTGTTTTCTCTTTTTCAAACAAGTAATTGTTGATGTGAAATTTGCATGACACAAAATTCACCAAAGGAGTGGGAACCACCCAGCAGCATTCAGTATACACAGAATGGTGTGCCATCGCCACCCCACTTACCCTTAGTGAGAATCACCTTCTGACTGACTGCGTCTTCTCATTCTTTCACTCAATCAATGTTGCCTTCTCGACCCTGTCATTCTTTTCTTCTTTCGTCTTTTCAATTCGCCCCATCTGCACCTGGCCTCATTTCTGTACATGGCTTTGTATCTAGTGGCCGCAAGATGCACTATGTGTATTTTCACATGGAAATGTCCATGGCCAGAGTGAGGAACTGAAAGGATGTCTTTTTGAAACGGAATTAGGAAGACACCTACTTTTGTTTACAGAAGGGAAAGATGAATGGAACATCATCGAGGATCTTGCAGGAGCCCTCTCTGATACAGAGGAAGCCTGTAAACCATTTTCTATTCTTTCTCTTGGCCACAGTCATTCCTTTCAACATGTGCTGACCTTCTGCTTGGAGGTCTCCTTGAGGACATTGTCTCAGAAATCTCTGTTGCAATATTTGAGCGGATCACTCAACCCTTTCCACTCTTAAATTTTCTCTACCGTCTCACCTTAGGCAATATAAAGTCCTGGTTCACTCTCAGGAACGAGAGCTGACCCAGTTAAGGGAGAAGTTACGGGAAGGGAGAGATGCCTCCCGCTCATTGAATCAGCATCTCCAGGCCCTCCTCACTCCGGATGAGCCAGACAAGTCCCAGGGGCAGGACCTGCAAGAACAGCTGGCTGAGGGGTGTAGACTGGCACAGCAACTTTTCCAAAAGCTCAGCCCAGGTAAGGTGGCCATAGGCCCTGATGACCCAAAACCCCAGGCTTATGAGAGGCTCCAGACCTCCATACTTTCACAATGACAGTTGTATCAGTGGGGTTATTTTCTGCTACACATATGTGGCCATGATATGACCAGGACTTCCTGGGTAAGAACAGAGATGGGAAACCCATGGGTTTGGAGGTCACAGTATTGCAAGTGTCCCTCCTTCCTTGATGGAAGGTGGTCTTTGGAGCAAGAGGCAGCATCTGTCTAGTTTTAAAGGACAGGAAGGAGGCTGTGATGGGAGGTCGCTTGTTGGAGTGAAAAGAGCTCTGGGCTAAGAATGAAGGTTCCCAGGCTGTCTTTTTGGCAATGTTCTTAGTAACTGTCGGTGAGTGAGTGATTTATCTTTCCAGAGTTTCTCTCTCTCCATCTGCAAAGGCAGACAAATTGTCTCTTGCAAGGGTCCGAAGCATCCAAATATGGGAACACTTACGAATGCTTTTCAAAATGAGATGCAGCCCCTCTCCGTGTGGTGTTGGAGAAGGCACTTGATGTGGGGGCATTTGGTGGTAGGAAGTGCTTCAGACTGGAGCACTCCCCATGGATAGAATGTCCCTGTATAACACAGCAGAAGCCACTTGGAGGGCCTGTGCAGTCTCATGATGCATAGAGGACTGTGGGACAAGTTTGTCCTCTCCTAAGAGAAAGAATGAGGTTTGAAATGCGAACTGTGACAGGACACCAAACCTGTTCCTGGGAATCAGATCTGTGGCAGGATGGGGGCGACAGCTGCCAAAGTCCAGAGAGAGGCTGCACAAGCCTCCAGTGATATGGGAAGCAAAAGGTCTTTTCAATATTTGGCCACATCTTGATGGTGGCCCTCCAGATCAGAAATGCATTGCCCGATGGACCAGGAAACCATGCCAGGGCATTTTGTGAAAGACAAAACATGACAGTTTTCAGTACAATGCTGAACCACACATAGATGTTCATGTCTCTGTGCACATTGGGCTGACTGTGCTTGGAGAATGGGAAGTGGGAAATATCTGAACGAACATTTTGTATTTACAGAAAATGACGAAGATGAGGATGAAGATGTTCAAGTTGAGGAGGCTGAGAAAGTACTGGAATCATCTGCCCCCAGGTAACACTGAATACTCAGGAGCAAGTAATGGGTGGTAACATATAAAAATGTCTAGGAGGCTCACCCTCTCTGGCATCTATGATGGGCCAAAAGCCCGCATTCGCTTGGCCACAGTATGTGAAATTCAACCCAGCTTAGACACAGGGTGCGGCAGCTGTCGTGTTTCTCTATGTGTGCCAAGTGTCATGTCTGTACCATACAGGGATAGCTGAGTCTTCATCCTCCTCAGCTCCTATCTGTCCAGTGCACTGAACACCAGCTGCTCTCTTCCTCTCTGGCTCCCATGGCAGCCATGCTCTGTTGCAGAGAGAAGAGGATTGCCTGTTCCCCCTTAAAGGGAACCTCCATTTTGCTTTCTGGGACCACTCTCTTAATGCCGCCTGTCAAAACCAGCTAGGACTCCCTGGGGTCCAATCCCTCTGTGTTTAATCTTCTGTCATCTCTGTCCCACCTGGCTCATCAGGGAGGTGCAGAAGGCTGAAGAAAGCAAAGTCCCTGAGGACTCACTGGAGGAATGTGCCATCACTTGTTCAAATAGCCACGGCCCTTGTGACTCCAACCAGCCTCACAAGAACATCAACATCACATTTGAGGAAGACAAAGTCAACTCAGCTCTGGTTGTAGACAGAGAATCCTCTCATGATGAATGTCAGGATGCTGTAAACATTCTCCCAGGTAGCCTCTATTTTCCTTGTGTCTCATACCTCTGTCTAGGCTATGGAAGATCAATTCTGAGGACAGGCTGTATACGCACATATTGTTTTAGTCAGAAACTAGGATGGAGCTAGGTGCTGTGACTCACACGTATAATCACAGCACTTTGGAAGGCCCAAGTGGGAGGATGACTTGAGTTCAGGAGTTGAAGACCAGCCTGGACAATATGGTGAAACCCATCTTTACAAAGAATACAAAAAATTAGGCAGGTATGGTGCTGCGTGCCTATAGTCCCAACTGCTCAGGAGACTTAGGTGGGAGGATCGGCTGAGACGATCCTCCCACCCTGGTTCGCTCCTCTCAGGCTAGACTCTCTCTCCTTTTCATTGGCTTGTCTCAGCTATTAATAAGAAGTCTCGGCCGGGCGCGGTGGCTCACACATGTAATCCCAGCACTTTGGGAGGCCGGGGCGGGTGGATCACGAGGTCAGGAGATCGAGACCATCCTGGCTAACACGGTGAAACCCCGTCTCTACTAAAAATAGAAAAAAAAATTAGCTGGGCGCGGTGTTGGGCGCCTGTAGTCCCAGCTACTTGGGAGGCTGAGGCAGGAGAGTTGCGTGAATCCGGGAGGGGAAGCTTGCAGTGAGCCGAAATTGTACCACTGCACTCCAGCCTGAGCGAAAGAGCGAGACTCCATCTCAAAAAAAAAAAAAAAAAAAAAAAAAAGGTCTCTGCCAGGGGCGCTGGCTCACATCTTAATCCCAGCACTTTGGGAGGCCGAGGTGGGCGGATCACCTGAGGTCAGGAGTTCAAAACCAGCCTGGCCAACATGGCAAAACCCTATCTCTACTAAAAATACAAAAATTAGCTGGCATGGTGGTTGGCGCTTGTAATCCCAGCTACCTGGGAGGCTGAGGGATGAGAATCGGTTGAACCCGGGAGGCAGAGGTGGCAGTGAGCTGAGATTGCGACACTGCACTGCAGCCTGGGTGACAGAGTGAGACTCCGTCCCAAACAAAAAACAAAAAACCAAAAGATAAAAATATTAAAAAAGCAAAATGCAATCTTTTGTGCTACACAGAAACATTGGCCACTCATGGGGTAAAAATCTCAGGGCCCAGCCTTGCTTTATACAAACTTATAAGCAAGAAAAGTGTAGAAGTGTTTATGTCCTGGTTTCAAGGTGACTGCATAGCTAAGACAAGTTGACTTAAAGGAGATCAAGACTGGAAATGACAAGAGTGAAACCAGGGAAACAACATTTTCAAATAAGTAGACAAGGCTGCCACTGACATCCCTCAGTGTGATTAAACCTATTTGATTTCACCAGTTTTTAACCCATCATGTGTTTGCCTTTCTTCTCCCCAGTCCCTGGCCCCACCTCTTCTGCCACAAACGTCAGCATGGTGGTATCAGCCGGCCCTTTGTCCAGCGAGAAGGCAGAGATGAACATTCTAGAAATGAATGAGAAATTGCGCCCCCAGCTGGCAGAGAAGAAACAGCAGTTCAGAAACCTCAAAGAGAAATGTTTTGTAACTCAACTGGCCGGCTTCCTGGCCAACCAGCAGAACAAATACAGTAAGATGTATAGGCTCACCATCACGAAAGTGATGAATGATGTCCTATCTTCTCTCTGAGAAACTAAGTGCTCTCTCCATCTAAAATAATGTCATCCTCCCCATACTTCTAGGAAAACAGAAATGGGTATTTTAACATTTTGTTAAAGTTGGAAGACAGAGGTACCAAAGTATTTAGCAACTTTCCATGTTTGCAATCAGGTGGGGGTGGGACTAGAGTTAAACTGCCATTTATTGATTTCTGACACAGGCACAGAATGACCTGTTTTCTCCAAGAGGCTCAATCATGTTTTCAAGAATCCTCTCTGTACCATATAAGATCCTGCAGACAAATAACATCTAGTCTGTTGTTCTAAATGTCTGAGACTAGTGAACTTTTATTCAGTTCAAGTTTCTGTTGAGGCCCAACAGGCAAAGCTCTGTTCTAGTGACTCTGAGGGAAACTTGGTGATAGTAGCCAGTACCCGCTCTGAGGGGCTTCAAGAGGAGTCTGCTCCTAATAGAACCTGTGCTATCTATAAGTGACAGTATCAAGAGCAGGGAGTAGGGGCCGTGCATGGTGGCTCACTCCTGTAATCCCAGCCCTTTGGGAGGCTGAGGCGGGCAGAACACGAGGTCAGGAGTTTGAGACCAGCCTGGGAAACATGGAGAAACCCCATCTCCACTAAAAATACAAAAAGTAGATGGGCATGGTGGCAGGTGACTGTAATCACCCCTGTTCAGGAGGCTGAGGCAGGAGAATCCTTTGAACCCAGGAGGCTGAGGTTGCAGTGAGCCATGATTTTGCCATTGCACTCCAGTCTGGGTGACAGGGCAAGACTGGTAAAAATAATAATAATAATAATAATAATGATAAATAAAAATAATAAGAAGCAGAGTGTAGCTTGGTGAGAGTGAAGTCCTGCTTCCTGGGGCACAGAGTCTTGTTCCTAAAGAGGAAGAAAGATCGCACCTGAGAATGTGTGGAGGTAGCAGTGCAGTGTACAGAGCAGGGACCGTGGGCCTGTCTCCTGGGCTCCATCCAAGTTGCTTGTCTTTTCTGT
Organism: Homo sapiens; assembly: GCF_000001405.40. Lineage (NCBI taxonomy): Eukaryota > Metazoa > Chordata > Mammalia > Primates > Hominidae > Homo > Homo sapiens. The sequence continues at coordinate 399,733 of NW_025791756.1, read as the reverse complement.
CCCTCAGTTTCCTCACCTGTTCAGAGGGTACTACAATAATACCTACCTCTGTAAATTGCTGCAGTGAATTACATGAGCTATTTCTTGTCAATCTCCTAGAACATTTATTGGCACAGAGTAAACACTATCTATTAGTTCTTCATTCTGCTGTTTCTAAATTAACACAAACTTTATTAGCATTTGGGCATATTTCCTTCATGGCCTTATGGTGTTATGTGTCACACTTTATGCTTCAGATATGATTCTTAAAATCATAACAGAAGATATGATTTAAAAATCAAAGATTTTTAAAATCTTTCGCATACTTGTCTTTGAAATTCCCAGTAAAAGGGAAACCATCAGTCCCATAGTCCTAGGGGCCTTCCCGACTGTACAAGAAATCACTACTTCATGCCCCAGTGCAGTGTTTTAGAGGAGAGGCTGCAAGTCTTGGGAAAGTGGCCCTGCATTCAGAGTCAGACCTCAGGGGCTGTGAATTCTGACTCCACTTCCTTGTGGTTGAATCATCTTGTCAACTTCCTTGATGTGCCCTTGAGGTTCTCTTCATCTCTAAATTTTGGAGGATCAGATGCCAGAAATTCAGGAGACTGAAGAGTAAAGATGTGGAAATCCCTGTCTAGACCCTGGTACTGGGGAGAGTTTTGTCCTTGGGATGGACCTGGCTCCTGCCCTGTAGGCAGTGACCACAGCAGCATGTCCAGCCTTCCACTGAGGCAGGCGTGTCTGTCTTTTCTCAGAATATGAAGACTGCAAAGACCTCATAAAATCTATGCTGAGGAATGAGCGACAGTTCAAGGAGGAGAAGCTTGCAGAGCAGCTCAAGCAAGCTGAGGAGCTCAGGTGAGGGGACCCCATGGGGGCAGGCGGGGGAGCAGCTGTGTAAATCTCCGAAGTACAGCAGCTCGGTGGGGAGACGTAAGAGCTAAGCTGGGCCAGGGGAAGGGCAGGAATTGCCATGGCAGGCTCGCAACACACAAGTATTTATCAAGCAGAGAAGAAGGATAATAAAAATTTATGGGTTACAGTTGTTTCTTAGAGCCTTGTTTTCTCTTTTTCAAACAAGTAATTGTTGATGTGAAATTTACATAACACAAAATTAACCAAAGGAGTGTGAACCACACAGCAGCATTCAGTATACTCAAAATGGTGTGCCATCGCCACCCCACTTACCCTTAGTGAGAATCGCCTTCTGACTGACTGCGTCTTCTCATTCTTTCACTCAATCAATGTTGCCTTCTCGACCCTGTCATTCTTTTCTTCTTTCGTCTTTTCAATTCGCCCCATCTGCACCTGGCCTCATTTCTGTACATGGCTTTGTATCTAGTGGCCGCAAGATGCACTATGTGTATTTTCACATGGAAATGTCCATGGCCAGAGTGAGGAACTGAAAGGATGTCTTTTTGAAATGGAATTAGGAAGACACCTACTTTTGTTTACAGAAGGGAAAGATGAATGGAACATCATCGAGGATCTTGCAGGAGCCCTCTCTGATACAGAGGAAGCCTGTAAACCATTTTCTATTCTTTCTCTTGGCCACAGTCATTCCTTTCAACATGTGCTGACCTTCTGCTTGGAGGTCTCCTTGAGGACATTGTCTCAGAAATCTCTGTTGCAATATTTGAGCGGATCACTCAACCCTTTCCACTCTTAAATTTTCTCTACCATCTCACCTTAGGCAATATAAAGTCCTGGTTCACTCTCAGGAACGAGAGCTGACCCAGTTAAGGGAGAAGTTACGGGAAGGGAGAGATGCCTCCCGCTCATTGAATCAGCATCTCCAGGCCCTCCTCACTCCGGATGAGCCAGACAAGTCCCAGGGGCAGGACCTGCAAGAACAGCTGGCTGAGGGGTGTAGACTGGCACAGCACCTTGTCCAAAAGCTCAGCCCAGGTAAGGTGGCCATAGGCCCTGATGACCCAAAACCCCAGGCTTATGAGAGGCTCCAGACCTCCATACTTTCACAATGACAGTTGTATCAGTGGGGTTTTTTTCTGCTACACATATGTGGCCATGACATGACCAGGACTTCCTGGGTAAGAACAGAGATGGGAAACCCATGGGTTTGGAGGTCACAGTATTGCAAGTGTCCCTCCTTCCTTGATGGAAGGTGGTCTTTGGAGCAAGAGGCAGCGTCTGTCTAGTTTTAAAGGACAGGAAGGAGGCTGTGATTGGAGGTGGCTTGTTGGAGTGAAAAGAGCTCTGGGCTAAGAATGAAGGTTCCCAGGCTGTCTTTTTGGCAATGTTCTTAGTAACTGTCGGTGAGTGAGTGATTTATCTTTCCAGAGTTTCTCTCTCTCCATCTGCAAAGGCAGACAAATTGTCTCTTGAAAGGGTCTGAAGCATCCAAGTATGGGAACACTTACGAATGCTTTTTAAAATGAGATGAAGCCCCTCTCCGTTTGGTGTTGGAGAAGGCACTTGGTGTAGGGGCATTTGGTGGTAGGAAGTGCTTCAGACTGGAGCACTCCCCGTGGATAGAATGTCCCTGAATAACACAGCAGAAGCCACATGGAGGGCCTGTGCAGTCTCATGACGCATAGAGGACTGTGGGACAAGTTTGTCCTCACCTAAGAGAAAGAATGAGGTTTGAAATGCGAACTGTGACAGGACACCAAGCCTGTTCCTGGGAATCAGATCTGTGGCAGGATGGGGGCGACAGCTGCCAAAGTCCAGAGAGAGGCTGCACAAGCCTCCAGTGATATGGGAAGCAAAAGGTCTTTTCAATATTTGGCCACATCTTGATGGTGGCCCTCCAGATCAGAAATGCATTGCCCGATGGACCAGGAAACCACGCCAGGGCATTTTGTGAAAGATAAAACATGACAGTTTTCAGTACAATGCTGAACCATACATAGATGTTCATGTCTCTGTGCACATTGGGCTGACTGTGCTTGCAGAATGTGAAGTGGGAAATATCTGAACGAACATTTTGTATTTACAGAAAATGACGAAGATGAGGATGAAGATGTTCAAGTTGAGGAGGCTGAGAAAGTACTGGAATCATCTGCCCCCAGGTAACACTGAATACTCGGGAGCAAGTAATGGGTGGTAACATATGAAAATGTCTAGGAGGTACACCCTCTCTGGCATCTATGATGGGCCAAAAGCCCGCATTCGCTTGGCCACAGTATGTGAAATTCAACCCAGCTTAGACACAGGGTGTGGCAGCTGTCGTGTTTCTCTATGTGTGCCAAGTGTCATGTCTGTACCATACAGGGATAGCTGAGTCTTCATCCTCCTCAGCTCCTATCTGTCCAGTGCACTGAACACCAGCTGCTCTCTTCCTCTCTGGCTCCCATGGCAGCCATGCTCTGTTGCAGAGAGAAGAGGATTGCCTGTTCCCCCTTAAAGGGAACCTCCATTTTGCTTTCTGGGACCACTCTCTTAATGCCGCCTGTCAAAACCAGCTAGGACTCCCTGGGGTCCAATCCCTCTGTGTTTAATCTTCTGTCATCTCTGTCCCACCTGGCTCATCAGGGAGGTGCAGAAGGCTGAAGAAAGCAAAGTCCCTGAGGACTCACTGGAGGAATGTGCCATCACTTGTTCAAATAGCCACGGCCCTTGTGACTCCAACCAGCCTCACAAGAACATCAACATCACATTTGAGGAAGACAAAGTCAACTCAGCTCTGGTTGTAGACAGAGAATCCTCTCATGATGAATGTCAGGATGCTGTAAACATTCTCCCAGGTAGCCTCTATTTTCCTTGTGTCTCATACCTCTGTCTAGGCTATGGAAGATCAATTCTGAGGACAGGCTGTATACGCACATATTGTTTTAGTCAGAAACTAGGATGGAGCTAGGTGCTGTGACTCACACGTATAATCACAGCACTTTGGAAGGCCCAAGTGGGAGGATGACTTGAGTTCAGGAGTTGAAGACCAGCCTGGACAATATGGTGAAACCCATCTTTACAAAGAATACAAAAAATTAGGCAGGTATGGTGCTGCGTGCCTATAGTCCCAACTGCTCAGGAGACTTAGGTGGGAGGATCGGCTGAGACGATCCTCCCACCCTGGTTCGCTCCTCTCAGGCTAGACTCTCTCTCCTTTTCATTGGCTTGTCTCAGCTATTAATAAGAAGTCTCGGCCGGGCGCGGTGGCTCACACATGTAATCCCAGCACTTTGGGAGGCCGGGGCGGGTGGATCACGAGGTCAGGAGATCGAGACCATCCTGGCTAACACGGTGAAACCCCGTCGTTACTAAAAATACAAAAAAAAAAAAAAATTAGCTGGGCGCGGTGTTGGGCGCCTGTAGTCCCAGCTACTCGGGAGGCTGTGGCAGGAGAATGGCATGAACCCAGGAACCGGAGCTTACAGTGAGCCTAGATTGTGCCACTGCACTCCAGCCTGGGAGACAGAGCGAGACTCCATCTCAAAAAAAAAAAAAAAAAAATGTCTCTGACCAGGGGTGCTGGCTCACATCTTAATCCCAGCACTTTGGGAGGCCGAGGTGGGCGGATCACCTGAGGTCAGGAGTTCGAAACCAGCCTGTCCAAGATGGCGAAACCCCATCTCTACTAAAAATACAAAAATTAGCTGGCATGTTACTTGGCGCTTGTAATCCCAGATGTTTGGCAGGCTGAGGGATGAGAATCGCTTGAACCCGGGAGGCAGAGGTGGCAGTGAGCTGAGATTGTGCCTCTGCACTGCAGCCTGCGTGACAGAGTGAGACTCCGTCTCAAACAAAAAACAAAAAACCAAAAAAGAAAAAAATTAAAAAAGCAAAATGAAACCTTTTGTGCTACACAGAAACATTGGCCACTCATGGGGTAAAAATCTCAGGGCCAAGCCTTGCTTTATAGAAACTTATAAGCAAGAAAAGTGTAGAAGTGTTTATGTCTTGGTTTCAAGGTGACTGCATAGCTAAGACAAGTTGACTTAAAGGAGATCAAGACTGGAGATGACAAGAGTGAACCCAGGGAAACATCATCTTCAAATAAGTAGACAAGGCTGCCAGTGACATCCCTCAGTCCTGATTAAGCCTATTTGATTTCACCAGTTTTTAACCCATCATGTGTTTGCCTTTCTTCTCCCCAGTCCCTGGCCCCACCTCTTCTGCCACAAACGTCAGCATGGTGGTATCAGCCGGCCCTTTGTCCAGCGAGAAGGCAGAGATGAACATTCTAGAAATGAATGAGAAATTGCGCCCCCAGCTGGCAGAGAAGAAACAGCAGTTCAGAAACCTCAAAGAGAAATGTTTTGTAACTCAACTGGCCTGCTTCCTGGCCAACCAGCAGAACAAATACAGTAAGATCTATAGGCTCACCATCACGAAAGTGATGAACGAAGTCCTATCTTCTCTCTGAGAAACTAAGTGCTCTCTCCATCTAAAATAATGTCATCCTCCCCATACTTCTAGGAAAACAGAAATGGGTATTTTAACATTTTGTTAAAGTTGGAAGACAGAGGTCCCAAAATATTTAGCAACTTTCCATGTTTGCAATCAGGTGGGGGTGGGACTAGAGTTAAACTGCCATTTATTGATTTCTGACACAGGCACAGAATGACCTGTTTTCTCCAAGAGGCTCAATCATGTTTTCAAGAATCCTCTCTGTACCATGTAAGATCCTGCAGACAAATAACATCTAGTCTGTTGTTCTAAATGTCTGAGACTAGTGAACTTTTATTCAGTTCAAGTTTCTGTTGAGGCCCAACAGGCAAAGCTCTGTTCTAGTGACTCTGAGGGAAACTTGGTGATAGTAGCCAGTACCCGCTCTGAGGGGCTTCAAGAGGAGTCTGCTCCTAATAGAACCTGTGCTATCTATAAGTGACAGCATCAAGAGCAGGGAGTAGGGGCCGTGCATGGTGGCTCACTCCTGTAATCCCAGCCCTTTGGGAGGCTGAGGCGGGCAGATCACGAGGTCAGGAGTTTGAGACCAGCCTGGGAAACATGGAGAAACCCCATCTCCACTAAAAATACAAAAAGTAGATGGGCGTGGTGGCAGGTGACTGTAATCACCCCTGTTCAGGAGGCTGAGGCAGGAGAATCCTTTGAACCCAGGAGGCTGAGGTTGCAGTGAGCCAAGATTTTGTCATTGCACTCCAGCCTGGGTGACAGGGCAAGACTGTTAAAAAAATAATACTAATAATGATAAATAAAAATAAGAATAAGAAGCAGAATGTAGCTTGGTGAGAATGAAGTCCTGCTTCCTGGGGCACAGAGTCTTGTTCCTAAAGAGGAAGAAAGATCGCACCCGAGAATGTGTGGAGATAGCAGTGCAGTGTACAGAGCAGAGACCGTGGGCCTGTCTCCTGGGCTCCATCCAAGTTGCTTGTCTTTTCTGTCCCTGTTTCCTCACCTGTTCAGAGGGTACTACAATAATACCTACCTCTGTAAATTGCTGCAGTGAATTACATGAGCTATTTCTTGTCAATCTCCTAGAACATTTATTGGCACAGAGTAAACACTATCTATTAGTTCTTCATTCTGCTGTTTCTAAATTAACACAAACTTTATTAGCATTTGGGCATATTTCCTTCATGGCCTTATGGTGTTATGTGTCACACTTTATGCTTCAGATATGATTCTTAAAATCATAACAGAAGATATGATTTAAAAATCAAAGATTTTTAAAATCTTTCGCATACTTGTCCTTGAAATTCCCAGTAAAAGGGAAGCCATCAGTCCCATAGTCCTAGGGGCCTTCCCGACTGTACAAGAAATCACTACTTCATGCCCCAGTGCAGTGTTTTAGAGGAGAGGCTGCAAGTCTTGGGAAAGTGGCCCTGCATTCAGAGTCAGACCTCAGGGGCTGTGAATTCTGACTCCACTTCCTTGTGGTTGAATCATCTTGTCAACTTCCTTGATGTGCCCTTGAGGTTCTCTTCATCTCTAAATTTTGGAGGATCAGATGCCAGAAATTCAGGAGACTGAAGAGTAAAGATGTGGAAATCCCTGTCTAGACCCTGGTACTGGGGAGAGTTTTGTCCTTGGGATGGACCTGGCTCCTGCCCTGTAGGCAATGACCACAGCAGCATGTCCAGCCTTCCACTGAGGCAGGCGTGTCTGTCTTTTCTCAGAATATGAAGAGTGCAAAGACCTCATAAAATCTGTGCTGAGGAATGAGCGACAGTTCAAGGAGGAGAAGCTTGCAGAGCAGCTCAAGCAAGCTGAGGAGCTCAGGTGAGGGGACCCCATGGGGGCAGGCAGGGGGACAGGTGTGTAAATCTCTGAAGTACAGCAGCTCAGTGGGGAGACTTAAGAACTAAGCTGGGCCAGGGGAAGGGCAGGAATTGCCATGGCAGGCTCGCTACACACAAATATTTATCAAACAGAGAAGAAGGATAATAAAAATTTATGGGTTGCAGTTGTTTCTCAGAGCCTTGTTTTCTCTTTTTCAAACAAGTAATTGTTGATGTGAAATTTACATAACACAAAATTAACCAAAGGAGTGTGAACCACACAGCAGCATTCAGTATACTCAAAATGGTGTGCCATCACCACCCCACTTACCCTTAGTGAGAATCACCTTCTGACTGACTGTGTCTTCTCATTCTTTCACTCAATCAATGTTGCCTTCTCGACCCTGTCATTCTTTTCTTCTTTCGTCTTTTCAATTCGCCCCATCTGCACCTGGCCTCATTTCTGTACATGGCTTTGTATCTAGTGGCCGCAAGATGCACTATGTGTATTTTCAGATGGAAATGTCCATGGCCAGAGTGAGGAACTGAAAGGATGTCTTTTTGAAACGGAATTAGGAAGACACCTACTTTTGTTTACAGAAGGGAAAGATGAATGGAACATCATCGAGGATCTTGCAGGAGCCCTCTCTGATACAGAGGAAGCCTGTAAACCATTTTCTATTCTTTCTCTTGGCCACAGTCATTCCTTTCAACATGTGCTGACCTTCTGCTTGGAGGTCTCCTTGAGGACATTGTCTCAGAAATCTCTGTTGCAATATTTGAGCGGATCACTCAACCCTTTCCACTCTTAAATTTTCTCTACCGTCTCACCTTAGGCAATATAAAGTCCTGGTTCACTCTCAGGAACGAGAGCTGACCCAGTTAAGGGAGAAGTTACGGGAAGGGAGAGATGCCTCCCGCTCATTGAATCAGCATCTCCAGGCCCTCCTCACTCCGGATGAGCCAGACAAGTCCCAGGGGCAGGACCTCCAAGAACAGCTGGCTGAGGGGTGTAGACTGGCACAGCAACTTTTCCAAAAGCTCAGCCCAGGTAAGGTGGCCATAGGCCCTGATGACCCAAAACCCCAGTCTTATGAGAGGCTCCAGACCTCCATACTTTCACAATGACAGTTGTATCAGTGGGGTTATTTTCTGCTACACATATGTGGCCATGACATGACCAGGACTTCCTGGGTAAGAACGGAGTTGGGAAACCCATGGGGTTGGAGGTCACAGTATTGCAAGTTTCCCTCCTCCCTTGATGGAAGGTGGTCTTTGGAGTAAGAGGCAGCATCTGTCTAGTTTTAAAGGACAGGAAGGAGGCTGCGATAGGAGCAGGCTTGTTAGAGTGAAAAGAGCTCTGGACTAAGAATGAAGGTTCCCAGGCTGTCTTTTCGGCAATGTTCTTAGTAACTGTCAGTGAGTGAATGACTTGTCCTTCCTGAGTTTCTCTCTCTCCATGGCAAATTGTCTCTTGCAAGGGTCTGAAGCATTCAAATGTGGGAACACTTAAAACTGCTTTCCAAAATGAGATGAAGCCCCTCGCCGTGTGATGTTGGAGAAGGCACTTTATGTGGTGGTGTTTCGTGGTAGGAAGTGCTTCAGACTGGAGCACTCCCCATGGATAGAATGTCCCTGAATAACACAGCAGAAGCCACTTGGAGGCTTGAAATCTTCTGATGCATAGAGGACTGTGGGACAAGTTTGTCTGCTTCTAAGAGAAAGAATTAGGTTTGAAATGCAAACTGTGACAGGACACCAAGCCTGTGCCTGGGAATCAGATCTGGCAGGATGGGGGAGACAGCTGCCAAAGTCCAGAGAGAGGCTGCACAAGCCTCCAGTGATATGGGAAGCAAAAGGTCTTTTCAATATTTGGCCACATCTTGATGGTGGCCCTCCAGATCAGAAATGCATTGCCTGATGGATCAGGAAACCATGCCAGGGCATTCTGTTAAAGATAAAACATGAGAGTTTTCAGTTGAACGGTGACCCATGCCTAGATGTTCATGTCTCTGTTGCACATTGGGCTGACTGTGCTTGCAGACTGTGAAGTGGTAAATATCTGAACGAACACTTCTGTATTTACAGAAAATGACAATGATCACGATGAAGATGTTCAAGTTGAGGTGGCTGAGAAAGTGCAGAAATCGTCTGCCCCCAGGTAACACTGAATACTCAGGAACAATTAATGGATGGTAACATATGAAGAATATCTAGGAGGTACACCCTCTCTGGCATCTATGATGGGCCAAAAACCCACATTCGCTTGGCCACAGTATGTGAAATATAACCCAGCTTAGACACAGGGTGCGGCAGCTGTCATGTTTCTCTATGTGTGCCGAGTGTCATGTCTGCACCGTACAGGGATAGCTGAGTCTTCATCCTCCTCAGCTCCTATCTGTCCAGTGCAATGAACACCAGCTGCTCTCTTCCTCTCTGGTTCCCATGGCAGCCATGCTCTGTTGCAGAGAGAACAGGATTGCATGTTCCCTCTTAATGGGAACCTCCATTTTGCTTTCTGGGACCACTCTCTTAATGCCGCCTGTCAAAACCAGCTAGGACTCCATGGGGTCCAATCCCTCTGTGTTTAATCTTCTGTCATCTCTGTCCCACCTGGCTCATCAGGGAGATGCAGAAGGCTGAAGAAAAGGAAGTCCCTGAGGACTCACTGGAGGAATGTGCCATCACTTGTTCAAATAGCCATGGCCCTTATGACTCCAACCAGCCACATAGGAAAACCAAAATCACATTTGAGGAAGACAAAGTCGACTCAACTCTCATTGGCTCATCCTCTCATGTTGAATGGGAGGATGCTGTACACATTATCCCAGGTAGCCTCTGTTTTCCTTGTGTCTCATACCTCTCTCTAGGCTGAGGAAGATAAACTCTGAAGACAGGCTCTATAAACACAAATTCATTTGAATAAAAAACTATGATGGGTTTCTAAACAGATATCAGGGAGTTTTTTTGTCCTTCTCAGCTAATGTCATGCCTTTGTCTGCCAGTCCCCAGTATCAAGTTACTCGACCCCAGGCAAGTGTGACAATCTCATAGTCACCTGAGTGCAGGAGGTGCACAGGCAGTATCTGTCAGGCCTCCTAGCTTCGATTCAGTATCTCTTGTCATCTGTGATTAAGTCATCTGTCCCTGAACAATGTCCATGGAGTTTCTATGCCTGTTTCAGGAAGCTGGCAGCCTTGCCTTTGTATTTGGAAATATTGTTCCCCAGGCTTCACTGCTCTCAGCTTTCATCTGGATCTCCTTTAAGTCAGCTTGCTTAGCTGCACAGTCACCCTGAAATCAGGACGGAAACTTTTCTTCTTTACTTTGCTGATATATTTCCATAAAGCAAGGCTGGACCCTGGTTCTCCACCCTGTCAATGCAATGGCTGATCCAATGTTTCTTTGTAGCATCGTGGATTTTTTTTTTTTTTTTTTTTTTTTTTTTTTTTTTTTTTTTTGCGATGGAGTCTTGCTCTGTCACCCAGGCTAGAGTGCAGTTGCACCATCTTGGCTTGGTGCAACCTCTGCCTCCCAGATTCAAGTGATTCTCCTGCCTCAGCCTCCTGAGTTGCTGGGACCACAGGTGCACAACATCACATCTGGCTAATTTTTGTATTTTTAGTAGAGACAGGGTTTCCCCATATTGGCCAGGGTAGTCCTGAACTCATGACCTCAAATGATTCACCTGTCTTGGCCTCCCAAATCACAGATTCTTTTTAAAGCAAGAGTTGTTCAAATTTATCTATCAGTCGTGTTTCATGTATAGATGCCTCTAAACATTTAATGTCCATGTTATCTGGTGATATAAGTCCGTATTGCAGCAACACTCTTAGAAAATGGACCAATTTTTGGAGATTTTTTTGGGGAAAAAATTTTGTTTAACTTTGACTCAGGCAGGGAATATGGCATTATGGTGTACACGTAGAGGGAGATTTTGGCCTGTGGGTCTGGAAAGCAGGGTCATCTAATTCTCACCAAAGTTAATCTAGGGCACCCTAGAATATTCCTGTCAGAATCCTTATTCTTGCACTGAGAATAGTTATGTCCTTGTGCTATGACTGGACAGTGATTTGGTCATATGTGAAGTATGAATTGCTTAATGTGACCTGCTTCTCTGAATTTATTTACAGAAAATGAAAGTGATGATGAGGAAGAGGAAGAAAAAGGGCCAGTGTCTCCCAGGTAATGTTGTGGAATTGTTGGCTGTTAATTCAGTAGTGACATCTGGAGATTGTAGATTTAGGGAAAATGAGGAAGTGATGAATAGAACTATTTCTTCCATTCACCCAGCTACAAATTGTGCTGATTTACAATGTTGTATGTTATTTGTGGCACTTGTATTGGTTTTAATTTCATAGTCCTCTCAAGATAGGAACTTGCCATCAGATGAGCCAGGTGAACTAGCCAAACAGGGTTTTCTTGTTGATCTTTTCAAAAAACCAGCCCTGGATTCATTGATTTTTTGAAGGGTTTTTTGTGTCTCTATCTCCTTTAGTTCTGCTCTGATCTTAGTTACTTCTTGTCTTCTGCTAGCTTTTGAATTTGTTTGCTTTGCTTCTCTAGTTATTTTAATTGTGATGTTAGGGTGTCAATTTTAGATCTTTTCTGCTTTCTCTTGTGGGCATTTAGTGCTATAATTTTCCCTCTACACATTGCTTTAAATGTGTCCCAGAGATTCTGGTATGTTGTGTCTTTGTTCTCATTGGTTTCAAAGAACATCTTTATTTCTGCCTTCATTTTGTTATTTTCCCAGTAGTCATTCAGGAGCAGGTTGTTCAGTTTCCATGTAGTTGTGCGGTTTTGAGTGAGTTTCTTAATCCTGAGTTCTAATTTGATTGCACTGTGGTCTGACAGTTTGTTGTGGTTTCCATTCTTTTACATTTGCTGATGAGTGCTTTACCTCCAACTATGTGGTCAATTTTGGAATAAGTGTGATGTGGTGCTGAGAAGAATGTATATTCTGTTGATTTGGGGTGGAGAGTTCTGTAGATGTCTTTTAGGTCTGCTTGGTGGAGAGCTGAGTTCAAGTCCTGGATATCCTTGTAAAGCTTCTGTCTCATTGATCTGTCTAATATTGACAGTGGGGTGTTAAAGTCTCCCATTATGATTGTGTGGAGTCTAAATCTCTTTGTAGGTCTCTCAGGACTTGCTTTATGAATCTGGGTGCTCCCGTATAGGGTGCATATATATTTAGGATAGTTAACTCTTCTTGTTGAATTGATCCCTTTACCATTATGTAGTGGCCTTCTTTGTCTCCTTTGATCTTTGTTGGTTTAAAGTCTGTTTTATCAGAGACTAGGATTGCAACCCCTGCATTTTTTTGCTTTCCATTTGCTTGGTAGATCTTCCTCCATCCCTTTATTTTGAGCCTATGTGTGTCTCTGCATGTGAGATGGGTTTCCTGAGTACAGCACACTGATGGGTCTTGACTCTTTGTCCAATTTGCCATTCTGTGTTTTTTAACTGGGGCATTTAGCCCATTTACATTTAAGGTTAATATTGTTATGTGTGAATTTGAGCCTGTCGTTATGATGTTAGCTGGTTATTTCGCCCGTTAGTTGATGCAGTTTCTTCCTAGCGTCAATGGTCTTTACAGTTTGGCATGTTTTTGCAGTGGCTGGTACCGGTTGTTCCTTTCCATGTTTAGTGTTTCCTTTAGGAGCTCTTGTAAGGCAGGCCTGGTGGTGACAAAATCTCTCAGCATTTGCTTCTCTGTAAAGGATTTATTTCTCCTTCACTTATGAAGCTTTGTTTGGCTGGATATGAAATTCTGGGTTGAAAATTCTTTTCTTTAAGAATGTTGAAGATGCTGGAGAGGATGTGGAGAAATAGGAACACTTTTACACTGTTGGTGGGAGTGTAAACTAGTTCAACGATTGTGGAAGGCAGTGTGGCAATTCCTCAGGGATCTAGAACTAGAAATAGCATTTGACCCAGCCATCCCATTACTGGGTGTATACCCAAAGGATTATAAATCATGCTGCTGTAAAGACACATGCACACATATGTTTATTGCGGCACTATTCACAATAGCAAAGACTTGGAACCAAGCCAAATATCCAGCAATGATAGACTGGATTAAGAAAATGTGGCACGTGTACACCATGGAATACTATGCAGCTATAAAAAATGATGAGTTCATGTCCTTTGTAGGGGCATGGATGAAGCTGGAAACCATCATTCTCAGCAAACTATCGCAAGGACAAAAAGCCAAGTACCGCATGTTCTTACTCACAGGTGGGAATTGAACAATGAGAACACATGGACACAGGAAGGGGAACATCACACACTGGGGCCTGTTGTAGGGTGGGGGGAGGGAGGAGGGGTAGCATTAGGAGATATACCTAATGTTAAATGATGAGTTAATGGGTGAAGCACACCAATGTGGACATGTATACATATGTAACTAACCTGCACGTTGTGCACATGTACCCTAAGACTTAAAGTATTAAAAAATATATATACATATATATACATACACACAAAAAATAATAAAGGAAAACTATACATATGGAAAAAAAAAAGAATGTTGAATATTGCTCCCACTCTCTTCTGGCTTGTAGGGTTTGTGCCAAGAGATCTGCTGCTAGTCTGATGGGCTTCCCTTTGTGGGTAATCCGACCTTTCTCTCTGGCTGCACTTAGCATTTTTTCCTTCATTTCAACCTTGGTGAATCTGACAATTATGTGTTTTGGGGTTGCTCTTCTCGAGGAGTATCTTTATGGTGTTCTCTGTGTTTCCTGAATTTGAATGTTGGCCTTCCTTACAAGGTTGGGGAAGTCCTCCTGGATAATATCCTGAAGAATGTTTCCCAGCTTGGTTCCATTCTCCCCGTCACTTTCAGTGCACCAATCAAACGTAGATTTGGTCTTTCCACATAGTCCCATATTTATTGGAGGCTTGTTCATTTCTTTTTACTCTTTTTTCTCTAAACTTCTCTTCTCGCTTCATTTCACTAATTTGATCTTGAATCACTGATACCGTTTCTTGCACTTGATCGAATTGGCTACTGAAGCTTGTGCATGCATCACGTAGTTCTCGTGCCATGGTTTTCAGCTCCATCAGGTCATTTAAGGTCTTCTCTACACTGTTCATTCTGGTTGGCCATTCGTCTAATCTTTTTTCAAGGTTTTTAGCTTCCTTGCGATGAGTTCGCACATCCTCCTTTAGCTCAGAGAAGTTTGTTATTACCGACTTTCTGAAGCCTACTTCTGTCAGCTCATCAAAGTCATTCTCCATCCTGCTTTGTTCCATTGCTGGCGAGGAGCTGTGATCCTTTGGAGGAGAAGGGATGTCAGGTTTTTGGAATTTTCAGCTTTTGTGCTCTGGTTTCTCCCCACCTTTGTGGTTTTATCTACCCTTGGTCTTTGATGATGGCGACCTACAGATGGGGTTTTGGGGTGGATGTCTTTTTTGTTGATGTTGATGCTATTCCTTTCTGTGTGTTAGTTTTCCTTCTAACAATCAGGTCCCTCAGCTTCAGGTCTGTTGGAGTTTGCTGGAAGTCCACTCCAGACCCTCAAACAGGGATTTCTTGGTGTTGCCTATTCTCTCCCATGTGTTTAAATCCAGGGAGAGATGTATATATGCTTTCTTCCTATTCGTTGGTAGTATGTTGGCTAGTATTTTTGCAAGAAAAGAAATTGAAAAGGTAAATATATTATATCAAAATATTGGGAAAATGGGGCCCTTAATACACAAGATCTGTGTCTGCACTGCGTCAAGAACTCTCTTCACTTGAATGCTGCATGTAAAATTCAACCCAATTTATGCAAAGTAGTTGAAGCCCTGTGTCAGTTCTCTGTGCTGCAAGTCATGATGGTAGTTTACAGGGAGAGTCTGGGTGCCCTGAGTTGGCTCATCTGTGGCAAATGTACTGAGCACATGCTGCCCATTTTTGCTCTGTCCCCAGAGCAGTCACCCTCCACCCTGTATTTAGAAGGCTAGTTTTATTTCTCTTGAAGGAAAAATGCCTTTGGTTTCTGTGACCACTCCATTCTGTCTCCCATCAGATCATCTGGGAGGTTTTGTTGTCTAATGTCTGTTGGTTAAATCTTCTATCATCCCTGTCCTGCCTGGCTCATCAGGAATCTGCAGGAGTCTGAAGAGGAGGAAGTCCCCCAGGAGTCCTGGGATGAAGGTTATTCGACTCTCTCAATTCCTCCTGAAATGTTGGCCTCGTACCAGTCTTACAGCGGCACATTTCACTCATTAGAGGAACAGCAAGTCTGCATGGCTGTTGACATAGGCGGTGAGTACTCCATTGTGAAGGTGATAAAGCTCCAGTTCATGGCCCAGGTAGACCCCATAATCTTTGGGCCTTGTGCCCCTTGTTGGGCTGAGATTTGCCATCACTGTGGGCTGAACCTATATATCAATGTAGATTTCAATCACTCTGGAGTCGAGTCTGAAGCACAGGCATGGGGTGGGTGAGTGAGCTTTGCTCTCTTCCTAGTCTCAGGCCATGCCCGTGCCAACCTGGACTGACTGTCACGACATTGAACTCAAGGCAGGTGTGGCAAGCTCACACCAAACTATGCAGCACATGACCAGGAGTTGTCTGTCAGATCAGCTCATCTGAATTAAATGTCTCTTGCCAGCTACAAAATTCCTTATGAGTTTTGTTCCCAAAGCATGTCTGTGTGGTTCTTTACCTGCCCAAGGCAAGTGTCACCCTTGTCTACCTCTCAGTGAAAGATGTGGCCCAGGTTTCACTGAATTTATTCCCATTTTCTGTGTCTTCTAAGTTCGCTTGCTTTAGCTCATCTGTCCGTCATGTTCCTGGTATATTTTCTAGATAAATGTCTGACTTTTCACCCACAAAAGCCATAATAGCTGATGCTTCTGTGTAGAACCAAGTTTCATTTTGACTCAAGAGCTGGTACATTGCACCCCTTCATCAAATCTCTGTGTCCACAATCTCATAAACTATCAAATTCTGGGTATTTGATGAGAGAAAGCTTAATATTGAAGTATCTCTCCTATGAGGTGTTAGAACTATTTGCCTACAATTTATTGGGGAAAAAGTTGCTCATTTGTGTACACAAACCTAGGACAGAGCACATAGGGAAGATAACATTCCAAAACAGGGTAATTTTGCCCAAGGCTCATGAAAGAACCCAAGCCAGTTTTCTCAAGACTTGACCTCAGGCCTACTGGAATATTTCTCTCAAAGTCTCCTGTTCTCACACTGACCAGACTGATGTACCTGTGTTAGGATTGGACAGAGGAATGTTTCTGTGTGCAAGGAAGAACTGCTTAATGTAAGAGGCCCCATCTGAATTTATTTGCAGGACATCGGTGGGATCAAGTGAAAAAGGAGGACCAAGAGGCAACAGGTCCCAGGTGAGTCTGAGAAATTGTGGACAGTTAATTTGATGTTGACACCTGGAGATGCCAAGTCCAGGGAAAACAGTACATGCTGAAAATAATGATTTTGTCTTGTCAGACAAGTCTAAATTATGCCTACTACATTGCTTTTTGGTTCTCATTAGAGTAAATGTTTAGGTTTCCATTTCTTCCTACCCTTATCATTTACTAACCTAGTGAAGGTTGACCATACCTCAAAAGCTGTATTCTCATGGTGGCTGCAGGGAAACTTGAGCACATTTTATGCAAAATTATTGAGGCCATGCTTTTCATGATCACTGTTCACTGTGTGTCCTGAGAGCACAAATAGAGAATGACCGTTGACTCCCTCATCAGTGTGTCACCTGGCCAATTCACTGAGCTCACTCTGTGTGTGTGTGTGTGTGTGTGTGTGTGTGTGTGTGTGTGTGTGTGTGTGTCTTTCTCTTTCATCCTTTTCTACCTGGCCCTAGTCTATCCCAACATAAAGGCAATAATTTGTTACCTCATTAATGGATCTGTCCTTTTTCTTTTCAAACTCTTCCTTATGTTAGCCATGAAATCTAGCTGGGGCTGTGTGGTTTCTGATTCCCCCTGGCTTATTCTTTACTTTTTCCCACTGTTCCAGGCTCAGCAGGGAGCTGCTGGATGAGAAAGGGCCTGAAGTCTTGCAGGACTCACTGGATAGATGTTATTCAACTCCTTCAGGTTATCTTGAACTGACTGACTCATGCCAGCCCTACAGAAGTGCCTTTTACATATTGGAGCAACAGCGTGTTGGCTGGGCTCTTGACATGGATGGTGAGTACCTTTCTATGAAGGTGATAAGGATCCACTGAGTCTTCTGGTTAGGGTCATATTCCTACTGCAAATGGCCCTTACTGAGCTGAGAGATGTCATTGCCACAGGGAGGACCTATAGGCACATGTAGGTTGAATGAAACTCTAGTTCCACTTGGAAGCCCAGGCAAGGGATGGGTCAGTGAGCAGGGCTCTCTTCCTAGTCTCAGGCCATGCCTGTGGCACCCTAATCCCACTCTCAAGATGTTGGATCTGGGCAGATGTGACAAATTCACACAACTCTGATTTTGTCTCAATTTTGTAGATCTTGTAGATTTCATCCTTCACTCTAATTTCAGCATCTAAAATCCTCGCTACCATGAAGAATCT
Organism: Homo sapiens; assembly: GCF_000001405.40. NCBI lineage: Eukaryota > Metazoa > Chordata > Mammalia > Primates > Hominidae > Homo > Homo sapiens. Next base: position 382,089 of record NW_025791756.1, on the reverse strand, counting down.
GAGTATTTGATGAGACAGGGCTGAATATTGCAGTTTTTCTCCCAGCAACCATTTGGGGGCATTTGCTTTAAATCGATTGGAAAAATATGGCATAACCATTTGCACAAACTTGGGACAAATGATCTTGGGATAACGATCTACCAGAATAGGGAATTTTACCCACAGTTTCTGGGACAAAAACCCAGGAATCTCTATCATGATCAGCCTTCAGGCCTCCTGAAGAAGATCTCTCACAGTGTCCTATTCTCATGCTGAGGAGCCTGAAGTCCCTGCGTGAGGATTAGACAGTGGATTGTTATGTGTGTAGGAGAACCAGCTTAATATGTCTGTCCATGTCTGAACTTATTGCAGAAATTGAAAAGTACCAAGAAGTGGAAGAAGACCAAGACCCATCATGCCCCAGGTAACTTTGAGCAATTATGGATGCTTAATTCTGTGTTGACACCTGGAGATGCCAGGTCCAGGGAAAACAAGAGTATGTTCAATTTCATGTTTTCAACGAAGGTTGAATTACTCCTACTGACATTGCTGTTGGTTTTCCTTGCAGTAGATGTTTAGGTTTCCATTTCTTCCTCCCCTTATCATTTACTAACTTACTGTAGGTTGACCATACCTCAAAGGCTGTATGGCAACTGCATGGAATCTTAAGCAAGTTTATGGAAAATTATTGAGCCCACTCTTTTCATGATCACTGTTCTCTGTGTGTCCCGAGGGCACTAACTCAGAGTGTCCTTTGACCCCTTCATCAGTGTGTCACCCGGCCAATTCGCTGAGCTCACTTTCTCCTCTGTCTCTCTCTCCCTCTCCCTCTCCCTGTCTTTCTCTTTCATTCTTTTCTACCTGGCCCTGGTCTATCCCAACATAAAGGCAATAATTCATTACCTCATTAATGGATCTGTCCTTTTTCTGTTTAAACAGTTCCTTATGTTAGCCATGAAATGTAGCTGGGGCTGTGTGGTTTCTGATTCCCCCTGGCTTATTCTTTACTTTTTCCTACTTTTCCAGGCTCAGCAGGGAGCTGCTGGATGAGAAAGAGCCTGAAGTCTTGCAGGACTCACTGGATAGATGTTATTCGACTCCTTCAGGTTATCTTGAACTGCCTGACTTAGGCCAGCCCTACAGAAGTGCTGTTTACTCATTGGAGGAACAGTACCTTGGCTTGGCTCTTGACGTGGACAGTGAGTACCTTACTATGAAGGTGATAAGCCTCCACCTGGTCTTCCAGATAGGGGTGATATTCCTGTTCCCAGTGGCCCTTACTGACCTGAGAGATGTCATTGCCGCAGGCAGGACCTATGGGCGCATATAGGTTGTAATGAAACTGTAGTCTCCGCTGGAAGCCTAGACATGAAATGGGTCAGTGAGCAAGGCTCTATTCCTAGTCTCCAGCCATGCCTGTGGCAACCTGAGCCCGCTCTCAGCACATTGGACCCAGGCAGATGTAAAAAATTCACAGAACTATGATTTGGACTCAAGGGTTTGTAGATTTCCTCCCTCATTCTAATTTCAGTGTCTAAAATTCTTGCATCCATGAACGAGCTGGGCATTTGATGAGACAGGGCTGAATACTGCAGTTTTCCTCCTAGAAATCATCTAGGGCATTGTCTTTGAACTGATGGGAACAATCAGGCATAACTGTTTGCACAAACTTGGGATAAATGATTTTGGGATAACGATCTACCAGAATAGGGATATTTCACCCTTGGTTCTGAGATGCAAACCAAAGAATATCATGACCAGCTTTCAGGCCTCCTGAAGTATATCTCTCACATTGTCCTGTTCTCTTGCTGAGGAGCCTGAGATCCCTGTGTGGGGATTAGACAGTGGACTGTTACGGGTGTAGGTGAATTGGCTTATTTTGTCTGTCCCTGTCTGAATGTATTGCAGGAATTAAAAAGGACCAGGAAGAGGAAGAAGACCAAGGCCCACCATGCCCCAGGTAACTGAGCAATTGTGAACAGCTACTTCTGTGTTGACATCTGGAGACTCCTGGTTCAGGGAAAACAGGGCGGGCTGACATTATCGATTACATCTTTTCAACCGAGCCTGAATTATTCCTACTAACATTGCTGTTGGTTTTCATTGCAGTAGATATTTAGGTTTCCATTTCTTCCTCCCCTTATCATTTACTAACCTACTGTAGGTGGACCAGACTTCAAAAACTGTATTCTCATGGCGACTGCATGGAAACTTGAGCACATTTTATGGAAAATTATTGAGCACAGTCCTTTCCTGATCACTGTATGCTGTGTGTCCTGAGGGCACTAACTCAGAGTGTCCTGTTACTCCCTCATCAGTGTGTCACCTGGACAATTCACTGAGCTCATTCTCTGTGTGTGTGTGTGTGTGTGTGTGTGTGTGTGTGTCTTTCTCTTTCATTCTTTTCCATTTGGCCCTGTTCTGTCCCAACATGAAGGCAATAATTTGTTACCTCATTAATGGATCTCTCCTTTTACTTTTTCAACCACTTCCTTATGCTACCCATGAAACCTAGTTGGGGCTCTGTTGTGTCTGATTTCCCCTGGCTTATTCTTTACTTTTTCCTCCTTTTCCAGGCTCAGCAGGGAGCTGCTGGAGGCAGTAGAGCCTGAAGTCTTGCAGGACTCACTGGATAGATGTTATTCAACTCCTTCCAGTTGTCTTGAACAGCCTGACTCCTGCCTGCCCTATGGAAGTTCCTTTTATGCATTGGAGGAAAAACATGTTGGCTTTTCTCTTGACGTGGGAGGTGAGTACCTTTCTATGAAGGTGATAAGGATCCACTGAGTCTTCCATATAAAGATCATATTCCTGCTCCAAGTGGCCATTACTGAGCTGAGAGATGTCATTGCTGCAGTGAGGACCTGTAGGCACATGTAGGTTGAATGAAACTCTAGTTCTAACTGGAAGCCCAGACATGGGATGGGTCAGTGAGCATGGCTCTCTTCCTAGTCTCAGGCCATGCCTGTGGCACTCTGATTCTACTCTCATGACATTGGACCTGGGCAGATGTGACAAATTCAGAGAACTATGATTTTGACTCAAGGGTTTGTAGATTTCCTTTTTCACTCTAATTTCAGTGTCTAAAGTCCTCACAACCATGAACAATCTGAGTATTTGATGAGACAGGGCTAAATATTGCAGTTTTTCTCCTAGAAATCATTTGAGGGTATTTGCTTTAAATTGATTGGAAAAATATGGCATAACTGTTTGCACAAACTCGGGACAAATGATATTGGGATAACGATCTACTAGAATAGGGACATTTTACCCACAGTTTCTGGGAGAAAAACCGAGGAATTTCTATCATGACCAGCCTTCAGGCCTCCTGAAATATATCTCTCACAGTCTCCTATTCTTATGCTGAGGAGCCTGAGGTCCCTGTGTGAGGGTTAGACAGTGGATTGTTATGTGTGTAGGGGAATCAGCTTAATGTGTCTGTCCATGTCTGAATTTATTGCAGAAATTGAAAAGAAGGGGAAGGGGAAGAAAAGAAGGGGAAGAAGATCAACGAAGAAAAGAAGGAGAAGGGGAAGAAAAGAAGGGGAAGAAGATCAAAACCCACCATGCCCCAGGTAACTTTCAGCAATTGTGGATGCTTAATTCTGTGTTAACACCTGGAGGCAACAGATTGAGGGAAACCAGAGTGTGTTTGATTTCATGTTTTCAACGAAGGCTGAATTACTCCTACTGTCATTGCTGTTGGTTTTCATTGCAGTAGATGTTTAGGTTTCCATTTCTTCCTCCCCTTATCATTTACTAACGTACCATAGGATGACCATACTTCAAAAGCTGTACTCTCATGGCCACTGCATCGAATTTTGAGCATATTTTATGGAAAACTATTGAGCTCACTCTTTTCATGATCGCAGTGTGCTGTGTGTCATGAGGGCACTAACTCAGAGTGTCCTTTTACTCCCTTACCAGTATGTCACCTGGCCAATTCACTAGCTCACTTTCTCTCTGTCTCTGTCTCTGTCTCTGTCTCTCTGTCTTTCTCTTTCATTGTTTTCTACCTGGCCCTGTTCTATCCCAACATAAAGGCAATAATTTGTTACCTCATTAATGGATCTGTCCTTTTTCTTTTCAAACTCTTCCTTATGTTAGCCATGAAATCTAGCTGGGGCTGTGTGGTTTCTGATTCCCCCTGGCTTATTCTTTACTTTTTCCCACTGTTCCAGGCTCAGCAGGGAGCTGCTGGATGAGAAAGGGCCTGAAGTCTTGCAGGACTCACTGGATAGATGTTATTCAACTCCTTCAGGTTATCTTGAACTGACTGACTCATGCCAGCCCTACAGAAGTGCCTTTTACATATTGGAGCAACAGCGTGTTGGCTGGGCTCTTGACATGGATGGTGAGTACCTTTCTATGAAGGTGATAAGGATCCACTGAGTCTTCTGGTTAGGGTCATATTCCTACTGCAAATGGCCCTTACTGAGCTGAGAGATGTCATTGCCACAGGGAGGACCTATAGGCACATGTAGGTTGAATGAAACTCTAGTTCCACTTGGAAGCCCAGGCAAGGGATGGGTCAGTGAGCAGGGCTCTCTTCCTAGTCTCAGGCCATGCCTGTGGCACCCTAATCCCACTCTCAAGATGTTGGATCTGGGCAGATGTGACAAATTCACACAACTCTGATTTTGTCTCAATTTTGTAGATCTTGTAGATTTCATCCTTCACTCTAATTTCAGCATCTAAAATCCTCGCTACCATGAAGAATCTGAGTATTTGATGAGACAGGGCTGAATATTGCAGTTTTTCTCCCAGCAACCATTTGGGGGCATTTGCTTTAAATCGATTGGAAAAATATGGCATAACCATTTGCACAAACTTGGGACAAATGATCTTGGGATAACGATCTACCAGAATAGGGAATTTTACCCACAGTTTCTGGGACAAAAACCCAGGAATCTCTATCATGATCAGCCTTCAGGCCTCCTGAAGAAGATCTCTCACAGTGTCCTATTCTCATGCTGAGGAGCCTGAAGTCCCTGCGTGAGGATTAGACAGTGGATTGTTATGTGTGTAGGAGAACCAGCTTAATATGTCTGTCCATGTCTGAACTTATTGCAGAAATTGAAAAGTACCAAGAAGTGGAAGAAGACCAAGACCCATCATGCCCCAGGTAACTTTGAGCAATTATGGATGCTTAATTCTGTGTTGACACCTGGAGATGCCAGGTCCAGGGAAAACAAGAGTATGTTCAATTTCATGTTTTCAACGAAGGTTGAATTACTCCTACTGACATTGCTGTTGGTTTTCCTTGCAGTAGATGTTTAGGTTTCCATTTCTTCCTCCCCTTATCATTTACTAACTTACTGTAGGTTGACCATACCTCAAAGGCTGTATGGCAACTGCATGGAATCTTAAGCAAGTTTATGGAAAATTATTGAGCCCACTCTTTTCATGATCACTGTTCTCTGTGTGTCCCGAGGGCACTAACTCAGAGTGTCCTTTGACCCCTTCATCAGTGTGTCACCCGGCCAATTCGCTGAGCTCACTTTCTCCTCTGTCTCTCTCTCCCTCTCCCTCTCCCTGTCTTTCTCTTTCATTCTTTTCTACCTGGCCCTGGTCTATCCCAACATAAAGGCAATAATTCATTACCTCATTAATGGATCTGTCCTTTTTCTGTTTAAACAGTTCCTTATGTTAGCCATGAAATGTAGCTGGGGCTGTGTGGTTTCTGATTCCCCCTGGCTTATTCTTTACTTTTTCCTACTTTTCCAGGCTCAGCAGGGAGCTGCTGGATGAGAAAGAGCCTGAAGTCTTGCAGGACTCACTGGATAGATGTTATTCGACTCCTTCAGGTTATCTTGAACTGCCTGACTTAGGCCAGCCCTACAGAAGTGCTGTTTACTCATTGGAGGAACAGTACCTTGGCTTGGCTCTTGACGTGGACAGTGAGTACCTTACTATGAAGGTGATAAGCCTCCACCTGGTCTTCCAGATAGGGGTGATATTCCTGTTCCCAGTGGCCCTTACTGACCCGAGAGATGTCATTGCCGCAGGCAGGACCTATGGGCGCATATAGGTTGTAATGAAACTGTAGTCTCCGCTGGAAGCCTAGACATGAAATGGGTCAGTGAGCAAGGCTCTATTCCTAGTCTCCAGCCATGCCTGTGGCAACCTGAGCCCGCTCTCAGCACATTGGACCCAGGCAGATGTAAAAAATTCACAGAACTATGATTTGGACTCAAGGGTTTGTAGATTTCCTCCCTCATTCTAATTTCAGTGTCTAAAATTCTTGCATCCATGAACGAGCTGGGCATTTGATGAGACAGGGCTGAATACTGCAGTTTTCCTCCTAGAAATCATCTAGGGCATTGTCTTTGAACTGATGGGAACAATCAGGCATAACTGTTTGCACAAACTTGGGATAAATGATTTTGGGATAACGATCTACCAGAATAGGGATATTTCACCCTTGGTTCTGAGATGCAAACCAAAGAATATCATGACCAGCTTTCAGGCCTCCTGAAGTATATCTCTCACATTGTCCTGTTCTCTTGCTGAGGAGCCTGAGATCCCTGTGTGGGGATTAGACAGTGGACTGTTACGGGTGTAGGTGAATTGGCTTATTTTGTCTGTCCCTGTCTGAATGTATTGCAGGAATTAAAAAGGACCAGGAAGAGGAAGAAGACCAAGGCCCACCATGCCCCAGGTAACTGAGCAATTGTGAACAGCTACTTCTGTGTTGACATCTGGAGACTCCTGGTTCAGGGAAAACAGGGCGGGCTGACATTATCGATTACATCTTTTCAACCGAGCCTGAATTATTCCTACTAACATTGCTGTTGGTTTTCATTGCAGTAGATATTTAGGTTTCCATTTCTTCCTCCCCTTATCATTTACTAACCTACTGTAGGTGGACCAGACTTCAAAAACTGTATTCTCATGGCGACTGCATGGAAACTTGAGCACATTTTATGGAAAATTATTGAGCACAGTCCTTTCCTGATCACTGTATGCTGTGTGTCCTGAGGGCACTAACTCAGAGTGTCCTGTTACTCCCTCATCAGTGTGTCACCTGGACAATTCACTGAGCTCATTCTCTGTGTGTGTGTGTGTGTGTGTGTGTGTGTGTGTGTGTCTTTCTCTTTCATTCTTTTCCATTTGGCCCTGTTCTGTCCCAACATGAAAGCAATAATTTGTTACCTCATTAATGGATCTCTCCTTTTACTTTTTCAACCACTTCCTTATGCTACCCATGAAACCTAGTTGGGGCTCTGTTGTGTCTGATTTCCCCTGGCTTATTCTTTACTTTTTCCTCCTTTTCCAGGCTCAGCAGGGAGCTGCTGGAGGCAGTAGAGCCTGAAGTCTTGCAGGACTCACTGGATAGATGTTATTCAACTCCTTCCAGTTGTCTTGAACAGCCTGACTCCTGCCTGCCCTATGGAAGTTCCTTTTATGCATTGGAGGAAAAACATGTTGGCTTTTCTCTTGACGTGGGAGGTGAGTACCTTTCTATGAAGGTGATAAGGATCCACTGAGTCTTCCATATAAAGATCATATTCCTGCTCCAAGTGGCCATTACTGAGCTGAGAGATGTCATTGCTGCAGTGAGGACCTATAGGCACATGTAGGTTGAATGAAACTCTAGTTCTAACTGGAAGCCCAGACATGGGATGGGTCAGTGAGCATGGCTCTCTTCCTAGTCTCAGGCCATGCCTGTGGCACTCTGATTCTACTCTCATGACATTGGACCTGGGCAGATGTGACAAATTCAGAGAACTATGATTTTGACTCAAGGGTTTGTAGATTTCCTTTTTCACTCTAATTTCAGTGTCTAAAGTCCTCACAACCATGAACAATCTGAGTATTTGATGAGACAGGGCTAAATATTGCAGTTTTTCTCCTAGAAATCATTTGAGGGTATTTGCTTTAAATTGATTGGAAAAATATGGCATAACTGTTTGCACAAACTCGGGACAAATGATATTGGGATAACGATCTACTAGAATAGGGACATTTTACCCACAGTTTCTGGGAGAAAAACCGAGGAATTTCTATCATGACCAGCCTTCAGGCCTCCTGAAATATATCTCTCACAGTCTCCTATTCTTATGCTGAGGAGCCTGAGGTCCCTGTGTGAGGGTTAGACAGTGGATTGTTATGTGTGTAGGGGAATCAGCTTAATGTGTCTGTCCATGTCTGAATTTATTGCAGAAATTGAAAAGAAGGGGAAGGGGAAGAAAAGAAGGGGAAGAAGATCAACGAAGAAAAGAAGGAGAAGGGGAAGAAAAGAAGGGGAAGAAGATCAAAACCCACCATGCCCCAGGTAACTTTCAGCAATTGTGGATGCTTAATTCTGTGTTAACACCTGGAGGCAACAGATTGAGGGAAACCAGAGTGTGTTTGATTTCATGTTTTCAACGAAGGCTGAATTACTCCTACTGTCATTGCTGTTGGTTTTCATTGCAGTAGATGTTTAGGTTTCCATTTCTTCCTCCCCTTATCATTTACTAACGTACCATAGGATGACCATACTTCAAAAGCTGTACTCTCATGGCCACTGCATCGAATTTTGAGCATATTTTATGGAAAACTATTGAGCTCACTCTTTTCATGATCGCAGTGTGCTGTGTGTCATGAGGGCACTAACTCAGAGTGTCCTTTTACTCCCTTACCAGTATGTCACCTGGCCAATTCACTAGCTCACTTTCTCTCTGTCTCTGTCTCTGTCTCTGTCTCTCTGTCTTTCTCTTTCATTGTTTTCTACCTGGCCCTGTTCTATCCCAACATAAAGGCAATAATTTGTTACCTCATTAATGGATCTGTCCTTTTTCTTTTCAAACTCTTCCTTATGTTAGCCATGAAATCTAGCTGGGGCTGTGTGGTTTCTGATTCCCCCTGGCTTATTCTTTACTTTTTCCCACTGTTCCAGGCTCAGCAGGGAGCTGCTGGATGAGAAAGGGCCTGAAGTCTTGCAGGACTCACTGGATAGATGTTATTCAACTCCTTCAGGTTATCTTGAACTGACTGACTCATGCCAGCCCTACAGAAGTGCCTTTTACATATTGGAGCAACAGCGTGTTGGCTGGGCTCTTGACATGGATGGTGAGTACCTTTCTATGAAGGTGATAAGGATCCACTGAGTCTTCTGGTTAGGGTCATATTCCTACTGCAAATGGCCCTTACTGAGCTGAGAGATGTCATTGCCACAGGGAGGACCTATAGGCACATGTAGGTTGAATGAAACTCTAGTTCCACTTGGAAGCCCAGGCAAGGGATGGGTCAGTGAGCAGGGCTCTCTTCCTAGTCTCAGGCCATGCCTGTGGCACCCTAATCCCACTCTCAAGATGTTGGATCTGGGCAGATGTGACAAATTCACACAACTCTGATTTTGTCTCAATTTTGTAGATCTTGTAGATTTCATCCTTCACTCTAATTTCAGCATCTAAAATCCTCGCTACCATGAAGAATCTGAGTATTTGATGAGACAGGGCTGAATATTGCAGTTTTTCTCCCAGCAACCATTTGGGGGCATTTGCTTTAAATCGATTGGAAAAATATGGCATAACCATTTGCACAAACTTGGGACAAATGATCTTGGGATAACGATCTACCAGAATAGGGAATTTTACCCACAGTTTCTGGGACAAAAACCCAGGAATCTCTATCATGATCAGCCTTCAGGCCTCCTGAAGAAGATCTCTCACAGTGTCCTATTCTCATGCTGAGGAGCCTGAAGTCCCTGCGTGAGGATTAGACAGTGGATTGTTATGTGTGTAGGAGAACCAGCTTAATATGTCTGTCCATGTCTGAACTTATTGCAGAAATTGAAAAGTACCAAGAAGTGGAAGAAGACCAAGACCCATCATGCCCCAGGTAACTTTGAGCAATTATGGATGCTTAATTCTGTGTTGACACCTGGAGATGCCAGGTCCAGGGAAAACAAGAGTATGTTCAATTTCATGTTTTCAACGAAGGTTGAATTACTCCTACTGACATTGCTGTTGGTTTTCCTTGCAGTAGATGTTTAGGTTTCCATTTCTTCCTCCCCTTATCATTTACTAACTTACTGTAGGTTGACCATACCTCAAAGGCTGTATGGCAACTGCATGGAATCTTAAGCAAGTTTATGGAAAATTATTGAGCCCACTCTTTTCATGATCACTGTTCTCTGTGTGTCCCGAGGGCACTAACTCAGAGTGTCCTTTGACCCCTTCATCAGTGTGTCACCCGGCCAATTCGCTGAGCTCACTTTCTCCTCTGTCTCTCTCTCCCTCTCCCTCTCCCTGTCTTTCTCTTTCATTCTTTTCTACCTGGCCCTGGTCTATCCCAACATAAAGGCAATAATTCATTACCTCATTAATGGATCTGTCCTTTTTCTGTTTAAACAGTTCCTTATGTTAGCCATGAAATGTAGCTGGGGCTGTGTGGTTTCTGATTCCCCCTGGCTTATTCTTTACTTTTTCCTACTTTTCCAGGCTCAGCAGGGAGCTGCTGGATGAGAAAGAGCCTGAAGTCTTGCAGGACTCACTGGATAGATGTTATTCGACTCCTTCAGGTTATCTTGAACTGCCTGACTTAGGCCAGCCCTACAGAAGTGCTGTTTACTCATTGGAGGAACAGTACCTTGGCTTGGCTCTTGACGTGGACAGTGAGTACCTTACTATGAAGGTGATAAGCCTCCACCTGGTCTTCCAGATAGGGGTGATATTCCTGTTCCCAGTGGCCCTTACTGACCCGAGAGATGTCATTGCCGCAGGCAGGACCTATGGGCGCATATAGGTTGTAATGAAACTGTAGTCTCCGCTGGAAGCCTAGACATGAAATGGGTCAGTGAGCAAGGCTCTATTCCTAGTCTCCAGCCATGCCTGTGGCAACCTGAGCCCGCTCTCAGCACATTGGACCCAGGCAGATGTAAAAAATTCACAGAACTATGATTTGGACTCAAGGGTTTGTAGATTTCCTCCCTCATTCTAATTTCAGTGTCTAAAATTCTTGCATCCATGAACGAGCTGGGCATTTGATGAGACAGGGCTGAATACTGCAGTTTTCCTCCTAGAAATCATCTAGGGCATTGTCTTTGAACTGATGGGAACAATCAGGCATAACTGTTTGCACAAACTTGGGATAAATGATTTTGGGATAACGATCTACCAGAATAGGGATATTTCACCCTTGGTTCTGAGATGCAAACCAAAGAATATCATGACCAGCTTTCAGGCCTCCTGAAGTATATCTCTCACATTGTCCTGTTCTCTTGCTGAGGAGCCTGAGATCCCTGTGTGGGGATTAGACAGTGGACTGTTACGGGTGTAGGTGAATTGGCTTATTTTGTCTGTCCCTGTCTGAATGTATTGCAGGAATTAAAAAGGACCAGGAAGAGGAAGAAGACCAAGGCCCACCATGCCCCAGGTAACTGAGCAATTGTGAACAGCTACTTCTGTGTTGACATCTGGAGACTCCTGGTTCAGGGAAAACAGGGCGGGCTGACATTATCGATTACATCTTTTCAACCGAGCCTGAATTATTCCTACTAACATTGCTGTTGGTTTTCATTGCAGTAGATATTTAGGTTTCCATTTCTTCCTCCCCTTATCATTTACTAACCTACTGTAGGTGGACCAGACTTCAAAAACTGTATTCTCATGGCGACTGCATGGAAACTTGAGCACATTTTATGGAAAATTATTGAGCACAGTCCTTTCCTGATCACTGTATGCTGTGTGTCCTGAGGGCACTAACTCAGAGTGTCCTGTTACTCCCTCATCAGTGTGTCACCTGGACAATTCACTGAGCTCATTCTCTGTGTGTGTGTGTGTGTGTGTGTGTGTGTGTGTGTCTTTCTCTTTCATTCTTTTCCATTTGGCCCTGTTCTGTCCCAACATGAAAGCAATAATTTGTTACCTCATTAATGGATCTCTCCTTTTACTTTTTCAACCACTTCCTTATGCTACCCATGAAACCTAGTTGGGGCTCTGTTGTGTCTGATTTCCCCTGGCTTATTCTTTACTTTTTCCTCCTTTTCCAGGCTCAGCAGGGAGCTGCTGGAGGCAGTAGAGCCTGAAGTCTTGCAGGACTCACTGGATAGATGTTATTCAACTCCTTCCAGTTGTCTTGAACAGCCTGACTCCTGCCTGCCCTATGGAAGTTCCTTTTATGCATTGGAGGAAAAACATGTTGGCTTTTCTCTTGACGTGGGAGGTGAGTACCTTTCTATGAAGGTGATAAGGATCCACTGAGTCTTCCATATAAAGATCATATTCCTGCTCCAAGTGGCCATTACTGAGCTGAGAGATGTCATTGCTGCAGTGAGGACCTATAGGCACATGTAGGTTGAATGAAACTCTAGTTCTAACTGGAAGCCCAGACATGGGATGGGTCAGTGAGCATGGCTCTCTTCCTAGTCTCAGGCCATGCCTGTGGCACTCTGATTCTACTCTCATGACATTGGACCTGGGCAGATGTGACAAATTCAGAGAACTATGATTTTGACTCAAGGGTTTGTAGATTTCCTTTTTCACTCTAATTTCAGTGTCTAAAGTCCTCACAACCATGAACAATCTGAGTATTTGATGAGACAGGGCTAAATATTGCAGTTTTTCTCCTAGAAATCATTTGAGGGTATTTGCTTTAAATTGATTGGAAAAATATGGCATAACTGTTTGCACAAACTCGGGACAAATGATATTGGGATAACGATCTACTAGAATAGGGACATTTTACCCACAGTTTCTGGGAGAAAAACCGAGGAATTTCTATCATGACCAGCCTTCAGGCCTCCTGAAATATATCTCTCACAGTCTCCTATTCTTATGCTGAGGAGCCTGAGGTCCCTGTGTGAGGGTTAGACAGTGGATTGTTATGTGTGTAGGGGAATCAGCTTAATGTGTCTGTCCATGTCTGAATTTATTGCAGAAATTGAAAAGAAGGGGAAGGGGAAGAAAAGAAGGGGAAGAAGATCAACGAAGAAAAGAAGGAGAAGGGGAAGAAAAGAAGGGGAAGAAGATCAAAACCCACCATGCCCCAGGTAACTTTCAGCAATTGTGGATGCTTAATTCTGTGTTAACACCTGGAGGCAACAGATTGAGGGAAACCAGAGTGTGTTTGATTTCATGTTTTCAACGAAGGCTGAATTACTCCTACTGTCATTGCTGTTGGTTTTCATTGCAGTAGATGTTTAGGTTTCCATTTCTTCCTCCCCTTATCATTTACTAACGTACCATAGGATGACCATACTTCAAAAGCTGTACTCTCATGGCCACTGCATCGAATTTTGAGCATATTTTATGGAAAACTATTGAGCTCACTCTTTTCATGATCGCAGTGTGCTGTGTGTCATGAGGGCACTAACTCAGAGTGTCCTTTTACTCCCTTACCAGTATGTCACCTGGCCAATTCACTAGCTCACTTTCTCTCTGTCTCTGTCTCTGTCTCTGTCTCTCTGTCTTTCTCTTTCATTGTTTTCTACCTGGCCCTTTTCTATCCCAACATAAAGGCAATAATTTTTTTTTTTTACCTCATTAATGGATCTATCCTTTTCTTTTCTTACCACTTCCTTATGTTACTTCTGAAATCTAGTGGGGCTCTGTGGTGTCTGATTTTCCCTGGCTGCTTCTTTAGTTTTGTCTGCTTTTCCAGGCTCAGCGGTGTGCTGATGGAAGTGGAAGAGCCTGAAGTCTTACAGGACTCACTGGATAGATGTTATTCGACTCCGTCAATGTTCTTTGAACTACCTGACTCATTCCAGCACTACAGAAGTGTGTTTTACTCATTTGAGGAACAGCACATCAGCTTCGCCCTTGACGTGGACAATAGGTTTCTTACTTTGATGGGAAGAAGTCTCCACCTGGTCTTCCAGATGGGAGTCATATTCCCACAATAAGCAGCCCTTACTAAGCCGAGAGATGTCATTCCTGCAGGCAGGACCTATAGGCACGTGAAGATTTGAATGAAACTATAGTTCCATTTGGAAGCCCAGACATAGGATGGGTCAGTGGGCATGGCTCTATTCCTATTCTCAGACCATGCCAGTGGCAACCTGTGCTCAGTCTGAAGACAATGGACCCAAGTTAGGTGTGACACGTTCACATAACTGTGCAGCACATGCCGGGAGTGATCAGTCAGACATTTTAATTTGAACCACGTATCTCTGGGTAGCTACAAAGTTCCTCAGGGATTTCATTTTGCAGGCATGTCTCTGAGCTTCTATACCTGCTCAAGGTCAGTGTCATCTTTGTGTTTAGCTCATCCAAAGGTGTTACCCTGGTTTCAATGAACCTAACCTCATTCTTTGTATCTTCAGTGTTGAATTGTTTTAGCTGATCCATCTTTAACGCAGGAGGGATCCTTGGCTGAGGATTGTATTTCAGAACCACCAACTGCTCTTGACAATTGTTAACCCGCTAGGCTCCTTTGGTTAGAGAAGCCACAGTCCTTCAGCCTCCAATTGGTGTCAGTACTTAGGAAGACCACAGCTAGATGGACAAACAGCATTGGGAGGCCTTAGCCCTGCTCCTCTCGATTCCATCCTGTAGAGAACAGGAGTCAGGAGCCGCTGGCAGGAGACAGCATGTCACCCAGGACTCTGCCGGTGCAGAATATGAACAACGCCATGTTCTTGCAGAAAACGCTTAGCCTGAGTTTCATAGGAGGTAATCACCAGACAACTGCAGAATGTAGAACACTGAGCAGGACAACTGACCTGTCTCCTTCACATAGTCCATATCACCACAAATCACACAACAAAAAGGAGAAGAGATATTTTGGGTTCAAAAAAAGTAAAAAGATAATATAGCTGCATTTCTTTAGTTATTTTGAACCCCAAATATTTCCTCATCTTTTTGTTGTTGTCATTGATGGTGGTGACATGGACTTGTTTATAGAGGACAGGTCAGCTGTCTGGCTCAATGATCTACATTCTGAAGTTGTCTGAAAATGTCTTCATGATTAAATTCAGCCTAAACGTTTTGCCGGGAACACTGCAGAGACAATGCTGTGAGTTTCCAACCTTAGCCCATCTGCGGGCAGAGAAGGTCTAGTTTGTCCATCAGCATTATCATGATATCAGGACTGGTTACTTGGTTAAGGAGGGGTCTAGGAGATCTGTCCCTTTTAGAGACACCTTACTTATAATGAAGTATTTGGGAGGGTGGTTTTCAAAAGTAGAAATGTCCTGTATTCCGATGATCATCCTGTAAACATTTTATCATTTATTAATCATCCCTGCCTGTGTCTATTATTATATTCATATCTCTACGCTGGAAACTTTCTGCCTCAATGTTTACTGTGCCTTTGTTTTTGCTAGTTTGTGTTGTTGAAAAAAAAAACATTCTCTGCCTGAGTTTTAATTTTTGTCCAAAGTTATTTTAATCTATACAATTAAAAGCTTTTGCCTATCACTCTGGACTGTTGGATTGTTTTTTACATTCAGTGTTATAATCTTTTGTTATGCTGATTGGTTTCGGTGGGTACTGATGTGAATTAATAAAAACATTTCCATTTCCCTGTTTATTTTCTAATCTCTTCCACCTTGTAGGCTATGTTTACCATATGTAGCAGAATGCATTTACTCCATTTCTTGGTTCTAGATATTTATATTCTTTGTGAGAGTGTGTGTGTGTGTGTGTGTGTGTGTGTGTGTGCCTCTGGCATTTAGGAAGGGTTGTGTAGCTCATGTTTGATATTGATTAAAAATGTTTCATAGTTTTCCCCCCTTTGAACTAGACACACTTCTAATATTTGGTTTATACATTTTAAATTATGACTTTCAACGTCAAATATTTCCATATGACAGTCAGTTACATGATGTGTTTTCTTTTTCCTACCTCCTTTACCTGCCACTTCTCATAATGGTATTTGAACCTAAACATATGCCAGTGACATTCTGTGGTTGTCATCTTGCCCACACCTTGGTTTTTGGTTTAGATCCACAATTAAATATATTAATGCTCATGAGCTGTTCAAAAGTGAATGTCACAGTCATCACTTGCTGAGTGGTACTCATCCTTAACAGAGTCCTCATGAGGGAATCAGGTCTCGCTGAGTTTAGCATGTTTAATAATCTTCCTCGTGGTCTTGATACATGGATCGCATTACTGGATATAAGGTGTTTGCCCAAAATGATTTTTCTTGCATTTTTAGGAGCTATTGTCTTCCTTGCGGGACATACATGCTGTATGTTCTCATTGTGGGATTCTATTTTGTTCTACCAGGACCTATAATTTCTGCCAGTTACTTCATTTGTTCTCTTCACCATGAGTCTCCAGAGGATGCTTCCTTTGTCCATGCCTCCCCATCTCCCAGCAATTCTGCGTTTCCAAGACTGGCACCTCTGGTCCTCTGCATGGTGAAGCCCCTTCCTTTCAATTCCCCAGTAGCCAGTGCTCTAATCCACCAGGTCTCAGGTATGATCTGTGTTTCTCCACATGCTCTTTCTGAGGATAGTTTTACCTGTGTTCTGTCATGAACAGGCCCTCCCTGCTGTCCTGGCCTCGATTTGCTTAGTGTTTCCTGCTCCCTCTGCCCTTGTGTGGCTCCCAGACCAAGTGAAACAAAATCACCTGAGGGCCACAGTGTTCCCTAGCCCTGGCGTTTAGGGGCAGGGTTATGGGTGGGATTTTTGACTCTCTAAGTTAACCCCTAGGGCTTTGAAGTGTCTGTTGAGAAATTCAGCTGTTATCATCCTAGGTGGACTTGCTCTCTCCTGTCCTCCTACTTCAAATGCAGAACTTCAATCGTTTACAAAAGAAGACTGAGTCATATAATAGAACACACCCTTATTCATTGGCTGGCTTCACCAATCATCTCATGGCTGAACTTTTAAAAATACAATCTTAGCCACATACCTATGAAATGTATATGTGTGTGTATACATATGTGAATTTGTTTCTGAGATTATGGAGGCTGAAATTCCCAAGATGGAAGGAAAGCTGGATACCCAGGAAAGCATTTGTTTCCCATTAGGCCTCTTAATTCTCTCCTGACCTTTGATTGATTGCATGAGTCCCACCCCCGTTAAGGGGGGCAATCTGCTTCACTTAGTCTGCCCATCCCAATGTTAATCATATGTGAAACACTCTCTGGAACACAACCAGAATCACATTTGGCCGAATGTCCCGGCACCCTGGTGCTCAGTCACAGTGACACGTGCAAGTAACTATCACACTTGTCCTTTGTCACATTTGTCATTTCCCCTGTTTTTCTCCCAATCTGCAGCTTATATTTGTTCTCTTAATACTGTCTCGTGTTGAGCAAAAACTTTTACTTTTTATAAAGTTGAATTTATCAATGTTTTCTTTAATGGTTTGTGTTTCTTGATAACAAAGAACACTTTGCCTAACTGTGTCGTGAAGATTTTGTCTTATATTTCCTGCTATACTTTTTCTACTTTTATAGTTTATATTTAGTTGCATAATCCATTTTGAGTTAGTTTTTGAGTCAGTATTGAGGTTCAGGTGAATCTTTTTCCTTTGGGGATATGCATGTCCAGTTGTTTCTACACAATTTGTTGACAAGAGAATGCCTTCTCCACTGAATCATATTTGGACCTTTGTCAATCCATTGGGTGGTTGAGACTGGTCTGAGGGCTGTCCTGGTGTTTGGACAGAGAGACAGGGCATGAAGTAGGGTGGTTCTTATGGGAAAAATTAAGGAAGGCACATTATTCTATGAGGCATAGGAAGCCCCAAGCACAATTGGGGTACCTTCTACCAGCATGTTGTAGCACATTCATCTCTGCTGTCTCTACCTCTCCTGTTGCAAAAGCTTGGGTGTGCATAGACACTGAGGTTGAGTGGTGTCTTTGGGCACTTTTGAGCATTGACACCAAAGCTCCAGCATCAAATCTTAGAATATCAAGCAGCCGGGTGGATCACCTGAGGTCAGGAGTTCACGACCAGCCTGACTAGCATGGTGAAGCCCTGTCTCTACTAAACACAAAAAGTTTAGCTGGGCATGATGGTGCATGCCTGTAATCTGAGCTACTTGGGAGGCGGAGACAGGAGAATCGCTTGAGTACCTGGGAGGCAGAGGTTGCAGTGAGCTGAGATCACACAATTGCACTCCAGACTGGGCAACGAGAGTGAAACTCCATCCCCCCAAAAACAAATAAATAAAAATAAAAGAATATCAAGCAGTCAAAGAAGCAGGAAAACATGACACATACTGAAGAATCTAATAATCTGGTTGAAATTGACACACACGTTGGAAATAGAAGAAAAGGACGTTACCGCAATTAGTATAATTGTATTTTAATTAAATGGAGAGGTTGAAGATTTTTTAAATATCAAATTCTGTAGATAAAAACTATGATTTACAGTGTGAAATGGAAGAAGGCACTGGATTAAATATTGCAGAAGAGAAGATTATTAAACTAGAAGGAATAGAAGTTGAAACTAACATAAATGAAACACACATTAACAAATGACTTGAAAACATATAAAGACCATCAGCATCAAAACTTTAAACCCCCCAGTATAGGGCTAAATGGAATCCCTGAAGGGCAGGTAGTGGAGAAGAGAGAAAAAGATATTTAAAACATACTGGATGAAAGATTTAGAAGCTCCATGGAAATCATAAACTTCAAATATTACAGAAATATGATTATCCCAAGAACAAGAAACATGCAGAAAACTTCACCAAGGAACACCTTAATCGAATCCATCAAAACCAGTGATAAAAAGGAAATCCTAAAAGTAATAAAAGGGAAAAGAACATGTTACATACAGAGCACTAAATATAAGGATGGCATAAGATTTCTCATAGCAGACTTTACAAACAAGAAGTTTGCAATAAAGTACTTAAAAAAAGAAAAACTGTCACCTACAAGTCTACACCTGGCCAAATTATCTTTCAAAAATAAACATGAGAAAAAATATTTTTGAACAGAAAACAAAATGATCTCAATTTGCAGATGGTGTGATCCTATGTATAGAAAATCCCAAACAATACATACAAAGGCAAACACACATACATGCACACAGACACCAGACACACACACACACACACACACACACACACACTATCAGAGTTAATAAGTGAATTCAGCAAACTTTCAGCAAACAATTCATTGTGATGGCAATGAGCTATCTGAGAAGTAAACTGACACAATGATTTCATTTATAATAGCACCTGTAAGGATAATATGCCTGGGAATAAATTTGTTCAAGAAGGTGCAGTACTTGTACACAGACAACTACAGAACATTGTTCGAGGAGACTAAGGAAGACCTAAATCAATGGAAAGACATCTTGTGTCCACGGGTTGGAAGTTGTAACATGGTTAAGATAAAAATACAACTCAAAGCAATCCACAGACTCAATACAATCCTATCAAAAAGTGGCTTTTTTTACAGGAATGCCTGAGAAGAACTTCATGTTCCTAAAAAACAGCAAGTGTCCCCCCAAAACAAAAGCAATCTTGAAATGCAAGAAGGAACGTTCTCTATTCCAAAGGTCTTTAACTGCTCTCAGTAATACGTGGTAATCTTCAATATACAGGCTTTCACACCTTTTTTTTTTTTCTTCTTTTGTTTCTAGACACGATCTCACTCTTTCACTCAGGCTGGAGTACAGGGGCAAGATCACACAGCTCACTGCAGCATGGAATTCTCAGGCCGATGACATCCTAGGGCCTCATCCACTGAGTACCTGGGACTACAGGCTCACACCACCACAGCCGGATAATTTTTCTGATTTTCAGTAGAGATGAGGTCTCACTATGTTGCCTAAGCTAGTTTCAAGCTTCTGAGCTCAAGCGACCCTCCTGCCACGGCCTTCCTAAGCGCTAGGATTTGAAGCTGAGCCTGGCTGGCTTTCACATCTTTGCTATGTAGTTTATATTTCTTGGTGTTATTGTAAATGTTTATGAAAGGAATCTTTTAAAAATTTTGTATTAAAATTATATATTTAAGGAATTACATATATTATATATATTTAAGGAATACAACCTGAGGACTACATATACATATACACATACACATACACATACATACACATACACATACACATACACATACACATACACATACACATACACATACACATACACATACACATATACATATACATATACATATACATATACATATACATATACATATACGTATACTATACATAATGAACTAATGCCTACTAGGTGAGGGGCTGCCTTGTGAGCAAACCCAAAGTCCTTGGCTCACAAAGCCTTGTCTAGAAAGATGGAGGGATCAGCAAAGTGGGCACACAGCAGGTTCTGTCTTTAGTGCGGGCACCTGCCCACTCGGGTCTCTGGCAATCCTGACCAGGCTTCATGATGGGTGAGGTGAGCTAGGAATGGGAAAGTGGATGACCTCAGATCCAGAGACTGCAGTTGTCACCTGGGGACCTGGCATGTGCGTGGAGGAGTCTCCCACTGATTTGGCCCTGGATCAATGCCCAAACATGCACAAGGACAGGACTGTTGGCCTCAATGTTTTAGGAGCCACCAGTCTTCTAAAGAGGGTTTGTGGTGGGGAAGAATGTTCAACAAAACAGAAGAGTTATGGGTACTCTAGCTTGGCAACAGAGAATACTTCCTTGTGCTACTAAATGACAATATTTGACAATTATGGATGACACAATTGAGCAACAGCTTTCACTGTTTAACAAGCAGGGTCTCTGGAACACTAGGTTAGTGCTGTCGGAAGTTGACTGAAAAGTCGGTGGTTTGAGCCCATCCAGTCGCATTAATGTTTCTAGCTGATGTGACCTTCCATCTGAAGAGTCTCTTCCTTGGACCAAATATATCTTCAAGCTTCTCCTCTTCTTGTCTCTTGTCTATTTTCCAAGGTGCCTCTTTGTTGCTTGAGGCAAAAAAAGTTCATTATTAATCCACACCCAGCAAACATCTACCCTTACTTATCCCGGTTTTTAGAGTTTTGAGTTTGTTTGTTTTCTCAGCTTCTCATATTTGGAATACTGGGAATTCCTAAAGTGGAGAACAACAGAACCTGAATCACACCTATGGTGAAGCCACAGGCCCTGGGTGAAAAACCTAATCTGCTCGCGTTTAAAGATAAACCCATTAATTTTCTGTGCTTCCATTTCTATCTGTCTAATGGGCTAAATCAGAACACTTAATTTGTCCAATGTTTAAACGAGCAGTGCAGGAAAAGCGTGGAGCCAATGCCTGTCACGTAGCAATTGGTCAACACGCATGAGCTCCTATCAGCGTCACGGCCTCCAGCATTTCCATCAGGCTTTGATCTTTGAAACGTCCTTCCTGATATGAATGGGTCATTCTTCAAACATTCTCTAACCGATGGCCATGACATTGTTCCAATGTGTATTATTACAAATACAACTGCAGAGACCAGACTGACACATGTATCTGTCGTGCATCACTTGTCTATTTCTCCGTAGATACCTGGAGATGGAATTGTCAGACCAAAGTATTTATACATTTCTGATTTTGCTAATTTCTATCCAAATTACTATGAAAAGAAGCTGTAACAAGTCATACTTTTAATATTTTATGAGAATTCTTTTTTTCTCCATCTTCTGGCCAAAACTGGGAAGTACTTGCCTACCATTTCCTCTGAACTTACTTTTGCCAACATTTCTGTAGTCACACAGTGGGATCACATTGCATGCATGACATCAAACTCAAATCCTAATTGAAAAGAGGGGTTCACAGGACTCTATAAAAATTTATATTCAAAATACAAAAATGCAAACATATATGTGTATACAAATACATATATATACACATACATATATGGGAAAGGAATTTTTTTATTTGGATACCTTATCAAAGTTATATAGACTGGAAAATTTGTTTAGTAAAACAGCAGTCCCCTTGTGTACTCCCAGAGTTTCATCACATAGAAGCAAGTATTTAGTTATTTATCTCCTTATGTCTAAATAGATATTATTCCTTTTTGATTTTCAAGCGTAGGCACTATCTCTCCTTCACATACTTGCTCATCACCACCACCCCCAAACATGCCTCTCACTACCTTACCCTCTAACATGTTTGTGTCCTAGTTTGAGGGCCAACTACTACATTATTATAACTTGTATATGTTATTCAGAGTTCAGTCACACTGGATATACATAGCAGGAAATGAAAGGCCAGTATCTTCAGGGACTCTCTCTCAAGTGGATAAGCTTCAGAGATTTTTGTAATCTTTGGTCACCCTCTCCATCTTTTTCCTATTCCGGGTAAGTACTGGATCTGATGGGCCCAGCTCAGGTCAGGCACTCTCTCCTTGAGCAGGGGAGAGCAGGACATCTTCATGTGTAGTACCAAGAAGACACTGTCCAAAGAGGGACAGGTAGTTCTGAGACAGAAAAGTCAATCTGGGGTATGGGTAGGCAAAACGAGGACACAAAAAAAAACCCATGTCTGTTCTGTGAGGGGAGCATGCAGTAGAGGGTGGATTCAGAGTGGGAGGGGAGAGTTTTGAGAGATATGGGCCATGGATAGCCCTCTGTGGGCTGGAGCCACGCAAGGCTGTTGGGGTCTCTCAGGGGCAGGGAGCTGAGGAGAATCTGCCCTCCCCAACCTGGGAGACTGGTGAGGGGACTGTCCTGGTCACCAGACAGAAATGGGGTCTGGGCCAGGGCAGTTCTGGTGGGAAAGAAAGAACAGGACATCTTCTCCTTAGGTAAGGTTCTGAGTTCAGGTCTTGGTAGGGAGGGAGGTTACCTTGGGCATTGGCCACTGAAGATGGTTGGCCAGATGAGCACACTGAAATCTATGTTCTATAAACTTGCAGTTCTAGTAAAGGAATGACTGCAGTAAAGGGTCTTTAGGAAGAGGAGGTGGAAGACCTGATTTGGGTTGGGGGCTCCAAGAAGAATGTCTGCCTTGCTGTGCAGAAGCCTGCTACACAACCTCCCTGGTCCCCTTGCTCAGTCTCCCGGCCAGACCCCCAGAGTACCTGCCCTGTGCGCCCTGGAAGTACACAGTGAGTTCAGCCAAGGCATCTCCAGCCGGGACTCATCCCTGGGCATTTCTGTGGCCTTGGGTGCCCTGGCCTTCTCCAGGCCCTGTCTTGCAGGCAATCGTCCTGCAGGGGAATGGGAGAAGGAGGCTACTTGACAGTTGACTCTGAGTGGCTCCACAAGTTCCTGACTTAGCTCCTAGTCACTTGCAAACCTATATACCCCCATCTCATCCCCCAAATGGTGAAAAAGAAACTTTGCCAGGACTCATGCCAGACAAATAGAACAGAACCGTTCCATAGAGCCAAGGTCTTAGGACATCAATAAGAGATGGAAACCACCTGCTAGAAGGTGCCACAGTGGGAAGCTTGTTGGAAGGGAGCAGTCACTGAACTGTCAGGGTGAATCCTGGCTCCTGGCCCTCACACGCCCTTTCTCCCCTTCCTTCCTTCTCTCCTCCCTCCTGTCTGCTCTTTCCCCTCTCTCCCCTGCATCCCTCAGGTACCTTCCATGGGCCCTCACCCCTCCTTTTCAGAGGCTCCAAAGTGAGCCCTCAAAATACTTGGTAACCTTGGGCATTTCCAAAACTGGAGAGATTTGGCCACACCATTTTTAGGAGCTAGGAACGTCCTCCAGAACTCTTGCCTAAATTTTTCTGCTGATGAGAAGAGAACAAAAGAGTTTCCATCTGATCTGGTCCTAAGGCAACTGCTCCTTGGAGCAGAGTCTGGGCAGGAAAAAGGGGGTTGCCCAGGGCCCCAGACTTGCCCCTCCCAGCTGCTGTGCTCCTCTCCCCTTCACTGCGGGAGGCTGGCCAGGGATCGGGAACCTCTGTTCTCCACAGTTGCTGCGATCCCAGGCCCAAATCTAAATATTGGCTGATTTAGGAGGCTAAGGGAGGCAATTCCCTGGAGAGAGGTGTCAGGATCTGGGACAAGAGCAGCATCTGGTTGCCATCCACAGAGACCCCAAGGACAGGAATCCAGTGGTAGCCTGTTGGAGGGGATCCCATGACAATAAAATGAAACGTGTGCATTAGAACTGGAGCCAAGACCAGGAGCTGAAAAACTGCGCCGTCCTAAGGGATGAAGGAATTAGGGAATCCCGGAAGTAAAGTTTTTCATATAGGTCATTTCTTCCAAAGAGACACAGGGCAATGGCCCAATGACATGTATAAAAGAAAACTCAGGGTCTAGGATTGAGGGGAGGCAGCCTTTTCAGTGGAGGAGACCTGTCACCTGGAGGCCCAGGGTCACCCTGAGAGGGGAGGGGTCTTGCTGGGTCGCTGGGTCTAGGACTCCAATTGCACACAGCCAGTGGCCTGGACGGTGGGTGACCATGACTGGGGCAATTTCCCCCATTCCGCTTAGGGAGCAATAGGAATATCATTGGCATTATACAGAAAGGTCCCACTGAGACTTGAACGCTGATCACCGTACTCAGAGTCCAAAGCGCTCGCCATTACATCATGGAACCTCACAATAGCTCGTAACTGGAGGGCACTGAGTTCACAGAGCAGCCGTAGTTCCCACGCACCTCTGTTCATGCATTTCCTCTGATCCCTCAAGCAACACCGAGGAAGGTGGACCTGAGATGGAGGAGTCGTCCTCTTTCTTTCTCTGCCCTCTCCTTTGATCAACTTTTACCATTTCCTTTGCATCTTAGAAAATGAGGCAAAATCCAGTTTGGGCTTAGGGCCAGAGAAGAGCCCTTGAGGCCTCCCTCATGGAAAACATACTCTCTCAGTTTACCAGAGTTTCCTGTACCAAGGGGAAATTTCTGCAAACAGTAATGTTATATTCTTTTTGCCTTCCCTCTTTTCCCTTTGCCCAGGGAGGCCAGATGATTGTCAGAACAGGACTTGGGACTTCCTGGGTGCCTAGCCCCCTTCCTCCATGTAATAAATAATAGCTGACACCAAGCAAGTGGGATTGGGAGGCAGGGAAGCTTTCATTTTCTTTTTGATATACTTTTATGCATTTGCTTGGTTGGTTTTGGCAAGATTTTCTCACCAGAAATGGAGATTAGTTGGATTGAAAATAAAAAGTAATCAGCCATGTTTTACATTCAACATTTATTGAACCCCTGCTGATAAAGCACTTGCCAGCTTCAGTGGGGCTGCTAGAGATGAGAGTACACAATCCCTGACTTACAGATACCTTGTCCCAACTAAGGCCTAGGTTATCTGAAGGGGAGATTATCAATGGCAAATGCAGGCTCCTCCTGTGGAAAGAAATTCTGCTTCCTGGAGCTGGTGGTCTCTTCTCCCACCAGTTCAAAGAAGCTTCTCTCGCACTGTGGATCTGCCCTCCCTGCCCCACAAGGTTAGGGTATGTGCCATTGAGGCTCAGGGCATATGTGGGAAATTCAGACATTCTGTAACACCTGCTGTCTCTTCCCACGCAGGTGAACCCTTGCTGAAGCAGGACAGCAAGCAGGTCCAGGTGGACCTCCAGGACCTGGGCTATGAGACTTGTGGTCAAAGCAAGAATGAGGCTGAACAGGAGGAATCCACCAGTCCCGGTAAGAGCACAGGGTGTGGGGCTCACCTTCCCTCCCTGGAGTCAGCTGTCACATTTGGGTGCTGTTGGCCAATTCCACACCTGACAAGTAGTGGGGAAGAGGAGGACAGGAGGTTAATAGGAGAACTCTTACCCAAAATGAGGCTGAGTATAAGTTTGAATTTCTACAATGAGTTTGTGGCATACTGCTAATAATAATAATAATCATATGAAGTTCTATCCAACTGATTATTATAGAAATACTAAGGCCTACTTAGAGACCACATGAGGTTTTGGAAACATGCAAACCATAAGTTAAAAATAATTTTGGTTTGCATTATAAAAGGACTACAACTATAGGGCCACCCACCACATTCAAAACGAGAAGAGAAGAAAAACACAGTCTCTCTCATTCTTGAGGAAGTGTAGTGTGGCAGTTAAGAGAAAAGATCCTGGGGCCAGACTTGTTGCTTCAAATCCCAATTTGTAAACTTTCCTATGCCTCAGTTTCTTCAAATGTTAAAATAGTAATAAAGGAACTACCTACCCCATCAGGTACTAATGTCAATTAAATGAGTAAATTCTTATAAAATGCTTTAGAACAGTGTCTGGCATCGGGTAAAATGCTGTGGATTAGTTCTCATTCTGACTACCACTGCCCCAATACACTGATGTTAACATGCTGATATATTTATTCAAACTCTTATTTTCCTTTGCCTATTTTTCACACAGTTGTAACCCAATAAACTTTTAAATTATAGTAAACTTTAGAGAGCATTAAACTTGCAGCATGCAGAAATAGCTTGTCCTACATTCTTGTGGCTATCCTAACTAGATAAGGCCATGTTAATGGCTTGAGAAACATCAGTGTGTGTGGAATGAACACAGGACGTTGGAGGATTTGAATTCAGGCTCTGCCATGTGCTAGTTTGAGTGATCTAGAACAAGCTGGTTTACCACCTCTCTTTAAGTTTTGGTTTCCCCAGTCAGTAAAATAGAAAGTGGTGAAACCTAACTTGTGGGTATAAGGAGGATAAGAAATACTGTATTTGAATGCCTAGTACAGTGTCAGGGTTGAATAAAGTACGACTTCACCTTATTCCCTAGTAATTATTGTCCTCATGACCAAACCTGCCTCCTCTCAAAGGCAGTGGCCACAACAGCACATCCAGCTTTTATTTAGGAAGACATCTTTGTCTTTTTTCAGAGCATGAGGAGCACAGCAGCCGCAAGGAAATGGTCCTGGTGGAGGGGCTGTGCTCTGAGCAGGGGCGCCGGGGCTGAACACTGGCTAGTTCCTCTGAGAGGAAGCCCTTGGAGAATGAACTAGGGAGGCAGGAAGAGTTCTGGGTATATGGAAAGTCAGAAAACATCTGGGTCCTATGAAAGGACATCAAAGATCTGAAGGCCCAGCTGCAGAATGCCAACAAGGTCATTCAAAACTTCAAGAGCCGGGTCCAGTCCCTCTCAGTTACAAGTGATTATTCATCTAGTCTGGAAAGACCCTGGAAGCTGAGAGCTCTTGACACCCTGGAGGGGTCTTCACCTCATAGTGTCACTGATGAGGATGAGGTGTGGCTGTCTGATGGCACTGGGGCTTTCTACTCTCCAGGACTTCAGGCCAAAAAGGACCTGAAGAGTCTCATCCAGAGAGTATCCCAGCTGGAGGCCCAGCTCCCAAAAAATTGACTAGAAGGGAAGCTGGCTGAGGAGCTGAGATCAGCCTCGTGGCCTGGGT
This sequence comes from Homo sapiens, assembly GCF_000001405.40. Taxonomy (NCBI): domain Eukaryota; kingdom Metazoa; phylum Chordata; class Mammalia; order Primates; family Hominidae; genus Homo; species Homo sapiens. Next base: position 355,015 of record NW_025791756.1, on the reverse strand, counting down.
AAGGATGGCACTGTCTGGGCACTTTCTGGATTGAAAATGTGTAAGTTTGTGCTTGGTGTAGGGTAGCTCAGGCAGTTGGAAGAAACAACATGTCTGGGTATTCACAAGGACACTGATTTAAATGGTAGATATAGGTCTGTGGAAAAGACAGGTAGGCAAGCAGGAGGGCATAGGATGATGTCCCAGTATCTGGGAGATACCAGATCTCAGGGATTTCCTCTTAGGGATATATCAGTAAAGTAATAGTACATATGGTATAGTATAGTATAGTATAGTATAGTATAGTATAGTATAGTATAGTATAGTATAGTATAGTATAGTGGTAATACTGGAATCAGACTGCCTAGCTCTGATGCTTACTACCCATGCAACCTTCTTAACCTTTCTGAGCCTTTGTCATTACCTATTAAGTGAGGATGATAACAGAACCCATCTCAAAGGGTGGATATTAGGTTTACATGAATTAATACAAGTGCTGGCCAGGTGTGGTGGCTCATGCCTGTAATCCCAACACTTTGGGAGGCTGAGGTGGGCAGAACACCTGAGGTCAGGAGTTCAAGACCAGGCTACCCAACATGGTGAAACCCTGTCTCTACTAAAAATATAAAAATTAGGTGGGCATGGTGGTGCACCCCTGTAATCCCAGCTACTCAGGAGGCTGAGGCAGGAGAATCGCTTGAACCTGGGAAGTGGAGGATGCAGTGAGCCGAGATGGTACCACTGCACCCCAGCCTGGGTGACAGAGCAAGACTCTGTCTCAAAAAAAAAAAAAAAAAAAAAATTAGTACAAGTGCTTAGAATGGTGCCCAGCATACATTAAGCTCTCAATGCTATTTGCCATAGTTATCAGTGTTATTGACACTTTGTGTTGAAAACACAGACATTCATCTTGGTATGTGTCCTGGTTATCTACTGCTAAGTAAGAACCACTCTAAAACTTAGTGACTTCAAACAGTACTTTATTATGCTTCACGGTTCTGTGGTTTGACTGGGCTCAGCTGGGTAGCTCTCACTTAGGGTCTCTTGTTTTGGGTCTCATCAGTTGATGGCATGAGAGTTTATGTGATGGCCATGATTGCAAAATACAGTCAGCCACAGTATCACAACACAGAAGAAATTCAGACATCAGGTGGTGGTTAAAACAGAAGACATGAAAGGTCCTATCTAGACTTAGGATGAGATGAGTCTAATTATTCATTGAGTATCTGCTGTGAATCTCTGTGATGCTGGTGCTGTAAGGGATGTGAAACGCAGAACTATCTTCATTCTCACAGACCTTACGATTTATCTAGGGACATATAATTAACATATATAGAACAGTTGAAGAACAGTGGCATGGTAAATTTTTTGTTTTGTTTTGTTTTGATACAGAGTCTCACTCTGTCACCCAGGCTGGAGTGCAGTGGTGCCATCTCGGCTCACTGCAACCTCTCCCTCCCAGGTTCAAGCAATTCTCCTGCCTCAGCCTCCCAAGTAGCTGGGATTACAGGCATGTGCCACCATGCCCAGCTAGTTTTTTTGTGTGTTTTTAGTAGAGGAGGGGGTTTCACCATATTGGCCAGGCTGGTCTCAAACTCCTGACCTTGTGATCTGCCTGCCTCAGCCTCCCAAAGTGCTGGGATTACAGGCGTGAGCCACCACGCCCGGCCCATACTAAATTTTTCAGTGCAATACTTTATCAGGGTAGAATTTACTCTTAAATACCTCCTATGGCTTACGTGCCAGAATTCAGTTTGGGGGAGTTCCTTAGAGATGTTCTCATAGAAATCTCTACAGAAGCCCCATAACTTATCATCCACCCTTTCCTCTTCTGTCCTGCATTAGGAAATATGATTCCCTGATTCAGGATCAGCCCCGGGAACTGTCTTACCTACGGCAAAAAATACGAGAAGGGAGAGGTGTTTGTTATCTTCTCACCCAGCATGCAAAAGATACAGTAAAATCTTTTGAGGATCTCCTAAGGAGCAATGACATTGACTACTACCTGGGACAGAGCTTCCGGGAGCAACTGGCCCAGGGAAGCCAGCTGACAGAGAGGCTCACCAGCACACTCAGCACCAGTAAGTTGGCCACAGGGCTTTGGATACTCTCAGTCACCCCACAGTTCCAGCCCCTGGTGGCCACCACATCTCCACTGCAACTTTTTAACGTAGGGTCCTGTTTCTATTTCATTTCCTGGGGCTAATACAGGATCAAGACTGCTCAATGGGGAGCATGGAGAGGAACACACAGGGCTGGAGATGCCATGGTTACAACTCTAGAAACTTCACCACTCATGGAATGTGACCTGTGGGGCAGGGGAGACATCTCTCTGGTGCTAAGAGGGAGTAGGGGACATGAGATGGAACGGCCTTGTTATAGGAGGAAGAGCCGTGAGCTAAGAATTGCAAGACGTCGAGGCGCTGAGGCCAAAGGGTCCGTGAGGAAACAGGTGCAGCTCACGCCCCTCGGCCTACGGGAGGGAGGGCAAGGAGGGTTCTACGGTTCCTGGGAGGACGAGAAGAGCCAAGAGCCCCGACGGCCGGCGCCGGGGAAAAGGCCCCGAGGCGGGGTCCGCATCCCTGGAAGGGCGGCGTCCACCCTCCTGAGAGGCACGGGGCGCCCAGGGCTCGGACGCTCAAAGCCCGCCGGCTCCTGCAGCTTCTGGGAGCCGAAGAGTGTCAGCCGGGAGGATCCCGCACACGGCGCTTAGTTCTGGAACTGCATACCCAGGGGAGGATGCGGGAGCCCGAAGCCCGAGTATGTGTCCCCGAAGCCCGTGTGTGGGTCCCCATGGTTTTCGTGTTGGGGGTGGGCGCGGAACGCTAAGCCTGGGCCTATTGGGAGCCATAGTCTTCTTGATGGCTGGTGCTTATTGGGCTTTTTTCAGTCGAATTTCGAAATGCAGTTGAATTTCTTACTTTGGAAACGATAATAGAAATGGCTGACCTAAGATTTTCATGATGATATTTTGCCTTTTTTGGTGCATATGCAGTTTCTGTGGTGTAGTGGTTATTATGGTCGCTTCACATATGAAAGGTCTCTGGTTCGAGACTGCGTGGGAACATCGTGTTTTGTTTTGTTTTTTTGTCCCTAAATTTAGTGAGTTTAATCGAGGTTGGGAAACAAACAGAAAAGTAGTTGAACCTGTGGCTACACTTTAGACCTCCTCAATCTAGAGAGATCGTTGACCAGGCTACAGTTTCCACTGGTCTGCCAGCAAGAGGCCTGCTTAATATTAGCTTTGGTTCCAGAAATTCCTTCAGGTTCTCTTCATTCTCTTCTATCGCCTGTATTTTCACAGGCTGACACTGAAAGTGGATGACATCTTAGTGCATTTCCTAAGGGTCCCGCTTGGCTTCGCTTTACTCTGGTAAGTTGCAGATCTGGCTGATTTGCAAGACAACAAAAACAAAATATTTTTTAAAAAGGTTCTAAATCTGCATCTGGAAGTCATAGAGTCAATATTCCTAAATCACATGAATTATGTATATACATTTGCATGCATACCCCTTCCCCAAATAATCCTCAGAAAACCGGTTAAGTTTTAGCATCTGTGACTCTGAGATGCATATGAGACCTTTGTAAATTTAGAAGTTGAGAGTAGAAAGTACAGGTTTGTATTTTAGAAGGAGATTTGGGAATAAATATAGCTCTGGTGGATATAGATCATATGTTAAGGTTTGTTGGCCAGAGCTGGTGTGTGTCTTGGGTGTTGGGCAAAGAACAGAGAACAGCCAAAACTCTGCGAGGTCAATGTGAAGGGTGATTTCCTTGGTGGGCTCAAGTTTATGACGCAGCCTGGACCTAGCTTGGCTTCTCAGCTAGAGAAGAAGCATGATTCCATGTCACAGCTCCTGTCTTTGAAAAAGTCATAATGACTCCCAGACCCAACATATGGAGAAAACTCTGGATTTGTCTCTTCAGTTGAATGTTTCCAGAGAAAATTGAGGAAAGAAATCTCTCTACTATTTGAACTTCATCAAAAGACTAATATGCTAATATTTGACCGTCAATATTTCCTTAAACTAGTCTACTCCTTACATAGCTAATACATCAAAGCATATTAACTTAGGAAATGGGATTCTCCCAAACAAGGAAACATTGACAGCGAGCGTTCTTCATCTTTTCATATCACATTTCCTTCAAATGCTTTATACATCTTCAAGCAGACAAATAATAGTATTATAATGATTACGAGACTGATCATTACTCTTTTGCCAAAAAAACCAGCGACAAAAGACTAACTTAGTGGACCAACCTTTGTTTCTTCATTATCTCTACCTTGGTTCTGTCCTTTTATTTCCTCTTTCTTCTAATTCTGCTTCTGCTACTGATTTCCTCCCTGGATTTGAACTTTACTTACCTAAACTACCAGTTAGGTTACCTTCTTAGAACCTCTAAGGCAGCAGTTTGAGGTTGACGATGGAAGATTTAGGATTAGAAAAAAGAAACGTGAATGAATTTCTGATGTTTTATTATAGGGGTTTGTAATGCAGGTAGAAAGAAAGACCTTTTTCAGAGTTAAGAGTTTGATCCGACAAATGAGCTATTTTGATATTTATAACGTTGTCTAGTAAAAGTTTCCTGTAAAAACACATTTGGTTTGGATGTCTTTGTTAGCTTTTAGTCGACACTTGAAAAAACCGCTTGGAACGGTTTCTAAGTCTTTGTGGATACTGTTTTCTGTTATCCTGCAGGTGGTTGTTACGCAGAGGCATTGGTGGTTCAGTGGTAGAATTCTCGCCTCCCACGCGGGAGACCCGGGTTCAATTCCCGGCCAATGCAAGAGGGTCTTTTTCACCCCGCTGTTGCTCTTTATCTGTCTTTTACGCTGAAAATCATACTGCATAACCTAATAGTGCATTTAGGGGCTTGGCCACCACAAGGTAAAGTGACGACAACACTCACGAAAGTAGCGGCAGGAGACATTCAGGAGACTAACTCAGGACCCCATGCAGTTGTTGGACTCAAACAGCTTAGCAAGCTGACAAGCATGAAGTGTTTCCGGTGAGTCACTGCAGTTTTCATACTGGTACCTGTGACTTTCATCTATTCACTGGAAGGATCCCTGCAAACCCGAAGAACCATCAGGTTCCTGATTCGCGTGCTGGACCTTGGGCTTACCGTTGAGCCACTATGGAGAGGATCAAGAAATGACGCTCTTGGAAGGAGAGAAGCTGCGGGCAGGACAGTCACCTCAGAGGTCCAAGAGGCGTCAGCGGCCCAAAGAAAGGGGTGGTGTGTGGGCAAGAATCTGCGTGGAGATGAGGGGAGCGGCGGAGACTGGTCCTTGCGCAGAGGCGGCCAGTAGACCCTCAGGGCTGTACCCCAGACACCGTGAACCGAATTTGCTCACATCGTCAGCGACCGCGGCCTCCGCGTGTTTTGTGGGCCCATCGGTGTTCCCCGAGAGATTCCGTGTGTCTGGCAATGTGTGTCAACAGGTGTTGGCCTGAAATTTGGCCGGGCACGGTGGCTCACGCCTGTAATCCCAGCACTTTGTGAGGCCGAGGCGGATGGATCGCTTGAGGTCAAGAGTTCAAGACCAGCCTGGCTAACATGGGAAAATCCCGTCTCTACTAAAAATACAAAAATTAGCCAAATGTGGTGGCATGCACCTGCTATTCCGGCTACTTGGGAGGCTGAGGCAGGAGAATCGCTTGAACTCAGGAGGCGGAGGTTGCAGTGAGCCAAGATCGCGCTACTGCAGTCCAGCCTGGGCGACAGAGCGAGACTCCGTCAAAAAAGAAAGAAAAAAAAAAAGCAGCGAAAGAAGGCAGAGATGTCAATGGGACAAAGAGACCTCCCAGGAGGCTTGTTGTAGAGGCAGTGGTCGGATCCTGAGAGATGAGATTTTTTTTTTAATTATGTAGCAGAATGGGGAGAGAAAGGGAGAAGCGCATGAAAGACAGAAAAGCACAAAAATCTGCGGACGTCCAACAATAAAGCAGATAAAATAGTGTGAGTGTTTTTACATTCAAAACATAGAAGTGCAATGCTTGTCAGCAGGCTTTGTGGTCGTGTAGTAGTTAATACTTGTAGTTGTGGTTGCCACAACCTGGGTTCTAATCTGAGTCACAGTAGTGTTTTCTAACCTGCAACTGTGGCTAATAGACCTGTCGTTTGCTTTGCCTTTAATCCTAGCAGCCTCCAGAGAGCAGAGTAAACCTCTGGCCCCGAAGGGCGCCAGCTTCTGGAGTTTAGCCCACAGCGCAGAAACTAGGGGGCGGCCTGGCCGATAGGAAAACTTGGACATGCTCTTTGTCTCACAATTGAGCAGGAAAAATTCCCGTAGGTGAAGATGCCGCCTCTCAAGGGCCCTTTGTCTGTAGCTTCCACTGATGAAATAATGCGGTTATAGTCTTTTCTGGTAGAGAAAACGGCTGTATCAGTGGAATTTTTTAAAAACACAAAACGAGGACGAGTTTTTAATGAGCTGACAATAAAATCTAAACTAGTTGTCATGGTCTGCACAGGCTTGCCTCCATTCCCCATCTGCTAATTTTTATGAGAACAGTAAATTATTACTATTATTATTGTTTTTGAGACGTAGTCTTGTTCTGTCACCCAGGCTGGAGTGCCGTGGCTCAATCTCGGCTCACTGCAACCTGTGTCTCCCAGGTTCAAGCAATGAGAACAGTAAAGAAGCTACAGTTCACATAAAGTGCACAAATCTTTAGTGCAATTTGTTTAGTTTTGATCAATGTTATCACCACCCAGCTCAAGTTATAGAAAATTGCCATCATCTGAGAAAGGCCTGTTAGAGCCCCTGTCCAGGTGATTCCCACCCTGTGTCCTCTTAGTTATCACTATTCTGATGTCTATTCCCACAGGTTACAATTGCCTGTTCTTAAAGTTCACATGAATGAATGTACATATGTTTTGTGTCTGGCCTTTTTTCTGCAGTTACATTCATTATACTCATGAGATATATCCATGTAGTTTCATAGATCACTTCTCAATTTTGGGGTTATTGAATTCTTGTGCTGAATATTCTTATAACAGTCTTTGTGTGCACTTGAGATTCATGGAAGTCCTTCAATTGCTGGGTCATGACCTGAGTATAAGTTTAACATCAGTATAAATTGCCAGTCTTCTAGAATGTTTTTCACCAGCGATGACAGTTGAAGTGGCACCAAATTCTTGTCAGCATTTGGTGTACTAACTTTGTTAAATGTAGCTATGCTCTCAGACCAATCTGGCCAACATGGCGAAACCCTGTCTCTACTCAAAATACAAAAATTAGCCGGGCATGGTGGCATGCACCTGTAGTCCCAGCTACTCCAGAGGGGGATGTTGCGGTGAGTCAAGATCGCAGTATTGCACTCCAGCTTGGGTGACAGAATGAGACCCTGTCTCAGAAAAAAAAAAAAAAAAAGTAGCCATACACTGGTGAGTAGTTAGTGCTATCTCAGTGTGGAATTAATTTGTATTTGCCTAATGAGCAATCCTATGAAGCATACTTTCTTGTGGCTTCCAGCATATAAGAAACTCTCCTTTGCAAAGGACTATTCAAATATTTTGCCCTATTTTATTTGGCTTAGCTCTATATTACTGATTTACAAAAGTTCTCTTGTATATTCAAGAATTGAGTCTTTTTTTTGACTTTTTTTATTATACTTTAAGTTTTAGGGTACATGTGCACAACATGCAGGTTTGTTACATATGTATACATGTGCCATGTTGGTGTGCTGCACCCATTAACTCGTCATTTACATTAGGTATATCTCCTAATGCTATCCCTCCCCCTCCCCCCACCCCACAACAGGCCCTGGTGTGTGATGTTCCCCTTCCTGTGTCCAAGTGTTCTCATTGTTCAATTCCCACCTATGAGTGAGAACATGCAGTTCTTGGTTTTTCGTCCTTGCGATAGTTTGCTGAGAACGATGGTTTCCAGCTTCATCCGTGTCCCTACAAAGGACATGAACTCATCAATTTTTATGGCTGCATAGTATTCCATGGTGTATATGTGCCACATTTTCTTCATCTAGTCTATCATTGTTGGACATTTGGGTTGGTTCCAAGTCTATGCTATTGTGAATAGTGCCGCAATAAACATACGTGTGCATGTGTCTTTATAGCAGCATGATTTATAATCCTTTGGCATTTATAATCATTTATAATAATCATTTATTTATAATCATATAAATCAAATAAATATATAATTTATTTATAATCATTTGGCTTTTAGCAGCATGATTTATATACCCAGTAATGGGATGGCTGCGTCAAATGGTATTTCTAGTTCTAGATCCCTGAGGAATCACCATACTGACTTCCACAACGGTTGAACTAGTTTACAGTCCCACCAACAGTGTAAAAGTGTTCCTATTTCTCCACATCCTCTCCAGCACCTGTTGCTTCCTGACTTTTTGATGATCGCCATTCTAACTGGTGTGAGATGGTATCTCATTGTGGTTTTGATTTGCATTTCCCTGATGGCCGCTGATGATGAGGATTTTTTCATGTGTCTTTTGGCTGCATAAATGTCTTCTGAGAAGTGTCTGTTCATATCCTTCGCCCACTTGTTGATGGGGTTCTTTGTTGTTTTCTTGCAAATTTGTTTGTGTTCTTTGTAGATTCTGATGAATCTACAGATGAGTAGATTGCAAAAATTTTCTCCCATTCTGTAGGTTGCCTGTTCACTGTGATGATAGTTTCTTTTGCTGCACAGAAGCTCTTAAGTTTAATTAGATCCCATTTGTCAATTTTGGCTTTTGTTGCCATTGCTTTTGCTGTTTTAGACATGAAGTCCTTGCCCATGCCTATGTCCTGAATGGTATTGCCTAGGTTTTCTTCTAGGCTTTTTATGGTTTTAGGTCTGACATTTAAGTCTTTAATCCATCTTGAATTAATTTTTGTATAAGGTGTAATGAAGGGATCCAGTTTCAGCTTTCAACATATGGCTAGCTAGTTTTCCCAGCACCATTTATTAAATAGGGAATCCTTTCCCCATTTCTTGTTTTTGTCAGGTTTGTCAAAGATCAGATAGTTGTAGATGTGTGGCATTATTTCTGAGGGCTCTGTTCTCCTCCATTGGTCTATATCTCTGTTTTGGTACCAGTACCATGCTGTTTTGGTTACTGTAGCCTTGTAGTATCATTTGAAGTCAGGTAGCGTGATGCCTCCAGCTTTGTTCTTTTGGCTTAGGATTGACTTGGTGATGCGGGCTCTCTTTTGGTTCCATATGAACTTTAAAGTAGTTTTTTCCAATTCTGTGAAGAAAGTCATTGGTAGCTTGATGGGGATGGCATGGAATCTACAAATTACCTTGGGCAGTATGACCATTTTCACGATATTGATTCTTCCTACCCATGAGCATGGAATGTTCTTCCATTTGTTTGTATCCTCTTTTATTTTGTTGAGCAGTGTTTTGTAGTTCTCCTTGAAGAGGTCCTTCACATCCCTTGTAAGTTGGATTCCTAGGTATTTTATTCTCTTTGAAGCAATTGTGAATGGGAGTTCACTCATGATTTGGCTCTCTGTTTGTCTGTTATTGGTGTATAAGAATGCTTGTGATCTTTGCACAAGAATTTTGTATCCTGAGGAGTCATTTTTAAAATAAATATATTGCAAATGACTTTTCCCAGTCAGTGAAAAGTCTGACTGAAAGCTGTCAACTGAAAAATCACACAATTTATAAATTTAGAAGGGAGATTTTATTTTTTATAAATGGTTACAGCCTGCAAGGTGGCCATTCCCACAGACTGGGAGGCATACCCTCCTGCTGAAACCGAAAAGTAGGTTTCCAGGGAGGGGAGGGGGGAACAGGGATTTATGTTGATGTGGTGGGCCACATATGCATATTCAACAGGGAATAGGAGGAGCTCTGAATATTCATGAAGGGATCCTGCTGCATGCATGCTGAGTAAACAAGCCTGTTACATGCAACCCATGTTCACTTTGGGGTGGAGATGACATTTAAATACATTATAATTAGGCCCTATGCTTCAAAAGGGGAAGCAGGGACACAAAGGCAGTCAAGTGCACAGCCTCTGTAAACCGTCCAGAACCCGTCCACAGCCAGTGCTCTCTTATCAAGGGGAAGTTACTGAAATCAGTCTCTTGTCCAATCAAAGCTGCAGTTATGGCTTGTGTAGGGAGGGCTCAGTCAGTTTATGGTAATGGGTGAGCTGCAAGTGCTTCAGCATTGCTTATCTCAAGGCCAGTGCTTGTTTAGCTAGAGAAAAAAGGGAAGAAGAAAAAAACCTGTGGCAATTAGAACATAGTTTATTCTTTAAGTTGAGGGGTGCATGACTTAACCTTGCCTGGCATGGCCTTAGGTCTTGTTTATAATATGGTATCTTACTACTGTAAGGACTCTGTTCTGTCAGTCTTAGGATCTCTATTTTAACAATAATGCTGGTCAGTTGTGTCTAAACCACAAAGGGAGAGAGTATAAGGAGAGGTGTCTGAGCTTCCAAGTACTGGCCAGGAACTCAGTATTTAAGACTTCTCTGGGGTCTCCTTGGCAAAGAAGCCATCTGTCCAGCTAGTTGGGTGGCTTCAGATTTTAATCTTAGTTCTGAAAGCATTTAATTTGATGAAATTTTGCCATATTTTTTCTTTATTTTTAAAGCCCGTCATGTTCTATAAAAATCTTTCTACTCAGGATGTGAATGGATTCTCTTAATTTTATCTCTCTATGAGTTCCAGAGTTTCAGTTTTAATTTTTAAATTGATGACATCTAAAATTCTACTCCTAACCAAAACATTTTTGGGGGTGACTAAGGACAACTCCAAAAATCTTCCATAAATGGAAGTAAGACTTACTCCTTAAAGAACTTTCTGGGATCCTGAGCTGCGGGGCACAGTGGCTTTAGTGCACCTCTGCTCTTAAGACTATTCAGAAATTGTCTTTGTGAACCCATCAGGCTGTTTCAAAATCAGCAATTTAGGGCTTGCTTGCAACACGCAGTTATGCAGCAGCTGTTTTTTGGATCTCATGAGTGCCTGCATGCATACTTCCCTGGGAATTTTCTAAATTTGAATTCTCATGGTATTTCAAGTGGCTTAGTTGTCTCTTTCTTTTGCCTACAGCCACATACATACCACCAAATCCTGCACTCCAAGCTTCTCCTTCCTCACCCTGAACTCCCAACCTCCAGTTAGACAATCCACATCTTCCCACACCTGCCTCAGGCTCCATCAGGCCACTGTGCCTCCCGCAGCAACCAGGCCAGGGAGAATCTGGATTCCTATTACACTTCTGAGGAAGGTGATCAGGGGGCGTGGAGGATGTGGGTGGGAAGGGGTGAGATTGAGGGCAGGAGTAGACTGTGGTCTTCTGTCTTCTACCTCGTTGGCCCAGGTGCTGCTCTTCCTCCGGTTGTCTGCTTTCAGCCCTGTGTAGGGAATCAGGTCTGCGCCCTCATCTTCCTGACTCTCATTTTCTGAGGAACCTGAATGGATGAGCCGTCGCTCTTGTCCCACACATTCTGTCCAAAGGTGCCCTCCTCTCTACTTGCTCCGGGGCCTGCCCTCTGAGCTCTGACACTCAGGCTGGGATGCCGCCCAGTACAGAAGCTCTGCAGCCCTGCAGGGCTCTGACTGTTCCACACCAGCAGGATAAAGGCCACAGGGCATGCTGTGGTCGAAAAGCATTCAGAGGTGTGGGCTGAAGGCCTCTCTTTCCACAGTCCCTTTGAACACCCCATGGAAGTCAGCACCCCTTTGAGGAACGAGGTGGCCCAAGGCCTGGCTTCACATGCAGGCCATTGGGTCCCAGTGGGTCCTCTCTGTGCCTGGTATAGCCAACGGCTTCATGCATCTTACCCGGTTTCCTCTCCTCCACCACCCAAGCTCCTCCTCGACCCCCTTGCTCAGCTGTTCTCAGGACAGCAAGATCCCCAGCCCTTGGAAAAGCCCCATCTCCAGTGCTTGGGGAGGGAGTTGGGTTCAGGTCGTCTAACCACAGAAGGACAGAGAACCTGAGGCAGGAGGAAATCCTTTCCCTTGCTGGGTCTCTTGGCACAACCCATCCAGGGGTCTGGGTCAGGGTCCAGGTATACTCTACCCTCCTATAGGACCTGGATTTTTAGGCCCCCGAGGTTGGTCAATGTGGAGTCTTTCCCACTGTTCACCTGGGAACTGAAGGAATATCCCATGGGGCCCTCTCTTACTCATTAGAGACACCCAGAAAATACTCCATCCAGCAGAAACTGGGCGCAGTGTACCAGACCACTATAATTATAACTGCAGGGTGTGGAGGTCAGACACGTTTTGTGGCTATTTTCTCTCTGTCTGTGACTTGCTTGCCTTTTCACTTTCTTAGTGGTATCTTTTGATGAGAAGGTGTGGCTAATGTTGATGAAGTCTCATTTATCATGTCTTTCTTATATATGTATTTTTTGTGTCCTGCTTGTTGGTAGGGTGATCTTTGCCTACCAACAAGTCACAAACTATCCTTGAAATGCTTTATATCTTTAACTTTTAAGTTTTGGTGTGTAATGCGGCTGAAATTACTTTTGTGTGTAGTGTGAGGGAGAATAACATTGTTGGTCTCCCCACATCCATATAAAAGTCCATTAATTGAAATGATTTATTTTCTTTTATTGAACTGCTTTTATTGAAAACCCATTTATTGACCGTATAGCTGTGGATCAGTTTCAAGTCTCTTAACTCAGTCTGTTTATCTATTTGTCACTCCTGATGCCTTGTCTGTAATAGCTTATAGTAAGCCTTAAAATCAGATAGTACAAGTCCTTGTTCTTTTTTACACATTGCAATAATTTTTGAAATAGGTAATAACTCATAAAACCATCACACACATCAGGATATGCTGTCACTTCATCCCTTTCTGACATGGTTTGGCCGTGCCCTCACCCAAATCTCAACTTGAATTGTATCTCCCAGAATTCCCATGTGTTGTGGGAGGGACCTAGGAGGAGGTAATTGAATCATGGGGGTGGGTCTTTCCTGTGCTATTCTCCTGACAGTGAATAAGTCTCACTATCTGCTGGGTTTATCAGGGGTTTCTGCTTTGGCTTCTTCCTCATTTTCTCTTGCTGCTGCCTTGTAAGAAGTGCCTTTTGCCTCCCGCCATGATTCTGAGGCCTCCCCAGTCATATGGAAATGTAAGTCCAATTAAACCTCTTTTTCGTCCTGGACTATGTTATGTATTTGTCAGCAGCGTGAAAACGGACTAATACACTCTCATTTCTGAGTGGAACACATGCTGTCACTCACATATGCTGGTTGCTGACTTGTGACGGAAGATTCTCTATTGTACCCTCTGGGGACAATACATCTCCAGTTGCCTGCGGGGAGGATGAACATGCAAAAAATCCACAACACTCAGCACAGAGTCTGGATTTAGTCCCATTAGTCTGAATGGGACTAATGCCCTTATAAAAGGGACCTCGGGGAGCTCTCTCGCCCTCTTTCTGCCCCCTGAGGATACAATGAGGAGGTGGCAGTCTACAACCAGAACAAAAGGCCCTCACCATAAACCTACCATGTCGGCACCTTGATCTCGGACTTCCAACCTCCGGAACTGTGAGAAATCAATTTCTGTTGTGAATCAGCCACCCAGTTTATGTATGGTACGGTGTTAGAGAAGCCCGAACTAAGACACAGATGGAATCCCATGGAGAGTCTCTAATTTGCTAAGCTGGTCATCAGGCGGGATGTTGCCAGTTAGAAACAGGAAAAGCTGACATTTTGTGTATATGAAAGAAGATAGTGGACAGGCCCATTGTGTCGGCTTTGTCCGCCTTGGCAAACTGGAGACGGAAACTCGATTCACCATCGCCAGCCACGGGAGGACTGGGAGGACCTCCAGAGGAGGTTAGGTCGACTTCATGGTAACTTTAGATCCTGAAACCTCCCAGGATTTTTCTTGTCTTCCCTTTGATCTCTCTTCCGCCTACCCAACAGGACAGGACTCGACGCCTTTCTTTCCTGGCAGCAAGAGGTCCGTTGCGGACAAGACCAAAGTGAGCAGCTGGTTTCCCCTAAGTGTCCTTCCGGGCCTGGGCATCTCTGGAGCTCAGGCTGACCCGAGACCTAACTCCCGGCCAGTGGGACCAGCAGGAGCCTGGAAAAGCGCGCCCACCGGGGTGGAGGTTGGTCGCCGGGGGTCGAGAACCGCAGTCAAACCCTCTTCTTCCCCGGGCACCGCGCACCTGCCCCCGGGGATGCCGAAGGAAGTGGCCCATAAAGCTTCTCTGCAACCGAAAGAGGCCTGAAGCTCCAGGAGGGCCGAGAGGAGCCTCGTTGAGCGAACCCAGCCGTCTGCCTGGCTGGCCCTGGTCAACAGGCTCGGAAGAGGCCGATTTGGAGGACAGAACGGAAGAAAAGACCTAAAGGTTTCGAATCTCATGATGTAGAGATGTTAAAAGCCTCCAATCCTAAGGTCTGACTGTGCGGGGGAGCGAGGGGGTCTCAAGCTGGATCGACCCCTGAGCCTTCATCTGGAGAGTCCTCTGCACAAGCTCAGACAGCAGGACAACGCGCATCAGTGGTTCTCAAGAGGGGGCAACTTTGCCCTTACACGCCTCTCACCTCCACGCTGGGACACTAGGTCACGAATGGGGGAAGCGGGGAGGGAGAATGCTAACCCCCTGGCATGTATCTAGTCAGCGGAGGCGACGGCTGCTGCTAAACACCTTACAATCCACGGGAGGGCCCCTCCCCTACCCCGAAGTAGCCATTCCGCAGAGGTGGAGAGACTCGCGTGTAGCTCAATGCCCACGCACTTAGCCGATGGGAAATTACGAATTGATGACCAGTTGGCTCTTGGATCTGAGGAAAAAACTCCAGAGTCAGAGGGAACTCTCGAAGTTTTGCCCGGAGCAAACGGAAGGGTGGCGTTGCCATCGCCTAAGATGGGAAAATGGCAGGTGTCACAGGTTGCAGGGGAAGGTCGGAGACCAGCTGAGGGCCCCGGAGCCTTCCTGGAAAGAGTTTCCCATCCAGCCCGTCTCGGTTTCCGCATCCGTCTGATTCCTTATGACGTTGAGGGTGCTGGCGTCTGGGTCCTTTATGATGCAGAGGGTGCCCCCGTCTCACCCCGGGCGCCTCCGCGCTCCCGCCTCCTCCTGGCAACCTGGTGCGCGGCTCCGGACCTGGCGACGCACGACCGACTGGTCACTTGCTGCCACCTCGCAAAGGCGCATCTCTAGTCCAGTGGTGAGCTGCGGCCGGGTCGCTGCAACTCGCTCCAGGCCTTCGGACTCGTGGCCTCGGTGTCCCTCGCGGAGCCCTCGGTGTGTCGCTTGCAGGCTCTTTTTTTGAAGAAAGCAGGGAGGGAATGGCCTTGTGAGAGACTCCAGGAGCAAAGAGCGACCCTCACAAGGCCCAAGTCCTCCCAGAGCTCAGGGAAGCTGTCGCTTCTGACAGAAGAAGGGAGAGAAAGCTCCCTCCTGTGTGTCCCTGGTGGTCTAGTGGCTAGGATTCGGCGCTTTCACCGCCGCGGCCCGGGTTCGATTCCCGGTCAGGGAATTGTTTTACACTGGCCGCCCTCCCGCAGGAATCTTCCTTCACTACGCTGTCAGCCAGCCTGCTCCAAGGGCCAGAAGCAGAACAGTCTCCGCAGCGGGGTTAAAGCCGGGCGAAGGAGGGCAAGTGCTTGTGGACCACCTCTCACGACACACCGTTCCTATTTGTCTCCGTGTCCGTCATCCGCGGGAGCAGCTTTAGAGAGCGACTGAGCTTCTCGCTCAGGTGTACACAGCCCGGCAGAGATGCCAGCCCCCGTGGAGCTGCACCCAATAAGCCCACCTTCTTTCCCGTCGCCACCCCGGAGACGCCCATCGGGCTGAGCTGCGAATAACTAAGAGAGAGGCCAAGCCAAGTCGTGGCGTTTGTGGCAGCCCCGGACACGGGCACCAGCCAGTCAGCGGAGCCTCCTCACCTCCGTTGCCAGCGAAGGCGCTCGTTAGGCCTTGGGAAGAGGCGACCGGAGGCGATGCCCGCGAATTTGTTAGGGGGGTAAGCGGCGGGTGAGGTCCTCGAGGGCGGTCCCGTTTGCTGATTGAGTGGTAGACGGAGGCGATGTTCGCTGACCCAACAAGGACAGCAGGTGGAGTAGGCACAGACGGAAAACTGCTGCCGGTGCCCTAAGCAGAAGGCAGGTGGAAAAATCAGCACTAGGACGTCGAAGCGATGGTACCACAGTCAAATCCCACGACGTCTACACTCTACCAAGCACTTGCGCACGCTCCCCCTTTTCCATTCAGTACTCCCAAGAGGGGTTCGGAAGAACCCCGAGTCCACTGTAAGCTCAGGGGAGAGCGGGAGCCAGGGAGGTGAAGTGCGCAGACTCGGCAGAGGCGGCGGGCAGAACCGCGCGGGGGTGAGAGGGCGCGGTGGCTGCGGGGCGGGAGCCGCTGCTGAGAGGCGGCCTGGGTTGTCTTGTGGGGTGACTGTCGGTGGAATCTTTGGTGGAGAGTGGTTTGGAAGAATGGCGAGGGGCGGCAGTGGGGAGGGTGGTGACCCTGAGCGACCGGCCAGGGCGAGGAGGCTGTGCTGTCCCTGCAAGCCATGTGCTCATTTCCACTTTACCTGGCAGGGGAGAGACCGTGGTCACGAAGGGGGTTCTCCCAGAGTGAAGCTTCTTCATCTCACTCTAGAGTTGCTGATCCCTGTGATTTCCTCCATGTGGGAAATGGTGTTTGTGGTAGAAGAGGCTGCGCTCTTTACCTGACATAACGGGGTTCAAGACTGACAACGCCTCACGCCCATCCAAAAACGTTTACATGGCTTCCTTGTCTCTTTTTTTTTTTCTGTCCTAAAGTCGCCTTATCTTCACATCCCCTCTTTTTTTTCTTCCACACTCGAGAGTGTCTCTCTCATTAAAAGCTCCACCAAATATTTGAAATATCTCAACCAGAAAGACTGCAATAAATACATTATTTCATTCGTGGAAGGTACAGACCAGCTAGATTGAGAGTTGCTTGATATTTTCTGCTAAACGGTGAGGCATAGAGCACTTGGAAGGTTTCTCTTTGGGCCACTGTTTGTGTACTCTTGGGTTTCCTTCTTTTCCCCAGACAGTATGGCGCTGTGGGGCCAGGGGTAAACCCTGCTTTCCGGCTTTCTGGCTGCAGATAAAGGCCTCAGCTGGTGCAGGAATCAAAAGCAAACCAAAAGACACGTGGGTTCGCCCCAGTGGGTCCAAGATAGAGTCTGACTGTACCAGGATTCGGATTAGAACAGAGGTTGCTGCAGGCACAACGCAGACTACTAACCACTAGAGAATCCCAAGGCGCCCCACACCTACTGCCCGTCGTTTTGCTTCCCCACCCCTCTATTATTTATTTATATATTTTTTTGAGAGACAGAATTTCGCTTTGTCGCCCAGGCTGGAGGGCAGCGGCACGATCTCGGCTCACTGCTACCTCCGCCTCTTAGGTTCAAGCGATTCTCCTGCCTCAGCCTCCTAAGTAGCTGAGACTACAAACGTGCACCACCACGCCCAGCTAATTTTTGTATTTGTGGTAGAGACGAGCTTACACCATGTTGGCCCGGCTGGTCTCGAACTCCTGACTTCAAGTGAGTGATCCACCCACCTCGGCCTCCCAAAGTGCTGGGATTACAGGCGTGAGCCACCGCCCCTGGTCCCCCGATTTTTTTTATTAATGTAAAAACATTATGCGATTTTTACTTCTTTATTCTTGGGCAGCTACAGGTTCTTGTGATTTTCTCTCACATCTTCTCCCCATTTCCTCCTCTCCGATCTGATACATGTCCCATCTTCTCTGCATCCAGCCGGTGCCCTCTGCACGGGCATCCTGGGCTGTCCCATTGTCTAGTCCTGGTCTCCCCTGCTTCTCCCTCCTCCTTTTCACGTTTTCCCTTTTGACTCCCCTGCCTCTTTCCCGCTCCCGCCCCACCGACCCCATCTACTGAAGCCGAGTTGAGTGAAGGGAGAGCAAGCGGAACAGATGACTGCCTGAAGGCGGCGCAAAA
Source organism: Homo sapiens (assembly GCF_000001405.40). Taxonomy (NCBI): domain Eukaryota; kingdom Metazoa; phylum Chordata; class Mammalia; order Primates; family Hominidae; genus Homo; species Homo sapiens. The sequence continues at coordinate 337,120 of NW_025791756.1, read as the reverse complement.
GAACAGAAAGAGCTACCATGAGAGACGTCGGGGAGTTCAGCTTCCCTTGGGCCCTACTTGGCTCAGGCTGGGGTCGCAGATCCAGGCATTTCCAGAGGCACTGGCTTCTGAAGCAGGCGAGGGTGAACGCAGGGTGAAGGCCATTCGGCCGCCCTTCTGGCTTCAGAGTCACGCAATGCACGCGTTTCTAACGTGCAACAACACGATTAGTCGACTCAGCCTCTCCGGTTTTCTGAAGCTTTGTAGTCTGCACAGTTGTCCCGCAGAAAGCAAATGGCAACTCCTAGGGTTTAGTGATTGCTTAATCTATATAGAGATGAAAGCAAGCGATTGAGGTTGTCTCTGTGGTGCAATCGGTTAGCGCGTTCGGCTGTTAACCATAAGGTTGGTGGTTAGAGACCACCCAGGGACGTGATTTTAAACGTTGGTTGTGACCAGGCGCAGTGCCTCATGCCTATTAATCCCAACGCTTTGAAAGGCTGAAGTAGGGGAAGCCTCCACTGAGCTCAGAAGTTCAAGACCAATGAGAATCCCACCTCATTTAAAAAAAAAATGCAGTTGTATCTATCTCCTCAGACCCATCAATGTATTTAAAAGTGAAAGACTGTTCCCTTGTGTCTTGTGCATCCCATGAGGACAGACAGCAGAAGGTCCCCCTCCGAGCCTCCTAGAAAATGAGATCTCTGCAGAACAAACTAGCTTGTATGTACGGGAAACAGAAAGTATTTGAAGAAACAAACTTCAAAAATTCTGCCTTGCTTTCCACAAAAATTAACCCATCACAGTCTGCCTTCAAGTGGCATCATACCTCTTCACATGACTCCTCCCCCTGCCTTTATGCTATTGTCATGCATTTTACTTTACACCTGTTATAAACCTTACAATCCATCTCTATTACTTTTGTTTCAAGAGTCAGATGTGTTTTTGTTTGTTTGTTTGTTTGTTTGTTTGTTTGTTTTTGCTTTTTTGTTGCTGGTGGTGGTGTTTTTAAGACGAGTCTTACTCTATCGGACAGGCTGGAGTGCAGTGGCACAGTCTTGGCTCACTGCAACCTCTGCTTTCCGGGTTCGAGCGATTCTCCTGACTCAGACTCCTGAGTAGCAGAGATTACAGGCTTGCGCCACCATATATGACTAATTTTTGAATTTTTCGTAGAGAGGAAGGTTCACCATATTGGCCAGGCTGGTCTCGAACTCCTGACCTCAAGTGATCCGCCTTCCTTGGCCTCCCAAAGTGCCGGGATTCCAGGCGTGAGCCATCGTGCCCAGCTAAACAGTCAGATGTTAAAATTATATATTTGCCTATGTAGATGTCATTTCTAGTGTCTTTTTTTTTTTCATCCACATTTTCATCTGGTGTCAGTTTCCTTCTGCCTGGAGGACTCCTTTAACTTGTCTATTAGGTGTCTTAAACTTGCACTATCATTCACTGATGCTCTGTTCATTTAAAAAAAAAAACTTGTTGGCCGGGTGCGGTGGCTCACGCCTGTAATCCCAGCACTTTGGGAGGCCGAGGTGGGTAGATCAGGAGGTCAGGAGATAGAGACCATCCTGGCTAACACGGTGAAACCCCGTCTCTACTAAAAATACAAAAAAATTAGCTGGCTGTGGTGGCGGGCGCCTGTAGTCCCAGCTACTCAGGAGGCTGAGGCGGAAGAATGGTGTGAACCCAGGAGGCGGAGCTTGGAACCTGTCAAAAGGCATTCTTAGCCTTAAAAGAAAAGCCAGGGACATCCCTTGCCTCAGGACTCTCGAACTTAGAAAAACCTTTCACCCTCTATGTGGATGAATAACAAGGGACAGCTTCGAATGTTCTAACTCAAAGGCTGAGGAATTGCTTTGGACCAGTGGCTTATTTCTCTAAACAGCTAGACCAGGTGGCAGCTAGGTGACCAAGAAGCTTGAGATCTGTGACTACCATCACTCTATCGTTAGACGAAACCAGTAAGTTTACCTTGGGACAACAATTACATGCCATACCACCCCACCCCCACCCCCACCCCCTGCCACCCCATGAAGTACAGTACAGAGGGTCCTAGAGGCAAAAGTACACCAATGGCTAACAGGGGGCCAGTTACTTAAATATCAGACCCTTCTGCTTGACACCCCAGATGTTACCCTGAAAGTGTCCTGATTTTTAAACCCTGCTACTCTGTTGCTGCACCTCACGTCTCAAGAAACAGATCCCAAACTCATTGACTCCTGTGTGGAAACCACGGAAGAGCTCTACTCTAGAAGGCCCAACCTTGAAGACAAGCTCTTGTCTAACCCAAATGTTGAGTGGTTTAGAGATGGAAATAGCTATATTCATGAGGGAGTAAGAAAGGAAGCTTAGCCAACAAGAAGTTTTTGAGGCCAAGGGTTTACCTTCTCAGACTTCTGTTCAAAAAGCAGAATTAGCTGCTCTAATTAGGGCCTTCCAACCATGAAAAGACTTAAGCTGGACACGGTGGCTCACGCCTGTAATCCCAGCACTTTGGGAGGCCAAGGTGGGTGGATCACCTGAGGTTGGGAGTTCTATACCGGCCTAGCCAACATGGCGAAACCCCGTCTCTACTAAAAATACAAAAATTAGCTGGGTGTGGTGGGGGTCGCCTGTAATCCCAGCTACTTGGGAGGCTGGGGCATGAGAATCCCTGAGTTTGCAGTGAGCTGAGATTGCAGTGAGCTGAGATCATGCCACTGCACTCCAGCCTGGGCGACACAGCAAGACTCCGTTTCAAAAAAAGAAAAAAAAAGAACAAAACCTCAAGAGTCAATGTGTTGACTGACTCTAAATATGGGTTCCTGGTGCTCCATGCTCATGCAGCCATAGGGAAGGAAAGGGGACTATCAAGAGCCAAGGGATCCCCCACACAACTTTACTCAGATCTTGGAACTTTTAGATGCTGTCCAACTCCCAAAGAAATAACAATTACTCACCGCAGGGGACACCAGAAGGGAGACACTTTTATTATTAGAGGAAATTCCCTGGTGGAAAGAGCAGCTAAGGCCACAGCTAAGGAAACCCTGGTATTTCAGGCTGCTGCGCTACTACCAGGTACTCCATCCGTGTCAGTGACACCATAATATACCCCTAAGGAAATTAAAGGGACTGAGTAAAAGGCTTCCAGGGAGACCCATCTGGATGGTTGCTAGAAAAGAACAAACTCTATTCCTGAGGCTGACAGATGGGAAATAATTAAACATTTTCATGATTCCTCACATTTGGGACAGGATTTTCCATTTAAATTAGTTTCCTAAATATTCTTGCGGAAGGGACTGTTCCAAACTATAAAAAGGGTTACCACTCAGGAAGCCACCCCATACCCCGATCCCTGCTTAAACCTGTACAACACCAAGGAACATACCATGGTGAAGACTGGCAGACAGACTTAAACCAGATGCCACCTTACAGGGGACTACAAGATTTGCTAGTATTTATAGACACTTTCACCAGGTGGATAGAAGCTTTCCCCACAAGGACAGGAAAAGTATTGGAAGTGTCTAAATTCTTAAAGAAATCATTCCAAGATTTGGATTACCAAAAGGTTTGCAAGGTGACAACTGACCTCACTTTACAGCTAAGGTGACCCAGTGAGGTCATGCCTCAGCCTTAGGCATTACCTATCTTCACTCCTCATGGAGATCTCAGTCTTCAAATAACATAGAAAGCCAATCGCGACATTAGCAAAACTCTTTCAGTTTGGGGGCTTGCCTGCCCTGCGTCACTATCATTGTTTCCTTGGGTTTCCCAGGAATGTACATGTGTCAGACTGCCGCCCTGCTTATAGATCTGTTTCCCTGCAAGGAAACAGGAATATGTTGCCTGTGGCTTCCAGAGTTGGAGATACATGTAGTTGCACCCCTGAGGGCTAACATTTAATTTTGGAATCAAGTGATGCAATCAGACTGGTTGTTATCATTCTGTGGTATATATTTAGTGAACACATTCATGATTGAGTTTCCTGCTTTTAGCTGGAGCAAGAAAGTTTTATAATTGTGATTTGTATGAAAAAATCATAGGCAAGGGAATGGGTGTAAAATAAACTTTATTGTCAGAGGTTTCTACAGGCTCATCCTTCAAGGAAAACGGACGTATGCTGAAGAGCTGATAAACTGTCTACAGCAGTGTTATTCTAAGCTAATCTTGATTCCAAGTTCTTGCCATTTTCCTCCAGCTGCTGTTGACTCCAGTTATATATAGGATGGGGGAAAGGGGATTATCTATGAATCTAGGCATCACTGTCTCTTGGGCCCTTATCACATTGGCAGACTGAAGGGATGTGATTTCTACAATCAAACTATCCATTTGGAGTACAAATCTGGAGTGGCTGTAGAATTCGGTTCTCAGAGATGAGCTTGCAGATTTGGACTTTCAATTGTTCTGTTGTTTTAGTTTTTCTCATCAACTGGGGAACTGTTTGTGACTAAGCTTTGTTAAAAGTAGAGAAGAGCTTTTCATAGTTCCAACATTAGTTGTTACCCGAAACAAACAAAAACACACACACACAAAATTAAACAATAATCTTTGGTGAGGTCTTGCTGATACCTGAGGCTGGAGTGAGAGCTGACTGGTGATACAGGCCAGGTGCAAACTGAGTGTAACTAAGTGGATAATCTCCAGTAGTGAACTACAGTCTAGAAGAAGATAGTAATAATAGATTGAAAAAAAAGTCTCCTGAAATGAACTAGCTGGCCTGTGGTGTAGGACACAGGACCCCACCCACCTTATGATTCTAAAAGCCTTGCTCAAAGCCACTGCAGATGAGTTCACTAGGTCTCTACCACCTCCTCAGCATCAATTGACTCTCCATAATACTCCTCTGGAGAGAAATAAGGGTCTTTCAACCTCCCAGGAAGGAATTTGCTTAGCCTCAAATGTGCACATTCAGAAATAGCTTGTCATAAGAAAGAGAGGATAGTTTGCAGAGAAATAACCCTCCTAAGTCCACATCCTGTTCCTTTTAAATAAGAGAGTGGTGCCAAGGGAAGAGCCCTAGAATGTCAAAGCCAACAGGGTGCTCAGATACCACCCAAGTACAGTTCCATCTTTGGCCATAAGGAGACAATGGTGTCAAGAGGCTAAGGCCGTATGATCTGTAGGTGAAAAACCTGGGATGAGAATCGAGGCCTCAAAACTTTTCCACTACATCACAGAGTTTAGGAGCAGTTAGAGGGAAGGCTTCAATCTGGAGAACACTAACAGGCTCTAGAGATTATTGGGTCATGGTGGCTGGGACAGAAATAAGGATTCACAGAAAGATGTTTATAGTAAATGTTCTTTTGGGATTTTGCTTGATAAAAAGGCAGAGCAAAAGTAAAAATTTATTTATTTTCTTTTTTTTTTTTAGACAGTTTCACTCTTGTTTCCCAGGCTGGAGTGCAATGGTGCAATCTCAGCTCACCACAACCTCCAGCCCCTGGGGTTCAAGCAATTCTCCTGCCTCAGCCTCCCAAGTAGGTGTGATTACAGGCATGCACCACCACGCCCAGCTAATTTTTTTTTTTTTTTTTTTTTAGTAGAGACGGGGTTCCTCCATCTTGGTCAGGCTGGTCTCAAACTCCCGACCTCAAGTGATCCTCCCAAAGTGCTGGGATTACAGGCTCCAGCCACCACACCTGGCCAAAAGGAAAAATTTTCTAATTGCAATTCTGAACCACTTAGGGGTTGTGAAATCAATATAGTCGACTGCTTACTACTGCAGGCTTTATTTAAATTCTAGGTAGGGTGGATTACACATAGTAAAAGATTTTTTAAAAACTGATCACAGGCCAGGCGCAGTGGCTCACGCCTGTAATCCCAGCACTTTGGGAGGCCGAGGCGGGTGGATCACGAGGTCAGGAGATTGAGACCATCCTGGCTAACACGGTGAAACCCCGTCTCTAATAAAAATACAAAAAAAAAAAAAATTAGCTGGGCATGGTGGTGGGTGCCTGTAGTCCCACCTACTCAGGACGCTAAGGCAGGAGAATGGTGTGAACCCAGGAGGGTGGGGCTTGTAGTGAGCCGAGATCATTCCAATGCACTCCAGCCTGGGCAACGGAGCAAGACTCCATCTCAAAAAAAAAAAAAAAAAAAAAAAAAAAACTGATCACAAAGAATTGTATATTTCTCACTGCATCTTGTGGTCAGAAAAGTTTGAGAAACTGCTCTACATAGGCAAATTACAGGTTCAACCTCTCCATCTACCTCTTTATCTCTTCTCTATTTTCCATGCTATGCAGACAAGACCATGGAGAGAGGAAGGGAAATTCCATCAAAGGGTGGTGTTAAGCCTTTTCTATGAGGTAGCTGCACATTTGGGGCACTTCAATAATGGTTACTTGAGATTCTAGTAGATAGATTGTCCTTTTCATCTCTAGCCACATGGTAAAATTACTTGGGAGTGTTTTAAGACTACTAGTGGCTTCCACCCACCTGGAAGCGTTTAAATCAGAATCTCTATGTGTAGAGTCCAGGCACTTGTGTTAGTTAAAACCTCACCGGGCTTTATAATATGACAGAGTGGTTTAAAGCTACGGAGTAGACCCACCCTATTTCCTACCTTTCTCTTTGTTTCTCTTTCACCATAGGCTTCTTTCCCATGAAAAAGTACAGATTTTAGTCTCTGTTTTCAGAGTCTCAAGTAAATCACTCTCTTTCTCAACTGGACTTCCAAGGCAAAGATTTCTTTCTATTTATCTATCTGCATTTTTACAAAGTTGGCCTCTGGATTCCCTTTTGCCAAACCTAATTCACCACAAAGGTGCCCCTCAAGTCAAGGAGCTGGGCTTTCATACACCTGCACCTGTCAATCATGGGTAAATATTTTGCAGGCAGGGTTGCTGGGTGCTGTGGGATTGACATAAACTCCCAGGTATTGCCAGCTCTGAGCCTCAGGCAAGCTTGTGACTAAGTGCCTCCAGTAGTCTGAGGATAGTCCTTACTCAGAAGGGTCTGTGGAAGCAAAAGCAAACATAGGCATGAGAGGGTAAAAAAAAAAAAAAAAAAAAAAAAAATCTCATGTCATCTTGGCTTATACCTAACAGAACTTGTGCAAGAATGGATATTAAGGTGGGTATTGTACACCACAGAGCTTAGTAAATACCAAGTCTGGAGTTTAAGGGATAGGCTGAAGAGATTTTGCAGGTTTGTAAACATTGTTGCCAACTTGAACACACTTTTGTTTGGGTTTGGTTTTTCTCCTCAGTGGTAAGAGCTACGCACAATAGGGTAGCTAAGATATTATAATTTGAATCAATACATTTGTATTTTGCCAAGGACCAAGATGAACTATGATGATTTCAATTTTTTAGTACTTTATTTTCATCAGTTTGAAAATTAGGACTTTTGCTCTTTTTGACTTATGGCACCTTTTTGGTTTTCACACTTTCTCAAAGACCAGTAACTTAGAATCTAAATTACGATTGCTTATTCTTTCACTACTCTAGGGGAAAGTTGAGTTAATCTTGACAAAATGTATTCAATTAAAATAATTGTTCTCTTAAATCTTTTCTTTCTTTCTTTTTTTTTTTTTTTTTTGAGATAGAGTCTTGCTCTGTCACCCAGGCTAGTGTGCAGTGGCACAATCTTGGCTCACTGCAACCTCCGCCTCCTGGGTTCAAATGACTCTCCTGCCTCAGCCTCCCGAGTAGCTGGGCCTATAGGCGCATGCCATCACACCTGGCTAATTTTTGTATTTTTAGTAGAGTAGACCACAGATGGGTAAGGATGATGTTTGCCTCCAGCAACCCACAAATTTATGGGGACTTCCAGTCACAGACCTGTGAATCCATGATACCAGGTAGGCCATCTTGGGATTGAGCTTTCCTAGAACTAACCAGGCAACAAGAATTGAGATGACAAAAGCCTCAAAGGGATGGGACTTCTTAAGACAAACCCCAAGAGCTTGTCATGGTCAGAACAAAAAGTGTGCTGGGGTTCCCAGCCATTTTCAGACAGGCCACCTAGTATGACCTGAAAGTTACCGCCTCTTTCCAGATAGTGGAAACCAAGAGAAAGCGCTTCCACTTGGTCACAAGTCAAGCTCTCAAGGACATAAAATAAGATGAGAAGGAACCTCAACCAGTACCCCCTTTTATGACAGAATAACACATAGAGACAAAGACAAAGGAACAGACAATTTCTGGGAAGAAAGGGATTAAACAATAGGAATTGGTACCACAAAGTACCAAAAAGCACACCAGAGTCACTACACCCAAGACTAGTCACACAAATCCTTTTCTCCAATTAATCAAGATTTTGGAGAGGGAAAAGAAAGAAACAGTGATTTTTACCATCCACTTGATGAGATTCCACACAGAGAAGGAGGCCAGGAGCCTGGCTGGTAAAAAAATTCTTACCCTTATGATAGCTGATCATATCCTGGGTTCTTCACTGCAGCTTCCAGAAGAGCAGAGCTTTCCTATCCTGTTTACAGCTCCAAAACTGTAGGGGCCAATGGAAACCCTCCCTCTTAACTCTCTGAAGTTTCACTCAAAAATCAAGTCACAAAAGGCAGATTAATTGGAGAAAAGGCATAAAATGTACTAACATGTGCATGGGGAGAGTCACAGAGTGATTACCCTCCCCTACCCACAATGGGATGCAGAAGCTTATATACCATCTCGAGATAACAGAATGAATGAGGGCTCAAAGCATGGCCAAAACCAGGTGCAATCAGAGTCAGAGGTATATCCATTTATTGTGGACAAGATAAGTGATGGCAGGGAGAGAAAATGAGGCTCGGCTAGCAAAGGTGGTCTTAATATGTAAATGAAACCTTACAGGTAGCAGCTCTCAGAGAGAATAAACCCTAAAAGTTTCTTTCAGACCTTTACAGGTGTCAGACTCTCAGTTCATCTTTCCTAGATCTGGACAAGGAAAGACTTGGCTGTATCAATGCAGATTCCCTACAGATGCAAATCTCCCCAACAAAAGACAACTTTGCAGGGCTACTTCTGCAGCTGGCTTTCTGAACAGACATCTCAAAATATGTCAAAGAAATGTAGTTTGGGGTAAAATATTTTTAATTCCTTCACATCTACAGCCTGATGCACCTGCCGTTTCAACGCACCATTGTTGGTGGCAACTCCATTCTTCCCTACACTCAAGCCAAAAAACCAGGTTCTCCTTGAGGCTAGTCTTTTTCTCACAGCACACATTCAATTTGTCAGAAAACTTATGTTTCCTGTTTGGTTAATGACAGATTTTGATCTGCCCAATCTTTCTCTTTCTTGGTCTCTGAATTTTGGCAAAGAAGTCTCCTGATACAGGCAGGATCGATTCTACTGACGATTCTCAAAACTGTCAGACACTTAAGAGCCTTAATCTCGGGGTCGGGGTTTGGGCTGCCCTCGAACCTTTTCTTTGGGCCTACCCATCAAAATCAGCCTGGCCAGGCCTGTCTTCAAGGCCCAGGGGCAGGGCCAAGTCCTCCCGATGTTTCTTGAAGCTTCTCCCGCCAGGTCGGCAGCCACCCTCCCCTTCCCTCTGACCTGCAGAGAAGCTTCAGGGGGCATTTATTCAATTTGCTAGGAGCCCACGGGCGCAGGTGCACGGTGACTCTGTGGTTCCCACTGCACCCACCGCCCTCCTTTGTCCTCTCACTGTCTGCAGCGGGCAGTAATGTTCCGGGTGAGCTTGGGCTCCAAAGACACCCAGTCAAGGAGGGACCAGTAGGGAAGGGCACTGGCCCCTTATGTCCTTCGCACCCAGGGATCCGAAAAAGATCTTGAAGAAACAGAAAGGGAGAGTTGGAAGTAGATCAAAGGGAAAGAAAGAAAATCCTAGATTTCCTATCTGAAGGCACCATGAAGGGAAACTCCGTCTCCTCTGGGCCACGTCCTCACGTTGCTGGTGAACCGAGTTCCGTTCTCCATTGGAGACCAAATCAGTTGACTTTGGCTTGACTCCTAGTGAAGAAGCCCTGCTTTGTCCTCTCCTGTTTCACTCTTGGTCCTGAAGCACTTGATTGTCTCTCCCGGGCTTTCGATGGATTTCAGGGATGCAACTGAGAAATTTGTTTTTAGTACACCTACTTGAAGTAAGAATATTTTAAAGTATTTTTGCAAAGAAAAACGTTTCCTTTTGCAATGAAGACATTCAGATGTGAGGAAAATCACTAGGCTGGGGAAAGCAAATGCTGTTGAGAATGTCTCACAAACACAAATTCCACATCAGCAGGTAGGTTTGACCCTCAGGTTGGGCACATTTTAAGTGCACTGTTGGAACTTAAGATGAATCTAGGACATTCATGATTAATATTTTTAGTTTTTTAGTACAATTTAATATTTTAAATTTAAATACACATTCTGAAAATTGTATAACCAGCACAAGAAACCGGCTTTACGCCATATTTACAAACATAGGAAAGAAAGATGATATTTTAAATGACAATGCTTCATAAATGGCAACATTTTTAAAGTACCTAGAGAAAAAAAGTTAACCTAGAATTCTATGCAAAAATAAAATTTCAAAACTGTGAGTGAAATAAGAACATTGAAAAACATACGGAAGCTAAAAGAATTCACCAACCCACGCTACAAGAAATCTTGCGTCCTCCAGGCAGAAGCAAAAGGATACCAGATAAAAATGTGGTCCTACACAAAGAAACGAATATTGGAAATGGCATTTAGAAAGCATGTACTACACGTTTTCTTATAATTTAAATCTTTCAAAAAATATTTGACGTAATAAATAAAAGTAATAATAATGAATCACAAAGGTTATAGTGCATAAAGTAAAGATACATAACACTAGGATAAAGGCCAGAAAGGGAGGCATAATGACACTAGAAAGCAGACTATGATAAATTAAAGATGTATTCCGGAAACCCTAAAGCAGCCTCTGAAATAAGAAAACGGTTATAGCTAATAAAGCAACAAAGGAAAGAAAACGGAATGAAATAAAAGCTATGTAAACACTATGCTGGAACAACTACTCTCCAGGCCTCCACCCTATAGAAATACACCAGTGGCCAATGAGAGTGTACAAGAATGATGACTGCAGCATTACTTGTAATCATAAAATGATAAAACCAACGTAATTTTAAAGATATAGGAAAAGGGTTTTATTTATTTAACGGACAGACAATTGAACAAGCAAACAATGGGAGCAAGTCCTTTGCCAAAAGGAACACAGAGGGTCATGATGATGCTACTCCTCCAAGGATTTCAGAGTTCCCAGACGCCTAGTTTTCTGTCTAGTTCTTCTGGAAGATGTTATTCTTGGGGAGCAATAGGTCCTCGAGTTTGGGGCTCTTTCAGGTTCTCTCTCCATTTCCCCATTCTACTACAATAAACAAACAAACAAACAAACAAAACAATTCTCACTTCCAGAAGATCCTGCCTGTGCCCCTTCATGAGCCTTTCAGGAGGTCTGGATGTCTGGTCCACCGCTCCCCGGCTTCTTTCCCAGCTTTTGCTTTTTCCTTTCCCAGCTCTTGACCTACCACCCCACGGCCGCACCACCGCCCAGCTGAGCCCCCGTGGCTCCACCGCGCAGAAGGTGCGCCAGAGGCCCTGCCAGTTGCCCTCCCTGCCGGGTGCCGAGAAATCAACGCTTTGTAAAAAGAACTTCCCCGTGGAAAAAATCTCTTGATTTCCACTCTCAGGGCTCTTCAAAGGACTAAAAGCTAAAGGCGACGATGAATTCATTCCACAAGTCCTAGTCGTGCGCCCTGGTGAGTACCAGACCCTGCTCCCCGCGAGGGGACCCACGAGCGACCCTCACCACCATCCCTGCCCTGGTGGAGCCCCCGTGCGGAACACAGGATCCGAAGATGGCAGCGGAAGCTCCTCAGCGGCCCGGAAAGCGACTGGGCAGGGTGGGCACAGGCTCCTTCAATGGGTGAAGGCGGCGCAAAGAACGGGAAGAACCAACCCAGGAGCCCACAGGGCGTTCAGCTTCCCTTGGGGCCCCAGGCAGCTCGGGCTGGGTCGCCCACCAGGGAGTTTCTGGAAGCTTCTGCAGCAGGCGAGGGGCAGGGCGGGCGAAGGCAATTCTGCTGTTCTTCTGGCTCCAGAATCTCCTAACACGCAGGCGTCCAACGTGACCGGCGCGACTCACCGCTCTAATCTCTCTGGTTTTCCAAGGCCTTGCTCAGTGGTCCTGCCCGGTGGGCCCTGAGAATAGACGGAACGGAGGAAGTTCAGTGAGTGGGCCCTTCCTAGATGCCCAGTAGAGTTGGAAGCGCTTGTCTCTGTGGCGCAATCGGTTAGCGCGTTCGGCTGTTAACTGAAAGGTTGGTGGTTCGAGCCCACCCAGGGACGCTTATTGGAACTTTTGAAGCATTCACGCAATGTCAATCACTAGATAAATGGGGAAGATTTTATCTTCCCAAAGTCTCAAGCCACTAATTTATGACAGATCCATGTCAAGGGCCGCCCACCTCCCCGACCAGATTCTTAGCCGGCTATCTCCTGAAATGCCGGGTTTACACCTGTGTCACTAAGGAATCCTGAAACAGAGACCTAGGAACCCACTTCTGATGTGATAAAATTCTAATTCAGTCCGTTATACGCTTAAACGAGTATTTACGTGTCTCCATTTTTTCATATTTTAGTAATAGGAGTCCAGTATTACCTCCAGGATGTGCCTGGGTTTCCTGATTGCTCTATCAATAATGTGACCAGTGGAATCATTCATCATGAAAGTGATTCTCTCCATCATTTTTGAAAATAGTATTTTTCCTCAGTTTATGCATGATTTATTTAACCCTTTTCAAAATGTTTTTGTTAGCCAGGTATGGTGGCATGCACCTGTAATCCCAGCTACTCGGGAGGCTGAGGCAGGAAAATCGTTTGAACTTGGGAGGTGGAGGCTGCAGTGAGCTGAGATCACACCGCTGCACTCCAGCCTGGGTATCAGAGCGAGACTCCATCTCAAAAAAACAAAATGTTTTTGAGATGACTTTAGTTTCATAGTTTTAGGATTACAAAGAATGCTGCAGTCACCAGTCCTGTACAGATATCTTTGGTCATTGTGGAAATGTTTACCCTGCAGACATTTCTATAGTGTAGAGAGCTGGATGTGCCATTGCTACATTATAGTGCTTGTATAATGCTTCTAATCTGAGTCCATTCTGCAAATGTATCTTTCACGGGAGCAGTACCAAATAATATTCCAATATGAATGTTTATAAGAGGAAAAATGTGCAGATGTGCAGTTGAGCTGCGTGCCTCTCCATGGGGCTCATGTTCATAAAATGGTGGCGTTAGCAATCATCTGAGAGTGGAGTTTGTGGCCCTCTGACGTCAAAATCTGAGGCAATGGACATGAAAACCCTCACTGTACATCCTCTGTAGTCTGGCCAGAATCATTCCTAGGTCGGTGGTCTCTTATCAGGAGGGAATGCTGCTTGCTTGTTTTGTCAAAACCACAAAAGGGAGGGAAAGCATCAGGCTGTTGGTTGATAACAGCAGTGAAGCAAGTCTCTCCAAAGGCTTGGATTGTTAACCCTTAGGAAAAAAAATCCTAATTCTTGCCAGATGGTGCCGTGCATTTCCAGGCTCTTGGTGTCCCAAACAAAGAACTGTACATGACACACACAAAGCAGCAAAGCAAAGCAAAATTTATTAAGCACAGTAACAGTCTCAGAGTGGGGAGAGTGGGCTGATCTCTGGGATGTGAGATCAGTATTAGTTTGGTGTACGTTGGGTCTTTTTATGTGTGTTTCTTTCTCTTCTCTTCCCAAGGATGCCTAATCGTTAGCCAGTGTTTGCCTTTTGATTGATAGGTGGGTTGCTTAGTTATTTTGGCCCTTGTGTGCTTGCACATTGCCTCCATCCCATAATTTTAAGTACATGCATGATATGCAGTCCATATGCATGAGTTTTAATGAGCTGATTATCATATGGAGTCATGTTAAGGATACTTTTTTTCTCTAATGCACATGCCTATCTCTGAGGAGCTGCCCCTTTACTGGTTTGGATCTCGCCGGCCATGGGGTCCTGGCTTGCTTTTCTTTTTTTTTTTTTTTTTGAGACAGAGTCTCGCTCTGTTGCACAGTCTGGAGTGTAGTGGTGCAATCTCGGCTCACTGCAACCTCCGCCTCCCGGGTTCAAGCGATGCTCCTGTCTCAGCCTCCCAAGTAGCTGGGAGTACAGGAGTGCACCACCACGCCCAGCTAATTTTTTGTATTTTTAGTAGAGATGGGGTTTCGCCATGTTGGCCAGGCTGGTCTCAAACTCCTGACCTCAGGTGATCTGCCTGCCTTGGCCTCCCAAAGTGCTGGGATTACAGGCATGAGCCACCGTGCCCAGCCTTGCTTGCTTTTTTAAATCTTACTTTTTGTTTTGGCTGCTCAACTTCTGCCTTATATCTTGCTTCTTGCTCTCCCACCCCATCACCTTGCTTCTTTCTCTGCTTTCACTCACTCTGCCTTTTATCCAACTTCCAATTCCCTCTGCTGTTCTCCTGCATCATAATGGCAGTTAGTGAGGGGAGGGTTTTGAGGTGGCATGTCCAACCTCCTAGCCTGCCACATCCAGAAACTGCTTTCGAGGTTTCTCTGTGGTCCTGTCAGCCAAGAGGGAGTCCATTCAGTTGGTTGTAGGGCCTAGGGCTTATTTTTATTTCTCAAACCTGACAAGATAAAGCTGGATTAATGCAGATTCTCTGCAGGTGTAAATTTCCCCTACAAAAGACAGTTTTGCAGAGTTCCTTCTGTTTGCTGGCTCTCTGACAGCCATCTTAAAATATGCCAAAGAAATATATTCTGGGGTAAAATACTTTGATTTTCTTCATCTATCAACAGCTTCACCATGCTGACAGCCTCCAATCCAAGCATACCTGAAGCTTTTCTTTGTTTTTTTGTTTGTTTGTTTGTTTGTGTGTTTGTTTGAGACACAGTCTCGCTCTGTCACCCAGGCTAGAGTGCAGTGGTGTAATCTTGGCTCACTGCAAGATTCGCCTCCCAGGTTCACGCCATTCTCCTGCCTCAGCCTCCAGAGTAGCTGGGACTACTGGTGCCTGCCACCACACCTGGCTAATTGTTTGTAAATTTTTTAGTAGAGATGGGGTTTCACCATGTTAGTCAGGATGGTTTGATCTCCTGACCTCATGACCACCCACCTGGGCCTCCCGAAGTGCTGAGATTATGTGTGTGAGCCACCGTGCCCGGCCCCTGAAGCCTTTCTTTTTAAAAAGCTTTCCCACCTTTATGACTGCCTTCAAGTCTCTGCCAAAACACAAATAACAGTGACTGACTCCCTGCTATAGCAAGCTCAGAATAAATAGCTTTTGCTTTTTTTCATTTGGTTGGTCTTTGTTTATTTGCAGAAGCTTCAATGTAGAGTTGACAAGGACTCTAGTCTTTGACCAAACCTTAGTAGTTTCCTCTGAGCCCTTTTCTCTGTTATTTCTTTGCCTGCCAAGTCCAGTTTTAGGAAAGAATACTGTTGAGTCTAGTTTAGCAAGAGTCCTCGCAACCACCTTTGATAGCTAATCAAGTTCCTCTTAGTAATTTTCCATCCACTGACTTTCTTATCTTGCCAATTGGCTATAATCTTCAACTCCTCCTGCTGTATTCGAGGTTGAGCCCAGTTCTCTGCTGGTCTCTCTTGCCTACTGTAGTAAATACAATAACATCTGTCTCATGTTTTTAAGAAGTGTCCAGTGCAGCCCCTCAGAAACTACCTTTGCAAAATTATGACAACAAGAGAAAGCTGACATGGCTGACTCCATCTTGGTTCTAGCCTCACAGGCTTGCTGTCTTTGCTCATTCCTGTGCAATTTCTCCCAAGCTATCTTTGGGAAAAATTGAGTTTATAGTTTAAATCAGGACTCCCCAATCCCCAGGGCCATAAGACAGGTACTGGTCCATGGCCTGTTAGGAACCCAGCTGAACAGCAGGAGGTGAGCTGCAGGCTTTCGAGCATTACCACCTGAGCTCTGCCTCTTGTCAGATCAGCATGAGCATTAGCTGCTCGTCAGAGCTCGGACCCTATTGGGAACTGCTCATGTGAGTGATCCAGATTGCGCACTCCTTATGAGACTGTAACTGATGCCTGATGACCTGAGGTGGAACAGTTTCATCTGGAAAACATCCACCACCCCCTTCCATGGAAAAATTGTCTTCCATGAAACCAGTCCCTGGTGACAAAAAGGTTGAGGACAGCCAAAAAGGCTGCTTTAAATGATAACCTTCCCCAAAACTAAATTACCCCTGTAAAATGAATGAAAGGCCACCAAGTTAGAAGGATGAAAGGGGCCTGATTTCTACTAAGATGTATGCCTCGTTAAATAATTACCAGCCATTATTCCAGAAGTCACAAGATTGGCAGCTTCCCCAATTACTGCTGTGAAGAACATCACTATTGTAGAACCTAAGATTGGCCTCTTGAGATGTCTTTTCAGGCTTTTGCATTTCTGACTGCTGGATGACACCATCTGGCCCAAAAATCAACCAGTCCCTTAGCCCCCACCCAGAAGCTGACTCCATGCAGAAGGGCCATTTTCCACACCCCTGTGATTTCATCCCCAACAATCAGCACCACGCAAGCCCTAGCCCCCTCCCCACCAAACTATCTTTGAAAAACCCCTTACCTCCAAGCCTTCAGTGAGATTGCTTTGAGTAATAACTCTGTCTCCCACATGTCGTGGCTGGCCTGTGTCAATGAAACTCTTGCCTGCAGTGCCATGGTCTCCATGAATTGAATTTTTGTGTACATTGGTCAGGAAGAACCCATCAGGTGGTTACATCTGCAGGATGGTGCCAGTTCTTTCCACAAAGGCTGGTCAGATACCCAGAAAGCATTTCTCCACTACTACCTGGACAATGTGTCTCCCTGTCAATCTCCAGGGAATGGGGCCTGGATCAAGTATTTAGTATTCAGCAGTTACTACACTGTCACCCAATCCCTCATTTTCAATATTTTGCCATGCTTCCAGTGGCCTAACTGGCCACCATGCCACAGAATCTTTACTTTACGGTCTCCAAAGAGAACTCTCCACTCGATGTTTTGTGATTTGAGCAATGGAATAGAATCTGATACTGGTGGGCTGGGGGAGGTCCCTGGACACTGGTGGGATCTCGACCCCAGCCGTGGTGTCCAGGCTCTTGACACCATCGCGAGAACAAAGTCAAAGATGAGTCAGCAGATAGTGAAAGAAGAGATTTATTGCAAAGCAAAAAGTACACTCTCAAGAAAGGGGAGCTTGGGCATACCCAAGAGAGAATAATGGGTTCTGGGGTTTCATCTTGATGGGTTTCTTTAACCAAGGAGTGGAATGTTCACGAAAATTCCTGGGTAAAGGTGGAGATTTCTTGGAACTGTGGTGCCATTTTTACATCAAACACTGGTCTCAGAACTGTCATGGCACTGGCGGGTGTGTGATTTAGTATGTTAATGAGCATATAATGAGGGCCTAGGTAAAACCTCCATCCAATCCAGCACCATGTTGGGTCCACTCAGCCTTAGCCAGCTTGGTCCACACCCTGGTTTTTCAGCGTCTTAACAGCCCACAGCCTCAAGTCATGTAAATCTGCTGCCTAGAATTTGTTATCCTGTGACCACCCTGTAGTATTCCTGTCTGAAATCTACTTGTAAATATTCAAATGGTCTTTCACTTGGGCATTCCAACTTTGCTTACTTCACAGTGTTTCCTGCGTAATATATAAGAAAAGATGATCCAGACATTTGTTAAACATCTCAAATAAGATGTAGCCCAGGTATTTGTGTCAAATTTGGATTATTTTGGTTTCGTCTTTGCAGAATATAAAAAACTAACATGAGGTAAGCACTAAGGTGTGGAGATGGCTGTGCAAGAGATGACAAAGTCCAGCACCACGCTTGAGAGTGTCCAATCATCTCTTCTGGGACAGCATATTTTTCTACAATACGGATTTTTGAAAAAAAAACAACATCAAAAAAAAAAACCTACAAGATTCATGAAACTGGACAACTGTCTTTATAACATTACCAGTGATAAAACCAGTAAGGAAGGCTGGTTTGCAGTCATCTGAGCAGCCTCTTTACTTTCATAAATATGGCTTCTCTCTGATATTAAACGGCTTCCAAATGCAAGCGGAATGCTGCATCACAAGGATAAGGATGTGAAGAGAACCGGTTTCTTTTGTAATCCGAAACATTCTAGTCTGCGAATTAAAAGCCATTATTTGAAGAAGGATGCCCCGGCTCCATCTGGCCACCGAAAGGTTGCTCCTTAACACAGGCTAAGGACCAGCTTCTTTGGGAGAGAACAGACGCAGGGGCGGGAGGGAAAAAGGGAGAGGCAGACGTCACTTCCCCTTGGCGACTCTGGCAGCAGATTGGTCGGTTGAGTGGCAGAAAGGCAGACGGGGACTGGGCAAGGCACTGTCGGTGACATCACGGACAGGGCGACTTCTATGTAGATGAGGCAGCGCAGAGGCTGCTGCTTCGCCACTTGCTGCTTCGCCACGAAGGGAGTTCCCGTGCCCTGGGAGCGGGTTCAGGACCGCTGATCGGAAGTGAGAATCCCAGCTGTGTGTCAGGGCTGGAAAGGGCTCGGGAGTGCGCGGGGCAAGTGACCGTGTGTGTAAAGAGTGAGGCGTATGAGGCTGTGTCGGGGCAGAGGCACAAGGTTTCATACTTACCTGGCAGGGGAGATACCATGATCACGAAGGTGGTTTTCCCAGAGCGAGGCTTATCCATTGCACTCCGGATGTGCTGACCCCTGCGATTTCCCCAAATGTGGGAAACTCGACTGCATAATTTGTGGTAGTGGGGGACTGCGTTCGCGCTTTCCCCTGACTTTCTGGAGTTTCAAAAACAGACTGTACACCAAGGGTCATATCTTTTTTTGTCTTGGTTGGTGTCTTAGGTGTTAATCCTACAGTGGAGGGTTTATGGGAATAGGAAGTAACATGTCGCCTGCATGCCATAGGAGAAAAAACGAGCATCAGCCGTATCGGCTTTGTAACACAAATTAGCTATCGTGAAGTCCGCTCAGCTCTTCCCTTTCTACCCTGGCTGCTTTTTGCAGGGATTGGTCCGTGGTCTCCAGTCTCTTGGGTTCTCACCCTGTGTGAAAATCTTCGTGTTTTTCCCTACCCCCCAGTCACCTCTTACACAGCCTCTGCTTCGAAGCGCAGCCCCCACAGGAGTTTGTAGGATTTCTGTGCTAGCGGGGAATGTGTTCTCACCTCATAGAGCCAGGTAGAAATTATGCAGATGGGCAGTTCTCTGGGAAGAAAGCAGGGCCTTTGGGGCTCTCAGTGTCCACGTTGGGTTGTAGACATAACACTCTTACTTTGCGTAGGGGAACGGCTCTGCCGGCCCCCAGGTGCCCTAGCGCATATGCACGGAGGCCCGCAGGTCAGAACCGCAGTCTCACCTGTCTTGGCGGAAATGCCCTGCGATCCTCCCGGAGATAGAAGGCGGGAAGTTTTATGAGGAGCCGGTCCAGTTTCCCTACTATCTCCTGCAGTTCATATATCTAGTCTTTCTTCAGACTTTAAGCGACTGCTTCATGTTTGATGTCTCACTCCCACATCCTACATCCACTGCCAGCCAACTTTATAGATAGCACCGTGACCCATCCTTCCCACCCCCAAGAAGCCCTTTCCTATTTCTGGTGCCAGTGTCCTCCCCAGTCCCTCTTTCTTCAGGCCCTCACTTATCACCTTCATGGACAGAAAATACTTAGCTCTCTCTCAACCTGAGGTTTACACCTGACACGCGTCAGTGCCCTGGCAAATTCCTTAATACCCCTTCTCAAATAGCACTGTAAATCATCTCTTTTTAACTCCCAGAACTATCTAATTGGTTTTGTCCCTGCACTACATGAATACTAGTATTCCACTACAGAGGAAAACCCCAGGCCTAGCGATGGCGGTTCTGGGCATTGTGCCAGCCTCTCCCAGGGTATGTTTTCTGACCTCACCTACTTTTGATCAGCTGAGGTCAGGAGTTCAAGACCAGCCTGTCCAACATGGCAAAACTCCATCTCTACTAAAAACACATACAAACGCACAATAATAATAATAATGATAATAATAATAATTGCCTGGTGCAGTGGTGTCTGTCTGTAATCCCAACTACTCGGGAGGCTGAGGCAGGAGAATCACTTGAACCCGGGAGGTGGAGGTTACTGTGAGCCGAGATCGCGCCATTGCACCGCAGCCTGGGCAACAGAGTAAGACTCTGTCTCAAAAAAAGAAAAAAAAATAGTGCATCTGAGACATATTATTGGAGACAGTAGAATCCTGCGTCCAACAGGCACTTGGTGCAGATCTGAACCCATTGAGCTATTGGCTCATGTTCCCTATGTTCTATTAAGTATCATGAGCAGAAATTGAGCTCTTTGGCTTTTACCCACTGAGTATGGCTATAGGACAGGTCTCTCTCTCTCTCTCTCTCTCTCTCTCTCTCTCTCTCTCTCTCTCTCTCTCTCATTCTTTGCATCATTGTTTTTTGCCATCAGTGTGGGTTTTTGGTTTTGAGGTTATGAAGTGAATTTCTGGGGACAATCTCTGTTGGGTCGTGTTGACAAGGATCCAGTCCCTGTTTGGTGATACATGGCAGCTAATCTGGTCTGTGAGTCTTCTTTATTGTCTATTTATTGTCCTGAGAATAATGATATTTCCTGATATTTGAGACTGCAGCAATGATAAGTTGTTCAGATCTTGTCTTTCCAATGTTTGGTAAAAATTTTATAGGCCCAATTGTTGTCAATATCTGCAAGAGTGGCATCTCTGTTACAAGAGTGATCTTACTACTCAATGTCCCCCCTCCCACCCAACTTCGTTTCATAGGGGCTCTTGGCTTTAACAAATTTACTGTATCTAAAAGACATCTTAGTACAGGAAGAAAACTAAATCTGTAGCATGTAAGGAGCAGTTTTATTTGATTGGTATATTCAGGTTTCTAACCAGCTGAAAAATTCAAATACATGCCCTTTAAGGATTAAGTTTAAACCACACTACCAAAAGAGAAAAGATTTATATGATCACATATAAGCAATGGAATCAGCAATATGAGTACTTTTCACAACTATACAAATCAAATTTAATAATCTCCAGAACATTAAGGAAGTTCAGCCCTTAATGGAAATGAATGAAAAGAAATTATTCACCCACTGTTGCATGCCCTGGAAAGAGAATGTCCTGCCAGACTCAAAAGAGTATCACACTGTTACTCAGATTTTCAGCAATGAAGGCCCTCCAAGGATCTAATGATGTTCATCTTTTCAGTTTATTTCCTTCACTGATAAACATTGTTAATAGATACCATTGCCTCTGTTTTCACTTTAAGTGATGTTACTTAGCACAATTCATTTCTTTAGAATGCACCCTAGTTTGGTGGAAGGAATTTTCCTGCTTTATAAATATAGGATATTTTCTCATGAAACAAATTGGCATACTCTTTCAGTGAAGTGAATAGACAAATTAGATCTCTACAATTGTAAAGGAGTCACTGCCCCAATTATCTTAGGAACAATAATAATCATTTATATAAAATTAAAATAAGAAAATTAAGCCAGGTATGGTGGCTCATAGCTACAGTCCCAGCACTTTAAGAGTTGGAGACCAGCCTGGGCAACACAGTGAAACCCCTGTCTCTACAAATTTTTAAGTATTAGCTAATTTTTTTAAAGTTGGCCGGGCATGATAATGCATGACTGTAATCTCAGGCTGCAGTGAACTATGATTGTGCCACTGCCCTCCAGCCTGAGTGACAGAATGAGACTCCCAACTCAAAAAAAAAAAAAAAGGAAAGAAAATTAAGAATTTGTTGAAAATTGTTTTACTACAATGCTAGGCTGCATGTCTTGCACCTGTACTCCCAGCAACTCAACAGGCTGAGGGGGAAGGATTGCTTTAGGCCAGCGGTTGGAGACCAGCCTGGGGAACAGGGCAAGACCTCGTCTCTAAAAAAATACAAGGCAAGCTGAGCCAGGAGGATTGCCTGAGCCCAGAAGTTCCAAGTTGGTCAGCTATGATTGCCCCGCTGCACTCTAGCCTGGATAACAGAGCAAGACCCTGTGCCTTATTTTTAAATTTATGTTATTTTTTTACTACTTATGCTTATTTATCTATTTATTTATTTTTGAGACAGAGTCTTGCTCTGTAGCCCAGGCTAGAGTGCAGTGGTGCCATCTCAGCTCACTGCAAGCTCTGCCTCCCAGGTTGAAGCTATTTCCCTGCCTCAGCCTCCAGAGTAGCTGGGATTACAGGCACATGCCACCACGCCCAGCTAATTTTTATATTTTTAGTAGAGACAGGGTTTCATCATGTTTGCCAGGCTAGTCTCTAACTCCTGACCTCAAGTGATGCACCTGTCTCGGCCTCCCAAAGTGCTGGGATTACAGGTGTGAGCCAACTCGCCCAGGCTCCTTATGCTTGAAATGTGAGGTTTCATTAGGGAAAAATTTTCTTGTTGA
Source organism: Homo sapiens (assembly GCF_000001405.40). NCBI lineage: Eukaryota > Metazoa > Chordata > Mammalia > Primates > Hominidae > Homo > Homo sapiens. The sequence goes on along the minus strand of NW_025791756.1, from coordinate 314,791 downwards.
ATTTCTAACATGAAAGAATAATAGATTTAGCTGTAGATTAAATTAATGGTCCTGGTAGTTTGGTACAATAAAATAAATGAAATGAAATTGATAGCAGAGAGGAATCTTTGATGCTTTTGAACAATTTAAATAATGTAATATTTATTATATAAAGACATGAAAAAGTTCATTACATTATTATTTTATTTATTTATTTATTTATTTATTTATTTATTTATTTTGAGATGTAGTCTCACTCTGTCGCCTAAGCTAGA